>NC_000011.10:109899697-110202727 GCF_000001405.40 Homo sapiens | reverse complement strand
TGTTGGCTGAGTGCAGCAGCTCATGCTTGTAATCCCAGGAGGATTGCTTGAGCCCAGGAGATCAAGACCAGCCTGGGCAACATAGTGAGACCTCATGTCCCACCCTCCCCAACCAAAAAAAAAAAAAAAAAAGAAAGAAAAATTAGCCAGGTGTAGTGAAGCACACATGTGGTCCCAGCTTCTCGAGAGGCTAAGGTGGGAGGATTGCTTGTGCCTGGGATGTTGAGGCTTCAGTAAACCATGATCATGTCACTGCACTCCAGTTTGGAGGACAGAGCAAAACCCTGTCTAAAAGAAAAATGTTAATATACTAAACTAGACAGATTTTTTTTTTTAGATGAAGTCTTGCTCTCTTGCCCAGGCTGGAATGTGAGTGGCATGATCTTGGCTCACTGCAGCCTCTGCCTCCAGGGTTCAAGCGATTCCTGTCTCAGCCTCCAGAGTAGCTGGGACTACAGGTGCAGGCCACCACGCTCGGGTAATTTTTGTATTTTTAGTAGAGATGGCGTTTCCCCATGTTGGCCAGGCTGGTCTCAAACTCCTGACCTCAGGTGATCAACCCCTGGCCTCAGCCTGCCAAAGTGCTGGGATTACAGGTGTGAGCCATGGCCTGTACTAGATAAATAGATTCTTTAAAGTGTTAAACTAGGCCGGGCGCAGTGGCTCATACCTGTAATCCCAGAACTTTGGGAGGCCAAGGCGGGCGGATTACCTAAGTCAGGAGTTTGAGAGCAGCCTAGCCAACATGGGGAAACCTTAACTCTACTGAAAACACACACACACACACACACACACACACACACACACACACACACACACACACAAAATTAGCCGGATGTGGTGGCATGTGTCTGTAATCCCAGCTACCTGGGAAGCTGAGACAGGAATCGCTGGAATCCTGGAGGCAGAGGTTGCAGTGAGCCAAGACGGCGCCATTGCACTCCAGCCTGGGTGACAGAGGGAGACAACATCTTAAAAAATAAGTTCAACTAGGTTTGCGTCCCTTATTATATATTCTAACACATAATTTAATATATATTCTTGCTATAACTTGATATATATTCTAACCCATGGCTTACCGCTTCACAAATCCTGAGCCTCCTGTGTTGTGAATATCCAGCTCATGTGATTTTTATGTATCTCACCCTCACTACCCTTCAGTTGCTGCTGCCTTCAGCTAAAATACTGTCATCTAATCTCATGCCGCCACCTGGTGGCAAAGCTTGGAAATTTCTGACGTCTCTTCACCTTTCTTTCCCTGTTAGGGAAACTCATACATGCAGTTTTCTCCTTCAGTTCTATTCCCTCTCTTGTGCCTTTCATCTATTAACTTTACTCCCAAATCCTCCTTTCTCATGCTCTCCTAAATTTTCTCATTATTTTCATGAAAAATAATTCTCTTCCTTTGCTCTCTCTGCTCCTTTATGAGTCTAAATCTACATAAATAGTACTACTAGTTAATCACAGTGAGAATAATATTACTAGTGACTATGGAAAAACTACAGCTATACATTTTGAAATGACATTTCTTTTTTTTTTTTTTTTTTTTTGAGACGGGAGTTTTGCTCTTCTTGCCCAGGCTGGAGTGTAATGGCCCGATCTTGGCTCACCGTAACCTCCAACTCCCAGGTTCAAGCGATTCTCCTACCTCAGCCTCCTGAGTAGCTGTGATTACAGGCATGCGCCACCATGCGCGGTTAATTTTCTTATTTTTAGTAGAGACAGGATTTCTCTATGTTGGTCAGGCTGGTTTCGAACTCCCGACCTCAGGTGATCTCTGCCTCGGCCTCCCAAAGTGCTGGAATTACTCAGCCTGAAATGGCATGTCATACAATAAAGTGCCAGCCAGACTAACCTTCAAAGTCTTTGAAAATAGTTAGAATTCCCTTTAAAATGTTCTTAAATTTCAGGTACTATTGAACCATCGAATTATTTCTGGCCAGGTTAACATCAAGCTCAAGTATTAAAGAAGAATTATAAAACCATTAATAAATGTCATTGTTTCTATGTTCCTTTATTACAATCTTTGACAAATTTGGAGTTTCTACTGTATTTTACTGCAAAGACTCAGCTTTTCATTATGGGTTAAACTGCCTAGAAACAAAATCACTCTTCATGACGTGGTTTCCATGGGAAACAGCCCACCACAGCTGCCCTTTTGGTTCATAACTCATTCGTAAGATAGAGATTGCTAGTAACTGCATTTCTAATTGTTTTACCCACAAGGTTAGAAAATACTGTAACCAGTATTCTCCCCAGTCAGGGAACTGACTCATGGATACGTTTGGCCAGTTTAGCAGTTTCTTTGTCAAGTTAATTCTGACTTTGTTTTATCTCTAAGGGATATATCGGAGAATGGCAGGTGAGTCAGCTGAGGAAGACAGACCAGAGAGAGTAGGGCTGAAATTGACCTCTTTAATTCCGGCAATGCCAACGTGTCTGCAGAGGAGGTAGTTTTCATGGTTTGTTTGTCTTAACCTATCCAGTCTTTTAGTAGGCAGGTACTGAGAATTTGCTTATTCAAAAACATAGCAACTATTGATTTCAGAGTAGGCACTATAAAGTATTTTGGATCCATTAGTCTGGTTGCTACCTGAAAATAACTTTAACAATGCCTCGGTTAATCAAAAGAGAACTTCACATAAAATATAAAATCTGGTAGAACACATTACTGAATGACATGAAGTTCTGATTTTTATGGCTTTAAGACAAGACCTACTATTCTAAATAATAGGTCTTATTATTGAAAGAGACTAGTTAGCTTGTGTAGAGTTGCTGCACTATTTGAAGTCTAGCATCTATTTAAAAGGAAGGTTTAAAGTTATTCTTATTTCCACATTCTAATCGTGGAGTTTCAAAGGTGGACTGGAAAAAAAAAGAGGTTAAAGATTAGGCAGACAGTTTGACAATAACAGGCCCTACATAATCCAGGCTGACAAGAGCGCCCTGATGTTGCAATGTGCTGAGCAAGTAGTCAGCCTGCCCATTCAGCTTCCTACTGTGTTCTTTTGCTAAATGCTTTCTAATCTCTTAATGTCTCTTTTGAAAGGTGGGGACCCAAACTGTATGCATTGTTCCAGATGCGCTCTTGCCAAAGCAGCATAAAGCAAATGTAACCCTTAGGAAGAAGGCTCCCTCCCTCACTAGGTAAGTACAACTGGCAGCCGTGGCCAGGGCCAGCTCACCTGCCCACTAGACCTGCCACACCTTCCACTGCCAGGATGCTGGTGGGACCTCATAAAATCTGAACCTGTTCATCCACAGGACCTGTGGATTTCAAGTCAAAGGAACTGACCAAGAGCAACCTCTATCTTTACAGCCTCTGATTCCATCCCTTCCAGGTTCTTTCCCAATAGTTTGCATCTCTTGGGCTCTTTGCCAATCAAGAACATCATCCTCCAATTTAATAATTTTGAGGTGAGCTAGAATTTATTAAAATGATGTTTTACCTGTAATCTTGGTGAGCTGATTGGACCTCCTACTTTAGGGGATTCTCTTACCTTTAGAAAGAGCCCTCTCTAGCATTGAGAATGAAAGTATTATGGTGCAAGTTCTCTTATGACACTTCTGTTCTGCTGGGAGGTTTTTCTTCTTTTTAAAAAATCCATATTCAGGCCTGGTGCGGTAGCTCATGCCTATAATCCCAGCACTTTCAGAGGTGGAGGCAGGTGGATCACCTGAGGTCAGGAGTTCGAGACTAGCCTGGCCAACATGGTGAAACCCCGTCTCTACTAAAAATACAAAAAAAATTAGGAGTGGTGGTGCATGCCTGTAGTCCCAGCTACTTCGGAGGCTAAGGCAGAAGAATTGCTTGAATCCAGGAGGCACAGGTTGCAGTGAGCCGAGATGGCACCACTGCACTCCATCCTGGATGACAGCGAGACTCCGTCTCAAAAAAAAAAAAAAAGACGTATTCAGATTTACTTAAAAATGAAGTTTTGTACATGCACATTGAGTAGAACAGTGGCCCCCAACCTTTTTGCACCAAGGACTGGTTTCATGGAAGACAAATTTTCCATGGGCTGGGAGTGGGGTTGGGGGGTGGAGGGGATGGTTTTGGGGTGAAACTGTTCCACCTCAAATCATGAGGCATTAGATTCCCATAAAGGAGCGTGCAACGTGGAACCCTCGCATGCACAATTCACAATAGGGTTCGCTCCTTTGAGAATCTAATGCTGCTGCTGATCTGACAAGAGGCGGCGCTCAGGCCATAATGCTTGTTCACCACTCAGCTTTTGCTATGCCACCCAGTTCCTAACAGGCCACACGCCGGTACTGGTCCTCGGCCCAGGGATTGGGGATTCCTGGAGCAGAAGAATTAAAGAATTGGTTAATAAGCTAGGTTAATATAGTATTATGTACTGACCTGAATTTGGTAATATTTAAAAATCATTTTTCAATATGATTACCATGATAACAGGTTTTTAAATTCTTTTTTTTTTTGGCAGAGACTATTTGACTCATCCCATTTGTGAATAAAACCACAACAATGTTGTTTATGTTGTAAATCTTGAGTTCCCCCAACTTGCTGATTAAGCCTCCCAAAGTTCTCTAAACCTCCTTCTAGCTAAAGGTCAATATATTTGAGATAATATTTAAAGATGTAGAACCAATGTTCTTTATAGAAATATTATGTTTTAGACTTATTTATGTGACAAAAAAATGGTCACATGTGTTCATTTAAGGTGGGGAACTTTTAGAAGCAATTTGCTTCTTTGGCCTTGAATTTGGCCTGCCCTGAAATGAGTTTAAGGTCGTGCAAGATTCTCTCTGATATTTCATGACACTACCAAAACACTTTCATTGTTTCAAAGTCCACTTGAAATGCTACGACACATCCATCATCATTTGCTCTCACTCTCTTTGAAACGGGTCTAGCTGAGAATCCAGCTGGTCTTATTTCTGATATTTGAGCTAAAATCCTGGGTTAAAGCACATTCTTAATGTGCCATAGATTGCCGCAAACAATACTCTTCTTAGCTATTTATCTTTAGCCATTTCTTCCAGTGCAGAAATTCATTCATGTAACTCTTTCCATTTTGTCAACTCGTAAAACTCCCCAAAGTAAAATCTACCTGATCTTTTATGATTTTTCCTCCTTGATTTTCATCTGTTAATGTTCTTTTTAGAGCAAATCCTTTGAGTGAGTTTGACTCTGAGCTATTGTCGTCAGAAGTAGGAAAAGAAAGTTTCTGCATGAAAAGTCAAGATCAAATGACAGAAAGAGATTTTGAATTATCTAGACATGAATTTATGAAGGGATCCACAGAGTTGGTGATTGCCACATCCTCCAGCTTGAGGTGTCACATAGTTGGCACCCTTGGAAGAACTGCTGGGCCTCTCCATAGTTGATTATAAAATTATTGACCCAAGAGAAAGAACAGGGACTCTTGAGTGATGTTCTGGTCCGTCTCCCACTGCCCCCAGGGCTTCTCCACAGCACTGTCATCCTATCTTCCTCGTGACTAGGGGCCTGTAGGATTATGGTGACATTAAGGAATTAAACGTGACATCTAAAGCCATGCACAGGCCAGGCGCTATGGCTCGTGCCTGTAATCCCAGCACATTTGGAGGCTGAGACAGGTGGGTTGAATGAACTCAGGAGTTTGAGACCAGCCTGGGCAACATGGCAAAACCCTGGCTCTCCAAAAAATACAAAAAGTTATCTGAGCATAGTGGCACATGCCTGTGATCCCAGCTACTCGGGAGGCTGAGGTGGGAGAATTGCTTAAGCCCAGGAGGTCGAGGCTGCAGTGAGCCAAGATCACACCCCTGCACTCCAGCCTGGGTGGCAGAGCGCGACCCTGTCTCAAAAATAAAATAAGCCATGAACAAGATAGAACTGACTGGTTTCCACATGAATAGGACCCCTACAGCCTTGGGACCAGACTGTACCCAAATTACTAATCAACCCCAAAGCCTGGCACAGTCTGGTGTATTTAGAGTCATGGGCCTTTTTTCTCAACCTTCAGACCTTTCTCTGAGGCTCTGAGCTGATTTTAGCTGAGGAGGCCAGAGTAAACCCAATCTGCAGGTCCTCCCTCCTGGATTCCTGAGTTGGGAAGGGGCCTGAGGTGGGTCAGACGGAGCTGGTGTAAATAAGGTGAACTCATTCCCTAAGCACACACGCCCTGTGGCTGCTCAACAATTTCTCTTGGGATTCACGTCACTAAGGTGTATGTGACTGTGACATGAAAGAGAGAGTGTTTATACCGTCATCTTATATCCACATCATAATTCTGGATCAGAACATTGCAAAATCTATATGTGAGACTCCTTTTGAGGCCAAAAGTAATTCTAACCAGGCTGAGGTCAGAGTGTAGAGTTTGTGGACGCACCTTTATTTTGATACAATCTGTACATCATTACATTTCCTCACTGGCATTCCATTCCCCTTCATCACTCAACCATCAACTAACCATGACTAAATGTTAACTTACAAAATGTGCAAAGACATTCAGGGTCATGCCTTTTCAACTGAATGTTGATAATACGAGTGTTCAAGTTGAGTTTTCTTCTTTCTTGCCTGACTTTCCTATTCACTTTCTGTGTCTTCATGCAGGCCCCTGGCTACTGACTTATGGGAAGCTTTAGGATAAGGACATACCTGGTGTTCTGAATGTGTATATCCCCCAAAGTCTGCAATCTCAGCTGGAACTGGATGGACCAGTATTCCATTACCCAGGGCCCTGGCTCATGGTTCTCTCCTCTTCTCAGTTTACTGTTGGATTTCCCTTTCTTGCTATTCTCTTTCTCTCCAGACCCCTCTCAATTGCCTTTCCTAAAGACAGACCTTAGCAAGATGGGCCAGGACTTGGGACTTCGCACAGCACCCTGCAGTCCCAAGCCAGCATCTACTGCACCCCATCTTCAGGACTCTATCCCCCAAACATGCTGGAAGGCATCAGCTTATGAGAACCCACTTTTTTCTGCATGACTAGCTTGTAAGGAAGAATCTATGGACAGGATTTCCAAGAATTTCCCACTTTTTCAAAAAATGTATGTGACTTATATTTGGCTTCAATCCAAGAGCAAACTCAGTGGTGAACAGCTCCATTTCTGTGCACATGTTGGTGGAATCTGCAGAAATCGATGCAACATTTCTTTCCTGTCTGGGCTGTTTGTATAATTGTATATAAATGTAGCAATAAATATATTCTAACATCAGCCTGAGCCTTACTGCGCACTTGATTCTGCATCCTGGTGGTAGGCGGTGAATATTGCTTGCCTGCCCCATCTCAGGTTCCCATCTTCTCTGATTTCAGTTACTTCGGACCTGGCCAGTGTTTGGAGAAAGAGGGTTGAGGAGAGTTCAGTGGCAGAGCTGGGATGTGAAGCAGCATTATTAATTCATAAGATGGCACTAGTCCTGGCACTTTGAGGTGTTTTGAATGTCCAAGGACCGAAGCTTAGAGGATTGGGTGACAGTTTGTGACATGAGTCAGCTGCATTAACAGTCACTCTGGCTGGGCACGGTGGCTCACGTCTGTAATCCCAGCACTTTGGGAGGCTGAGGTGGATGGGTCACGAGGTCAAGAGAGCGAGACCATCCTGGCCAACTTGGTGAAACCCCCCTGGGCATGGTGGTGTGTGCCTGTAATCCCAGCTACTCGGGAGGCTGAGGCAGGAGAATCGCTTGAACCCGGGAGGTGGAGGTTGCAGTGAGCTGAGATCGCACCACTGCGCTCCAGCCTGGACGACAAAGCGAGATCCTGTCTCAAACAAAACAAAACAAAACAAAACAAAACAAAAAACAACCAAAAAAGTCACTCTTACAGCCTTCAAGAGCATGTTGTGCTGTGATTATTTGACAGGTATCTGCTGGGCACGAAGTTACCCCTTAAAGATTTTCTGAAAAACCCCACAAAATATGCCAACATGACATAGGATTTTCCATCTGTCACTGATGTTTTTCAAGGATATTAAGTCTAGTTATTTTAGAGACAACCTCCTCCTACAGGGGACACTAGGCAGATACAATATTGTTTGTCTAATATCAAGGAATATTTATTCCCAAAGTGGTCTCTTGTAATTTATGTGAAATCTTTGGTTATCAGGCACTTTTATAACTTAAAGGATAACCACATAGTTGTGGTTTCTTATCAAATTATGGTTTCTCAGTCCTCTCCTTGATTATAAGTGGAAGTTGGCATAAAATCATTCAGTCATAAGACCTGGGAATGCAAGAAACGAAAAGTTGTAATATCCGGCTGGGTGCAGTGACTCACCCCTGTAATCCCAGCACTTTGGGAGGCTGAGGTGGGCGGATCAGTTGAGGTCAGGAGTTCCAGACCAGCCTGGCCAACATGGCAAAACCCCGTCTCTACTAAAAATACATAAATTAGCTGGGTGTGGTGGCAGGTGCCTGTAGTCCCAGCTGCTCGGGAGACCGAGGCAGGAGAATCGCTTGAACCCGGAAGGCGGAGGTTACTGTGTGTCAGGATTGCGCCACTGCACTCCAGCCTATTGTTACCCTATGGCAGGGGCAAACAGCTCTTGCAAGATTACTTTTTGTGTATTAAAAAATACAGCCTGGAAGAGAATTGAGGAAATCATCTGTCAAGCTCTTTAAAACATTGAACAAGTAACTCTGAAGAGTTGTGCCACATCTGTTCTTACTCTCACCTTTTAATAGATATATCAGGGAACCTGAGGCTCCAGGTCAAAAGATAAAGAGGGCACAGCGTGGGCCGCTGCCTTCAACAGCTAATTCCTGTGCAATGCACTGGGCAAAAACCTTTTCTACATATGGGTTTTTCTAGCCAGGACTGGTGATATGAAGGGACGTTATTATAAAATGTATGGGACAAATTACCAATTGCTTCGGTTTATAATGCAGTAAGAGAGAATCCCAATTAGAGATAATGCTGTATAATCAAAAGTTTGGTTAATGAAGCTGTGAAGGATTGAGAGTTTTCAGCCTGTGGGTGTTAAAACCTGGGCATTTGCTGCGGCTCTGCCACTAATTAGTAGTTGGAATTTGGACACATCACTCCAACTCTCAGGGCCTCCGATTCCTCTGCTGTAAAATGAGGTGTTTGGACTAAATGATTTCTAAGGTTCTTTTTGTTCTTAGAGTGTCTTCTTTGGAAGAGGGAAAGGAGTAGCATAATTTTCATGTTAAAGAGGAAGGTCATTAGATGGCAAAAATGTGCAGTTGAGAGGAGAAAATAGTTTATTCTATTTTGTTTTGTAATTTCAAGATTTATTTTAGATGTAGGGTGTACATGTGTAGGTTTGTTACATGAATTTATTGCATGATGCTGAGGTTTGGGGTATGAATGATCCTGTCACCCGGGTAGTGAGCATACTACCCAATGGGTGGTTTTTCAACCCCTGCCCCCAACCCTCTCTCCCGTCTCTAGTGGTCCCCAGTGTCTGTTGTTCCCATCTTAATGTCCACGTGTACTCAATGTTTAGCTCCCACTTATAAGTGAAAATATGTGGTATTTGGTTTTCTGTTCCTATGTTAATTTGCTTAGGATAATGGCCTCCAGCTGCATTCATGTTGCTGTAAAGGACATGATCTCATTCTTTTTTATGGCTGCATAGTATTCCATGGTGTATATGTACCATATTTTCTTTATCCAGTCCACTGTTGATGGGCACCTAGGTTGATTCCGTATCTTTGCTATTGGGCGTACTGCTGTGGTGAACATGTAAGTGCATGTGTCTCTCTGGTAGAGTGATTTCTTTTCTTTTGAATATATACCCAGTGATGGGATTACTGGGTCAAATGATAGTTCTGTTTTAAGTTCTTTGAGAAATCTCCAAACTGCTTTCCACAGTGGCTGAACTAATTTATATTCCCACCAACAGTGTATAAGAATTCTCTTTCTCCACACCTCACCAGCATCTGCTGTTTTTTTTTTTGACTTTTCAATACTAACCACTCAGCCTACTGTGAGATGGTATCTCATTGTGGTTTTGATTTGCATTTCTCTGGTAATTAGTGATGCGGAACATTTTTTCATATGTTTGTCGTTGCTTGTATCTTCTTTTGAGAAGTGTCTGTTCATGTCCTCTGCCTACTTTTTAATGGAGTTATTTGTTTTTTGCTTCTTGAATGATTTAAATTTTTCAGAGACTCTGAATATTAAACCTTTGTGAGAAGCATAGTTTGAGAATATTTTCTCCCATTCTGCAGATTGTCTGCTTACTCTATTGATAGTTTCTCTTGCTGTGCAGAAGCTCTTTAGTTAAATTAGGTTCCACTTGTCAATTTTTGCTTTTGCTGCAATTGCTTTTGAGGACTTAGCCATAAATTCTTTGCTAGGGCCAGGTTTTCTTCTAGAATTTTTATAATTTGAGGTCTTACATTTAAATCTTTAATCCAGCTTGAGTCACTTTTTGTATATGGTGAAAGGTAGTGGTCTAGTTTCATTCTTTTGCATATGCATAGCCAGTTATCCCAACACCATTTATTAAATAGGGAGTCCTTTCCCCACGGCTTATTTTTGTCAACTTTGTCAAAAATCAGATGGTTGTAGGTGTGTAGCTTTATTTCTGGGTTCTCTACTGTGTTCCATTGGTCTGTGTGTCTGTTTCTATGCTCATATCATGCTGTTTTGGTTATGGCAGCCTTACAGTATAGTTTGAAGTTGGGTTACGTGATGCCTCTGGTTTTGTTCTTTTTGCTTTGGATTGCTCTGGCTATTTGGGCTCTTTCTTGGATCAATATGAATTTTAGAATAGCTTTTTCTAATTCTGTGAAAAATGACCTTGGTAGTTTGATAGGGATAGTATTGAATCTGTAAATGGCTTTGGGCAGTATGGCCATTTTAATAATATTGATTCTTCCTATCCATAAGCATGGAATGTTTTTCGCTTTGTTTGGATCATCTATGATTTATTTTAATTTTTGTTTTATTTTGAGACAGAGTCTCCTCTGTCACCCAGGCTGGAGTACAGTGGCATGATCTCGGCTCGCTGCAACTTCCACCTCCCAGGTTCGAGCTATTCTCCTGCCTCAGCTTCCTGAGTAGCTGGGACTACAGGCACACAGCACCACACCTGGCTAATTTTTGTAATTTTGGTAGAGATGGGGTTTCGCCATGTTGGCCAGACTGGTCTTGAACTCATGACCTCAGGTGATTTACCTGCCTTGGCCTCCCAAAGTGCTGGGATTACAGGCGTGAGCCACTGCGCCTGGCACCTGATTGCTCTTGCTAAGGTTTCAAGTACTATGCTGAATAGGTGTGGTAAGAGTGGGCATCCTTGTCTTGTTCCTGTTCGTAAGGGGAATCCTTCCAGCTTTTGCCTGTTCAGTGTGGGTTTGTTATAGATGGCTCTTCTTATTTTGAGATATGTTCCTTTAATGCCTACTCTGTTGAAGGTTTTTATCCCGAAGGGATATTGGATTTTATCAAAAGATTTTTCTGCATCTGTTAAGATAATCATATCATTTTTGTTTTTATTTCTGTTTATCTGGTGAATCATATTTATTGATTTGTGTGTCTTAAACCAGCCTTGCATCCCAGTAATATAGCTGACTTGATCATGGTGAATTAACTGGGTTTGATTTGCTGATATTTTGTTTTGGATATTGTGTCTGTGTTCATCAGGGATATTAGTCTGTAGTTTTCTTTTTTTGTTGTGTCTTTGCCAGGTGTTAGTATCAGGGTTGTGCTGGCTTCATAGAATGAGTTAGGGGGGATTCCCTCTTCCTCAATTTTTGGGTATAGTTTCAGTAGAATTGGTATTGACTTTTCTTTGTACATCTGGTAGAATTCAGCTGTGAATCCATCTGGTCTAGAGCTTTTCTTGGCTGCTGGGTTTTTTATTACTGATTCAATTTTGGAACTTGATACTGCTCTATTCAGAGTTTCGATTTCTTCCTGATTCAATCTTGGGAGGTTATGTGCATCCAAGAATTTATCCATCTCCTCTTGATTTTCTAGTTTGTGCTCACAGATGTGTTGATAATAGTCTCTGAAGATCTTTTGTATTTCTGTGGGATCAGTTGTAATGTCACCTTTCTCATTTCTGATTGTGCTTATTTGGATCACATCTCTTTTTTCTATTAATCTAGGTAGTGGTCTATTGATTATTTTTATTCTTTCAAATAACCAACTTTTGGTTTTGTTGATCTTTTGTATGGATTTTTGGGCCTCAATGTCAGTTCTGCTCTGATTTTAGTTATTTCTTTTCTCCTGCTAGTTTGGGGGTTAGTTTGTTCTTGTTTTTCTAGTTCCTGTAGGTATCATGTTAGATTGTTAATTTGAGATATTTCCATCTTCTTGATGTAAGCATTTATATTTATTTATTTATTTAAGATGGAGACTTGCTCTCTATCACCTGGGCTGAAGTACAGTGGCACAGTCTCGGCTCACTGCAGCCTCCGGCTTACTGCAGCCTCTGCTTCCCGGGTTCAAGCAATTCTGCCTCAGCCTCCCGAGTAGCTAGGATTACAGGCATGCACCACAATGCCCGTCTAATTTTTGTATTTTTAGTAGAGACGGGGTTTCACCATGTTGGCCAGGCTGGTCTCGAACTCCTGACCTCAAGTAATCCACCCACCTTGGCCTTCCAAAGAAGTAGTCATTTAGTGCTATAAACTTTCCTCTTAACACTGCTTTTGTTGCATCACAGAAATTTTGGTATGTGTGTCTCTGTTTTCATGTATTCCAAATAATTTTTTTTTTGAGATGGAGTTTCGCTCTTGTTGCCTAGGCTGGAGTGCAATGGCACGATCTCGGCTCACCACATCCTCTGCCTCCTGGGTTCAAGCGATTCTCCTGCCTCAGCCTCCCAAGTAGCTGGGATTATAGGCATATGCCACCACACCTGGCTAATTCTGTATTTTTAGTAGAGATGGGGTTTCTCCATGTAGGTCAGGCTGGTCTTGAACTCCTGAACTCAGGTGATCTGCCCACCTCGGCCTCCCAAAGTGGTGGGATTACAGGCATGAGCCACCACACCTGGCCAAAAGAATTTTTTTGATTCCTGCCTTAATTTCATTGTTTACTGAAAAGTCATTCAGGAGCAGTTGTTTAATTTCCATGTAATTGTGTGGTTTTGAGAGATCTTCTTTGTACTGATTTCTGTTTTTCTTCCACTGTAGTTCTAGAGTATGGTTGGCATGACTTCAGGTTTTTTAATTTATTGAAACTTGCTTTTTGGCTGAGCGTGTGGTCAATCTTACAGTATTTTCTGTATGTAGATGAGAAGAATGTATATTCTGTGACTGATGGGTAGAATAGTCTGTAGCTGTCTATTAGGCCCCATTGGTCAAATGTCAAATTTAAGTCCAAAATTTTTTAGTTTTCTGCCTTGATGATCTAATGCCGTTGGTTGAGTGTTAAAGGACCCCACAATTATTGTGTGGCTAAGTATTTTCATAGTCCAGAAGTACTTGTTTTATTAAGCTGGATGCTCCAATGTTGGGTGCATATATATGTTCAGGATAATTAAGTCTCTTGTTGAATTGATCCCTTTGTCATTATGTAATGCCCTTGTCTTTTTTTTTTTTTTTTTTTTTTTTTACCTGTTGTTCATTTAAAGTTTGTTTTATCTGATATAAAACTATTGGCTCCTGCTCTCGTTTATTTTCCATTTGCATGATAGATCTTCCTCCAACCCTTTACTTTGAACCTATGGGTGTCATTAAATGTCAGTGGGTCTCTTGAAGATAGTAGATGTATGGGTCTTTGGTTTTTTTAAAGTCGAATTTGTCACTCTGTGCTTTTTACGTGGGGCATTCAGAACATTGACATTCAATGTTAACGTTGATATGTGAGGTTTGGATCCTATCGTGAAGTTATTAGCTAGCTATTTTGTAGTTTCTATTGTGCGGTTGCTTTATAGGGTCTGTGAGCCATGTATGTAAGAGTGTTTTGTGGTGATAGGTATTGTTTTTTCATTTCCATGTTTAGAACACCCTTAAGGATCTCTTATAAGTCTGGTCTGGTGGTAAAAAAATTCTCTTAGTGATTGCTTGTCTATAAAAGAGGTTATTTCTTCTTTGCTTATGAAGCTTAGTGTGGTAGGATATAGCATCTTTGTTGGAATTTCTTTGAGAATGCCATAAGAAGCCCCCAGTCTTTTCTGGCTTGTAAGGTTTCTGCTGAGAAGCTCCCTGTTAGCCTGTTAGTTGTGTTTGGTTACACGAATAAGTTCTTTAGTGGTGATTTCTGGGATTTAGGTCCACCCATCACCCGAGCAGTGTACACTGTTACCCAATATGTAGTCTTTTATCCCTCACCCCCCTCCCATCCTTCCTCCTAAGTTCCCAAAGTCCATTGTATCATTCTTATGCCTTTGCGTCCTCATAGCTTAGCTCCCACTTATAAGTGAGAACATACGATGTTCGCTTTTCCATTCCGGAGTTATTTCACTTAAAATAATGGTCTCCAGCTCCATCCAGGTTGCTGCGAATGCCATTATTATTGTTATTATTATTATTATTATTATTATTATTATTATTATTATTTTGAGACAGAGTCTCGCTCTTGTTGCCCAGGCTGGAGTGCAGTGGTGTGATCTTGGCTCACTGCAACCTCTGCCTCCTGGGTTCAAGTGATTCTCCTGCCTCAGCCTCCCGAGTAGCTGGGATCACAAGGGCGCACCACCATGCCTGGTTAATTTTTATATTTTTGGTAGAGATGGGGTTTCGCCATCTTGGCCAGGCTGGTCTTGAACTCCTGACCTCAAGTGATGTGTCTGCCTCGGCCTCCCAAAGTTCTGGGATTACAGGCATGAGCCACCATGCCCGGCCAATGCCATTCTTTTGTTCTTTTTATGAATAGCCCTATGCACTTCTGTTGGCAGGTTTTATATTGGGCAGTGTGGTTTGATCTACAGGCCAGTGGATGGCACTTGTGGGTAAAAGCCAGCTGCAGCCAACACAGATGGGTGTATACTTGATCCTTGTTACCGGAAGAAGCTCTCTTTTTTCCTCAGGCAATGGGTTGATCTGTGCAGTGCACCATGGTCCGAACTCCCTGCTCAACCCCCGGAAGGGGAGACCAAGATGGGTGGGTGGACAGGACCAAGATAAGTGGGGCTGGACTGGGAATGACTGCTTACAGGTCCCCTAATGGCAAGCATAAGCACCAGTGCAGAGGAAGAGGTCCAATGGGCAGCCATCAAGCACCCAGAGGTGTGCCTAGGTATGGAGCTGGGGAACTTCTCAGCTCCAAGTTCTCTGCACAGGGAGTGGGGGCATCCTAAACTCCTGCTCTAGGAGAGTGAGTGGGTGCTCCAGATTGCTGGAGATCTGCCTGGAGGATCAAAAATGGCCCCCTGCACCATGATCTCTGCTCAGGAAGGGTGGAGTAACTCAGGCTATCTGGGTAGGAAGGTGCTCTATATGCCTGGAGATCTGCCTGGGCATGAAGCAAAGAGAGCGCCTCCTGCACCACAAACTCCATACAGGAAGGATGGGGTGATCCAGGCTGCTAATCCATGGGAGCAGGTGCTCCAAATGCCTGGAGGTCTCCCTGAGTGTGGAGCAAAGAGGGCCCCGCTACACCAAGGACTCACTCAGGAAGACTGGAGCAGTTCAGGCTGTTAGTTCAGGTGAGCAGCTGCTCCAAATACCTGGAGATATGTCTGGGGGTAGAGTAGAGAGGGCCCTGCTGTGCCACGATCTCTAAGGCACCCAGTAATTACACATGCAGACGGTTCCAGGGTGCCAAGTTGGCTCTGACTACAAATCTTTTTGCCCAGGAGAAACTGTGGCCGTGGCAGCCCTCCTCCCACTCCAGGCCTGTGACAGAGGAGAGCACAGTTCCAGTGCCTACTGCTGGGACACCTTCCACATTTGCTGCCCAGTTCTGGCTGTGGAGGGCCCTACCCTGCTCCAGAGCAAATGCTCCAATCTCTAACCTGAGACTAAAATGCCTGCATGGCTACACTGCCAGGGTCACCAAAGAATGACTGACTTTGTATGAGCCTGGATTAAAAGTGGCATCCTTCTCTTGATCCCGGGTCTGGGAAAATATCTGCCACTTTTCCGTGTCCAAGCTGCTTCATAAGTCCGCTCCAGGGCTTGGGAGAAATGAAATGCTCTCCCTTGGCCTGGGTTGTATGGAACCCCTGCGGAAAGATGGGCCATGAGGGACTCTCTGACCCTCCTAGTTTCTGGGGCGTCACTCACTTTTATTGGCTGGGTGCCATCATGGGGGCTGCCTGCCTACCTTCTCCTTGGGATCTGGGATGTCTTTTGTTATGCTGATGGATTCCCATTTTCCATCTTAAAGCTCACAGAATTGATCTTTATGCACTATTTTGCTATTTCCAAGTGGCTGAGGCATGCTAGAAGCCTGTAATTCACCATCTTGCGGGGAAAAAAAAACGAGTGATGAAGATTGCCTATGTTCAGATACCAAAAAATGCATTAAGATAATGACAGGTCAAAGCACCACCTAGTCAAAATCTTTCTGAGGAAACAGAACATACTTGGCTCTCACTTTTCATGCCCTGTTGGCTGGATTTCTTCTTGGCTCTCTTCTGCACAGGGCAGAAAGACTGCAGTGTGTGTTTATCATTGGGATGCTCTGATGGGAAGCTGAAGTCTCAGAACAAGAACCCACTTTTCTTCACGCGTGAATTGCCCACACCCGTCAAGCTGGGCAGTGACCCATGAAGAGTGCTTCTGTAACTATCAGATGTCAGTCCTGGTCAAGTTCTATTCCCAACTGTGTAAGCCCAAAGCTGATGGGTGTAGCAACACAAAGCGGGGAAGCTAGTCACTAATACTTAGGAAATGCATTGGTTTGGGGGGCTTCCCTCCTCCAGCGTGGATGCAACAGTCATCAGTCAGCACCATACCCTTTCCCTGGTGGTCCACTCATTTGCTTCCAGGCAGGTGGGATGAGTTGCTTGACTGGTAGGTTTGTAGCCCAGTCCTGTTCCCGGATTTTCCTTTGGGGAATGAGCTGTCTGCAGGAAGCATAAGCACCTCCACGCCATAGTATGCTCTTCCATGCCATAGTTTCACAGAGGCCAGGCTCCCACCTGGGAGGGGCAAGTCTGGGGTTCAGTATTAGAAAGCCCAGTCGCCACAGGCATAAGCCCACATTCTCTAGTGCTAGCTTTATCAAGGATGAAGGTGGTCTGACAGCTTCACGGCCTTATTCTTTTGCTTTGTTTCTCAATGGATTTAGCCCGTGGTTCTCACTCGAATGTGCAGCAGAACTGCCTGCAGGAGTTGTGAAAACACACATGCTGGGCTCCGCTACCAGAGTTTCTGATTCAGCATGTCAGCAGTGGGGCCCAAGAATTTGCATTTCAGACAAGTTCCCAAGTGAAACTGAGGCTGCTGGACTGGAGACCACACTGAAGACCCAAGGAACACTTGGCTAAGAGAAGGCATTCTGTTATTGTTCCCTCAAACTCCAGAAGAACCCAATGTTCTCAAGGCTGTCTGAGTCAGCTGGGCCTCCTTTGCTAACCTGGGGCTGGCAAACAGTCCTCGGTCAGCATGAGTAATTCTTACAAATCAATATCCTCTTCTAGCCCACGGCCTTGGGGAGAAACAAATGATTATGGATTATCCTCATTTCTGTTCTATGCAGAAAGCAAGATGAGTCAACAGCAGCTGTACATCAGCCCTGAAATTGCTATTTTAAAACAGAGTTTGAGACATGCTCAGTTCTCCTTGGATAAAACCTTGTACAGCACTGTGCACAAATAAAGACTTTTTAATAATGATGGAGCTAGTGGATTTTAATGACTTGTCATTGAAGTGTAAAAGTACAAACATTTGCGGGTTAGGGAACCGTGTGATGAATGCCAGTGGATTCAGGAGAAGGCCAGAGCAGAGTGTGTCCCCGCAGACATCCCTAGTGCTTTTCTCAGGCCCTAGCCCCCCCTCCAAGGTCAGCACCGTCTCAAACTCTAACAGGTAGATATGTTTTATCTGGCTTGCACTTTATATAATTGACATCATTCAGCAGGTTCTATGTGTCGTGTCTGCTTTCTTTTACTCCACAAACGCAATGAATTCCTAAAAATGTCTCTCCTCTGATCATCCGTGTTGTTGACCACACATCCTTCACTCCAGCCTCTGTGAGTGGGCTGCCCGCTGCACACCCCGCCTCCCACCTGCAACAAGTTTTTGCAACTTCCTGGCACAGTGTGGCTGTTCCAGTACAGCCAGTTCCCTCTAGGACTTTCCCATCTCCAGGGCTTCCTTCAGGCCTCCCACCCCCATCAGAAGGGGTTTCCCTTCTTCCCTCTGCCGATTTCCATCAGTCAGAGCAGGTGAGGCTCTACCACCCACCCTGCAAGGCTTACACCTTAGAGGCCCGTGCCTTGCTCTCTGTTCATTTGGGGGCATCTTGTTCTGCACAGTCCCTCAGGGACCTGGATTTCCCTACACCAGGAGGAACATATGACCTCTTAGGCACCATGTCAGGGAGACAGAGGCTGGAGAACCCCACAGGGCTGTTCACCGCCTGGGCTTGGGAATGACACCTGTCTCTTCTGCCAATATTTCATGGTCAGAGCTAGTCATATAGCGAGTTCTCTTGGCTACAAGGGGGATGGGAAAGGCAGGATAGCAAAGGGAAGATTTGGTGAACATCCCTGTTGCTGCCACAGTGCTCAGATCAGCTCCGTCTCCAGCGCCAGATTGTTCTATCATCCCCTCTGCCCTTGGGCTCTCACGTGCTCCCTCTCCCTCCTGTTATTCTACAGTATCTGTATCTTGCACACTGGTGGTCTTCCAGGGGACATGTCTGGGGATGTTTGTGATTGCTGAGATTTGGGTGTGTGTGGCACTGACATCTAGCAGGGATAGGCCTGGGATGCTGGAAAACATCCTACAATGCACAGGACAGCCCTCCCAACACAAAGCACGGCCTAGTCCTAAGCATCGATAGCAGCGTGGCCAGAGCCCTGTAGTCCAGGGTGCCATTTCAGCTGGCGTAGGTCTTGCCTACTCCTGCTGAATTGCAACTCTGGGGAAAACAATCATGGTGGCCTAAAGCCAGGCTTGGTGACAGACTGAGTCCTGCTGCCCTGGCCCCTTCAGTGGGCCTGATGACTCTAGGAGAAATGAGGGACAGAAGTGAACAGGTAATAGAGCAGTGGCAGAGAAAAAAGGTCATCTGAGTGTTATTTGTAATGGCTTCACCAGGCTTAAAAATATAGCAGATAGTCTGGGTGCAGTGGCTTATGCCTGTGATCCCAGCACTTTGGGAGGCAGAGGCAGAAGGATCGCTTGAGACTAGGAGTTGGGGACCTGTCTGAGCATCATAGTGGGACACTTTCTCTACAGAAAAATAAATTGGCTGGGCTGTTAGCGTGTACCTGTAGTCCCAGCTATTTAGGAGACTGAGGTGGGAGGATCACTTGAGCCCAGGAGTTTGCAGCTGCAGTGAGCTGTGATTGTGCCGCTGTACTCCAGCCTGGGTGACAGAGCAAGAACGCAAGAACTTTTCTAGTATCTATCGATACAGATATACATATATTAATAGCAGATGGCAAGCCAAGTAGAGCTTCTCACCTGGAGTGCTCCTCCCTCCACGTAGACTGGGCACTGGGCTGCATCGCCACCTCTGAGAGGAGCTGGCAGGTCCTGGGTGTGTACACTCAGGTCTGCTGCACCCTGTACCCACCATATTTCTTCATCAGTGGCTGTTTTTTCATTGGTGGTTGAACCAAGGTGCGGGTAACCCACATTAGCAAGCTTGAGTCATCACCCTTCACTGTCCTCACAGTGGGCTGACTCCTGTGGTCTGGCTGTGCCTAGCATTGGTTTGGGATGAGTCGCATTCTAAGGCCAACTGTGCCATTTTCTGCTGCATGACTTTGGGCAAATCATTTAGCCTCCCTGGATTTCAATTCTGACGCCTGTAAAAGAATGATTTGCTCTCTGTAACATAGATATTTTATTTTGTTCCTCCCCAAATACATAGAATCCGTAGACGCTCAGAACTCATCTTCAGTTCCTTCTGGTTTAACTAAATGCAGCAATGCTATTCATATGTCCTGTTACCCCGGACAGCCTGCTCACCTGGCCTTGAGGGATGGTTGTCAAAAGTTTCCCTAAAGGCAGAAATGAAGAGACTTGGTACAAGTTCTGAGAAACCATTGCCCATGGCAATGAGGAACAGGATTACCCAAGAGAATTACCATTCTCCTATTCATTCATTCAATAAGTTGTTGTTGTTGTTGTTTGAGACAGGGGCTGGCTCTGTCACCCTGGCTGGAGTACCGTGGCAAGATCTCAGCTCACTGCAACCTCCATCTCTCAGGCTTAAACCATCCTCCCACCTCAGCCTCCCGAGTAGCTGGGACTACAGGTGTGTGCCACCACACCCGGCTGGTTTTTGTATTTTCAGTAGAGACGGGGTTTTGCCATGTTGCCCAGGCTGGTCTCAAACTCCTGAGCCCAGCAATCCAAGGACCTTGGTTTCCCAAAGTGCTGGGATTACAGGCATGAGCCACCATGCCCGGCCACATTCATTCAACAAATATTTCTGACCCTCCTCAAAGTCCTGGGCACTGGAGATGCTGCACAATGAGTGGCTGGAAGGCGTCTCTGCCCTCCTGGAGCTCCACCTCTTCCGCGTCTCCCTTGGCACCCAGCACTGCGGCAAGGAATCTGTGGAGCTCAGTAGTCCTCACTCGCTGAGAGCTCAGAGGAGAAGGGTAGAATTGGAAGTCTCAGCTTTTTCCACTCAGAAAGCTGCTAAAGCAGCTGCTGGGTGTCTCTCCCCCACCTTCTCTTGTGCTGGCCCTGGAGCACAGTAGGCATGGGAGAGGGTGGCCGAGGGAGGAACAGGGAGGGGTGAGGAGTGTGCAGATTGCCAGGTGAGGGGGCCTTGTACCCAAGTCATCAGGAGTTGATGGAGCTGCTGATGACTCCAGGGTGTGCCTGGGTCTGAGTCTGAGGTGGTAACAATGTCTCGGAATAAAAGCTGCCCCCTTTTTTTTCAGGCCACTGCTGCAGGACAGTGAAGCTGACTTAAAATGCCCCTGCCCTGGTAAGCCACCTGGTGTATGTGTGATAACATGGCCTTGGACGCCTCTCTTCCCTTGCTCTGTTGGAAGTTGGTAGATATGCTCCGGACTGTACAGCCTGGTACTTGCCTTTGTCCATTGCCATTTCTGGGACCACCCTTCAAAGCCACACATTGTAAAATGAAGGCACAGGGGCCATGCCCCCATTCTTGGCCAAGCCCTGAGGCTCTGCTGCCCAACTCTTCTAGGCCCCTTGACCTCTTGTCCACCAGGGCACAGGGCAGTGGAAGATACTGGGAAGGGGCCAACCTCACATAGCTCACGACCTTAGAGGAGCATTAAGATGCAGCCCTGGCCAGGCGCGGTGGCTCACGCCTGCAATCCCAGCACTCTGGGAGGCCGAGGCGGGCAGATCATGAGGTCAGGAGATCAAGACCAGCCTGGCCAACATGATGAAACCCCGTCTCTACTAAAAATACAAAAAATCAGCTGGGCGTGGTGGCGGGTGCCTATAATCCCAGCTACTCAGGAGGCTGAGGCAGGAGAATTGTTTCAACCCGGGAGGCGGAGGTTGTAGTGAGTCGAGTTCGCTCCATTTGTAGTCCAGCCTGAGTGACAGGGCAAGACTCCGTCTCAAAAAAAAAAAAAAAGATGCAGCCCTGAGCTGGTGTGCGTGTGTGTGTGTAGCCTGGGTCCTGGCCACCACCTGAGCTGCTCTAATCCAGGCAGATCCAGACACATTCCAAGGTGATACCTGGAATGGGGCAATGAAGCAGTTTTGTCCACTCATTCATCATATGTGAACGGAGCAAACAAATCAACCAAGGCCCTGCCTTCATGGAGTGTGTGTCCCAGGACCGGGCTGAGCGATAAAGGAGCCACACAGTTCATCCGAAGGTTTCATGCTGTGGAGGAATATAACACGGGGCACATCCAAGAGGGGGGCTGGAGCTCCGATTTTCTAAATATCAGGACGGCTTCACTGAGAAGGTGATGTTTGAGCAGATACCCAAAGTGAGAGAAGGATCCACGCAGCACCTGGAAGGATAAAGCCAGGCAAAGGGAATGACAAAAATGTGGAGGTTGCAGTTAGCCGAGATCGCACCACTGCACTCCAGCATGGGGGACAGAGCGAGACTGTCTCAAAAAAAAAAAAAAAAGTTCTGAGATAGGAGCATGCACACAGACTGAGGAAACTGCAAGAAGGCTGATGAAGGGGCCTGGAGCCCTACAGAGCAGAACTAGAGGAACAGCTTCACGAGGGTGACCACAGAGCTGTGTGTGTGCTGCCTGCTACAGTGGCCCGGGGAAATGGGTAACTGAAGGTAGGGTGAGACCTGCCGTGAGATTGGTGACAGGGGACTCCAGCAGGAGACACTTTCTTCCTGGCCTGGAGAGGAGGGGAAGATTCCGACCGCTGAAGTTGGGAGGGAATGAATCCCAGCCCAAAGCTGGAGCTAATGAGGAAAACCTTGGCCATATGGGGGTTGGGGAAATAGGATGGGGTCCAATTTGGCTGGCACATAGCATGATGAGCGCTGAAGGACAAGGCAGATCTACACAGTCAATTTCACTTTTGCAACTCAATAGCTTTCTTAAAGAACAAAGTCCAGGGCCAGGCGCCATGGCTCATGCCTGTAATCTCAGCACTTTGGGAGGCCAAGGCAGGTAGATCACTTGAGGTCAGGAGTTCGAGACCAGCCTGGCCAACATGGTGAAACCCCTTCACTACTAAAAATACAAAAATTAGCCAGGCGTGGTGGTGCCTGTCTGTAGTCCCAGCTACTCAGGAGGCTGAGGCAGGAGAATCGCTTGAACCTGTGAGGCGGAGGTTGCAGTGAGCTGAGATTGCACCACTACACTCCAGCCCGGGCAACAAAGGGAAACTCTGTCTCAAAAAAAAAAAAAAAAGAAAAAAGAAAAAGAAAAAGAAAAAGAACAAAGTCCAGAGCACTGCAGGGAGGCCTAGAGGCTGAGGCATTCCATAGCTGGATCTGCAGGTACAACTTAACCTTGTTAGATTTTATTATTATAATTGTTTTTTAGACAGAATCTTGCTCTGTTGCCCAGGCTGGAGTACAGTGGTATGATCTTGGCTCACTGCAACTTCTGCCTCTGGGTTCAAGTGATTCTCCTGCCTTGGCTTCCCGAATAGCTGGGATTACAGGCACCCACCACCACGCCTGGCTAATTTTTGTATTTTTAGTAGAGACAGGGTTTTGCCATGTTGACCAGGCTGGTTTCAAACTTCCAACCTCAGGTGATATGCCCACCTCGGCCTTCCGAAGTGCTGGGATTACAGGCATGAGCCACCATGCCTGGCCTAGATATTTAAGAGAATATTCTGATTACTCTGTGGAGGCAGGATTTAGGAGGGCACAAGTGGAACTGGGAAGATGGGGCCTTAACATCCTAGAGACAATGGAAAGGCCAGGGCAGTGACAGGAATGAATATTTGCTGGGTGGTGGCTCTGGGCTGGGCATGGTACTTCCTGGCGTGGTGTTCATTGTCACTTTTTGCCACTGGGGCTCAGGCCCAGGATTCCACGTGTGATGGATGGTTACAGGGCAAAAAGCTTATCCAGCATCACCCAAATAAAAAGCCTAGTTTGATCCTACTTCCAAAATGTGTCTGGCATCAGTTCCCCGGCTTCTGGCCCTTGGGTGGACCTTGGATGAGTTCTCCTGGGATGGCCATTGCGGCAGCTTCCCCCTGGCTGAACCCCTCTGGTCTAATCACCCTCCTCAAAATTGTGCTCCACCATTTGGTACCCATGTAAAAATCTTTGGTATTTTCCCTGGCCCTGGTACTACCTGTTTGCAGGGACCCCAAACTCGAATGTCTTTAGTTGCTTGGTGTAACGAAATCAGCAGGGCTGGTGGCAGGGATCAATGTAGAGTACAAACATGGCTGAAGGCATTCAGCAAAAAGAGAAACAGGTTGTGCCAGCCAAAGCAGATATGTCTGTCATCAAGTCAAGCCCCAGTGTTCCCTCTTTATAATCTGTAAAGGCCCAAATCCTGAGCTGCTCAAACAGCAGCCTCTGCAACCTGGCCTCAGTGTCTCTAGCTTCCTCTCTGCGCCCTCACTACTTTGGCTGGGCTACACCTCTGTCCCTGGAAGGTGCTCTGTCATGCCTCCTTGCTTCTGTACCTGATTTCTTCTGACTTTTATATTTTCTGCCCCCCAAAATCTATCAACCTTTGGGACTTAGGTCCAAGGCCACCTTCTCTGTGAACCTGTCCCGTCTTCCCACAGCATGATCATTGGTTGCAAGCATCATAGATGAGTCCCTCTGCCCTGACTTAGACGGTGATCTCCAGGGCAGAAGCCAACTGATGTAATAGCCACGGCATAGTCCTAAACATGATGTAGGCAGTGGTGACCCTTAGTTCTCTCCCCACACTCTTCTTTGGCATGTAACTTAGCAACTGGATCGATCAGTCAAAGGGGAAAATGAACCCAGCACAGCCACTGTTTTTGCACCCCTGATTTGGGCAAAGGGGGAAAGTACTGAACCCAAATTCAGAATCAGGATGCAGTTGAGTTCTGCACTAGAAGAGAGGGCCCCCTTGCTTTTGTTAGAAAGACCAGGAGAGCTGCAGGTGGAGGGTGACATTTACGTGGAGCTGTGGATTTTGTCTTTGCTGGTGAAGCAGAGATGGAGGTTATCCCTGGCAGAGGAGCCTGCAGTACACAGCCTGGAGGAAACAGAGTGCTTGCCAGGCATACTGTGAGACGGGCCAGGGGTCTAGAGGCCATGGTGGGTGGGGAGGGCAGATGGTGGACCTGGGATGTCACTGTGTGGGGAGTTTTGCATGTTATGGTCAGACATCCTGGCCTGATCAGAGAGGCAGGGTGTGTGCTGGGCGGGTATGAGGGGGAGTGTCGGGGAGGGCACAGGGAATGTCAAAGGTTTCTAAGTATATCATGAGACGGTTAACTCTAGCTACAGGTTAGAAGGATTTGAGGCAGGGTGGAGCAGTAGGGAGACTGGATAGGGAAGTGTTTGCTGTAACAAGAGCTCCCAGGCCGGATGCGGTGTCTCATGCCTGTAATCCCAGCACTTTGGGACGCCGAGGCAGGCGGACCACCTGAGGTCAGGAGTTCGAGACCAGCCTGGCCAACATGGCAAACCTCGTCTCTACCAAAAACACACACACATACACACAAAAGAGCTCCCAGGCCAGGCCAAGGTCCAGCCAGAGCCATGGAGAGGGACAAAGGTGAGGCAAAGGTGATGAAAGTGAGATCTATTCAGAGGCTGAATGGAGGATTTGGGGGGCTGCATATGTCCTCTGGGAGGGAGAGGGAAGAATGGGGGCCAAGGTGCAGGCCTCCAGCTGGGAAGTGAATTCTGTCTTTGACACCTCTCATGTCCTAGACGCTGGAGCTGAACATCCCACAACCCTGTGTGGTGGGTTAAAAGATCACCTTTTACAATAGAGGAAGTAGCTGAGCTTCAAGATTAAGGACCTGCTCAAAGTTGTGCAGTGCAGCAATGGGGGCACCAGATTAGCAGCTGGGTCTGGACCCCACCACCTCACCACTTCCCACAGGAGTTCGCACTGTCGCGGCCTCAGGCCTCAGCCAGGGAGTGGTTGGAGTCTCACCGTTCCTGTCCCCGGGTGGAGGTGGGAAATTCTTCTCCATGAGCATCTCTCCTTGTCTTGGCTTTTACTACTTTGCCCTGAGGCATTTTGCTTTACAGCTTGACAGAACCGATGTCTCTGGAAATGTGTTTCTTTTCTCTGGAAGATGCATTTGGCTCCAGAAACTCTGAGCCTCTCAGAGGGTCTTTTGGGCAAAGCTTCAGTCACGGTGGAAGGGGAGGTGGTGTGCGCTTGGCCCTTGGCAGGCTGCAGGCCAGCCGACTGTGCGATGTTGCGCTGGTTCCTTCAGGTCAGCAGAGAGGACTCCGAAAGGGCCTGGTGATACTGCTACCTGTTCAGATGAACTACAGCCCAGCAGAATAGGCCTGAGTTAGGGGACGCACCCACCACCTTCGGCTCCTTAGGAGTTCAAGGAGCACAAGCTGTGGCCTGACAATCCCCCTCTAACTTCCTGCTAGGCCTCCAGAGCCTGGCGTTGCTCAATCCTTGTAATCCTTGATTAAAATATTCCCTGCGCCACCCCTCTCACCACTTGGCATTTCCTGCTACCAATCTGGAAAGCGGTATCACAAGTCTGTATATTAAGTTGTGAGAGAGATGGAGAAGGATCTTTTAAAGTCAGTTGCCATCTTCCTCTTTCCCCATCTGCCTACAGTCACTGCTGACAGGGTGATGGCAATGTCCCCAGGCACCCCGTGGCTGGGGGGAGCAGGAGGCAGAGTTGAGAATGCTTACCCTTTTGGATGACTCAGAGCCAGGAGATGATGGGATGTGGAAGGCAGGAGCCAGGAGGGGTACTGCCTGGATGGGCTCTGGGGTTTGTAAAAGCTGGTGCTAGGCCGGACAAGGTGGCTCATGCCTGTAATCCCAGTACCTTAGGAGGCTGAGGCAGGCAGATCACTTGAGGTCAGGAGTTTGAGACTAGCCTGGCCAACATGGTGAAACCCCGTCTCTACTAAAAATACAAAAATTGGCTGGGTGTGGTGGTGCGCACCTGTGGTCCCAGCTACTTTCTTGAACCTGGGAGGCAGAGGGTACAGTGAGCCGAGGTCACGCCACTGCACTCCAGCCTGGGCAACAGAGCGAGACTCTGCCTCAGAAAAAAAAAAAAAGAAAAAAAGAAAAAGAAAAAAAGGCTGGTGCTGGTGCGCCCTCACCCACACCCGCCTTGGCCCAGGGGCCTCCTGTAGTCCCCACTCCCGCCTCTCCCACTGCTTCCCACCTCCCTTCAATGTAGGCAATGAAGTTGAGCTTGGACTAGAACAGGCATCTTGCTCCAATCCTCCTTGTCTAATTTGCAGGGTTTTAATGTGTATTGCATTCACTATGGCACAATGTGCTTTGTCCTTGTCTTAATTTGGCAACATACAGAGCAAACCCATAAATCTCCTCCAGAGTTTACTGAATAGCTTTTCATGTAGTTACCAAATTGTATTTGCCATCTCCCTCAATCTTTTCACATGCATATTTGAAAGAATTATTCAAATGAATGATAATTACATCCTTGGAAAGTGGAGAGCAGTGGGGAGAGGGCTTTGAAGGCTGAGACAGAAAGCCTCGCCTCTGGCAGGCCCCCACCCCCACCCCAGGGGCTGAAGGGGGACCCTCTGTGCACTGACACCCACCCACCCAGACCTCTGGACAAGAGCAGGAAGTGCATTTAAACATTGTACTTGCCATTCTTTCAGTGCTCTCTTCCTCACTGAGTTCTCCTGGGGAACTAGGAAGGGAATCTGTTTGGCTACCTAATTAAACTTTCCTATTTTTAATCTCATGGTGAATTTGTGCAAAACACAAAGCCCAGGAAAATGCCAGTGGCAGCTGCTTCAGCATAAAAGGTGTTGTGTTTGCAGTGGGCATTGTCAAGAGTCTGAAAGCTAAATAGGCCTTCTCTAAAAACACCCTAGAACGTCCCTGAGCATGATTGGAAACATTAGAAATAAATGTACTGCCTTTTACTCTCCAGGGCTACAAAGAATGCTAGAGTGGAGACAAGAGTCCAGACTCTGAAATAACCTCCTTTGGACACAGAAGCTACCACTGTTGCTTATCAGACGCAGCGGGCCCTGGGTTTTTCTGGGGCCTTAAGCAGTGAACCCTGGTCAGCTGGCCTGAGTCCCAACCCAAGCCCATCACCACAAGCCTCAAGACAGGAAGATCTCAGTGAAACCTTTCCTCTAATCCAAGTGACATCATTGTCGCAGGTGTTTGTACATGAAAGCAGAGTGATGAAGGTGTGTGGGTCCACGGAAGAAGTAAAAATACAGCACTAGTTCATATTTTTCCTAGTCTCTCCCTGTTCCCAGGTAAAGTTATAGCATGTTCAAGGATGTGCATTTATAGCATAACTGGTTTCATTCCTCAGACCTAACTTTGTGTAGAATAACTCATACCAAAGGTGACTAAGGGCCCATTCCTAGCACTGCTTTGCAGCACACTGAAGTGGGAAAAAGAATTCTGAAAGCATGCACAGTGGGAATTGAATCACGAGGTTGTCTTTGAGTAAGTGCTTTTAGCTTTTGGAGTCTCAGTTTCCTCATTTCTAAAATAGGGATAATGCTTATTTCATAGGATTTTAATTTATGTAAATATATAGTACTGGACCCTCAGATGTGAGTATTCTTCCTGCTAGCCTTATCTCTCCAACTTTGAAAGCGGCAGTTGTAAACTAGAAGGGAATGCTTAAGGGAAAAACAGTTGCCCAGTGTCATCTGACATCTCCCCAGAAATGTACATCGTCCACCTGAGACCACACAGCAGCCATTGCTCTGTCCAGGTCGGCTCTGTAGGTTCTTACGGTAAGGGACCGACATTCCTTTTCACTTCGGTCAGGGGTGTGTGCGGTGGGGAAGAGACGCAGACAGGTTTGCGGAGCGCCACCTTCAGGAGTAAAAGTGGAGTGCAGGGGATGTTAGTGACGCCGTCGTAAACTGCTTAACTGTGAGATTCTGAAATCTTTTTGTAATTATCATTTGTTATTCCACTTTCCCTATTACAATGCAGATACAGAGGAAAAACCCTTAAACCTAGAAGAGCTGAGTGATGGGAGCAGCAAGGAAGTGGGTTCTAAGAACTCTTTGAAGGTTAAAATACCACTCCTGAAATAGACCTCACCAGTGAATAAATCAAATTACATTGATTGTTAGAATTCAAACTCTTCCACAGCATAACTATAGAGATAGGGAAGGCTCCATTGAGAAAGCCTCAAAATTACTACGCATTTAAATACCCCTAGTTATTTACATAATAATGGCTGTCACTTATTGAACACACACTATGGATTTGCATGTTCAAAGGGTTTTACTTGTTTCAACTCATTTAGTCTTAACAACCCTAGGAAATGGGGGCAATTATTACTCTGTTTAGTAATTTGCCAATCTGCTACATGTATGATGTGTGGAGCTGGGTGTGTACTCTTAACCCAAGGCCGATGACTGCACCTAGAGAGGAATACATTTTTTAAAAGGTTATTTTAAAAATCTTTAAAAAGGGAAACCTTTAAAATGTTAAAAAAATTTAAAAATCCTTTAAAAACACAAAAATGAAAACCATTAACTCTAAAACAGCAACAGAGGCGGAGGTGCAAAGGCTAACAAATAAGGATGTTTAACTAATGAGAGGCCCAACTGCAGGCGTTTTGTTTTGTTTTGAATAAATTCACTGTCATAGTTGCTTTTTACCAAACTCCCCTTCTCACATGCCACTTCATTCATCAATGAGTATTAACCCATTCTTCTTACCCAATGGTATAGGTGGAGAAGAAATAAAGTCCTTACCCCAGGTAACACTGTTGCCTAATAGAATATTCTCCTGGATTCTTGGCTCAGCCTGTGGAAGTACCTGGGGAACTCTCACACCTAATGCTTATTTTGAATATGCTGACTCCTCTGTCCACAATCAAACATCAATAATCAAATCTGCTGGCAGAGCCAAAATAAATGGTCTAAATCCATAAGCTTGCAGTTACACAGCTTAAAGTAATCAAGTGGGGGAAAAAAAGAATACTTAAGAATGCAAATGGAAATTTTAGGGAAAAAGAAGAAAAGCAAAGGTCCAAAAAGCAATGTCAGAGGAGAAACCCGCTCTCTGAAATAGTGGCTTCTCATGCAATGACACAGAACGTCCACATGCTAAATCATGAAGATCATGACAATACGGTGACTGCATCGGAAACAGAGTATTTCGTTAATAGAAAATTATTAGGACAATTGGGTCAGGAAGACACTGCTGTCTAGAATAGTCGGGATACAGCGAAGATTGCTGTTTTACTTCAGCAAGAACAGGGTGGATGCCGCATTGTATTTGTTTGCATCTGTCCTTGAGTCATCCTTACGCCCACGGTCATCACCACCATGTAGCTAGTGACAATAAGCCTGTGAGATAGGCATTCTGATCATTTCACAACGGTGTATGAAAAAGACTCTGAAAGAGAATAATTTGCCCAAATTTTACATATTGTGTGTCTCATATATATAGTTACCATAGTAATACGTGCAGGACTGAGAGTCAAACACAGCCCTGGAGTACCTGACAGCTGTCTGCAATCTCTCCCAATCTGTGCAGGAATTTCACAGAAGCAGAGCATTTCCCCACAATGATCTAAGTTTTCCAGCCTCAACTATTAAAGAGATAAAAATTTCAATTTCTGTGCATTCAAATCTATTCAATTTATTTTTACAAACAAAATCCTTATTCCTGTTGGCTATGTGGCCCCGTACATTCCAGGCCAGCTAAAGAAGTTAACTTGAAGAGGGATGTGTGGACCCTCATTCTCTGTGCCCCACTACCTGTCAGGGTGTCATGGACATCAGGGCTCAAAGTTTTGTGCATCCTAGTAAACACCACTGCACCAATGAGTCTTTTTGATACATTTTTTTTCTGAGACGGAGTCTCACTCTGTCACCCAGGCTGGAGTGCAGTGGCGCAATCTTGGCTCACTGCAACCTTCTCCTGCCTCAGCCTCCCGAGTAGCTGGGATTACAGGCGTGCGCCATGAAGCCCAGCTAATTTTTTTTTTTTTTTTTTGTATTTTTAGTAGAGATGGGGTTTCACCATGTTGGCCAGGCTGGTCTCGAACTTTTGACCTCAAGTGATCTGCCCGCCTTGGCCTCCCAAAGTGTTGGGATTACAGGTGTGAGCCACTGCGCCCGGCCTTTTCAATACAATTTAAATCAACTGGCAGCCCTCATAATCAGAAAAGAGGATGTCCGTGCCATCTAGCATTATCTTACAAACTCCCTGGACGAGGTCCCTACCAACAATACTCTTAGCCAGACACCTGATGATACTTCAAAAGCACTGGGAACCAACACTATAATGACGGGTTCAGGAAAAAAAAACACTCTCATCATGCCTTAAGTTATGTCTAGTTGTCTTTGACATTTAATTTCAATTTTCATAGGAATTAATCATGGCTCTAACATTTACATTGATACTGACCATGTGTTTATCTTACACAATGCTCATAATGTTAGCCACTGAATGCAGGCAAACTAGAGAAGTATGATGCTTTTATTTATTTAGCATCTATGATGCCATATGAGATCAATTTCTTCATTAAAGAAAAACAAACCAGCATAAGAAAAACGAATTAAAAATTTTTTTTTTCTCAGTGGCAGAATCACATAGCTGTTTCGATACAGATTTCCAGTAGGTCTAAAATACCGTTTTGGGAATTGTAAAGATTCCATTACAGAAATACACAGAACAGAGGATAAATACAATCACACTAGTTTATCAGATGGTTGCACTACACATCCTTTGCCTTACTTTTCCTATAAGAAAAGTTCGCAGGATCAAATAAAAAATTCTACTAGCAGCATATGACTCTGGTTTGGGAGGACAAAACCCTGAAAGGAAAAGATAAAATCAATAACCTGGTACACGTGCAGTGAAATGCTTTGTCTCTGCAGAAGTGTGCACGTTTGTGAATATTTCACATAAGGTAAGAAATTTCTAATTTCAAAAAAACTGAAGGAATCTGAACACCTATTCTTCATAAAAACAAACGATTGCTTTTCAATGCCTTTTTCCCTTGGAACATACGCTGCTTTAAGAAAGGTGGCGAAAGCTTCAATGAACAGCGTTTTGTTATTCATCTGAAACACTTGGACAGAAAATTGGCAAATTTGGTACATGGTTCAAGAAGTGAAACATTACAGATTTTATAAAACCAAGTTAAAACATGCACATTTTCTACTGCCAAATGGCCAATACCTTAAATTGTCTTTAAAAGACTAAGGATCTTAGGGGGAAAAGCCACTTCTAATACATAACAGTAACACTGCAACAGGAGTAATAATTAAGTTAACAGAAAGTATTAAGGAAAAACAAAGTAACCACTTAAAAAACAATAAACATTGTTAAAACCTACAGTTGCATTCCAATTTTAAAAGAAAGTTTAACTATTTAAGTGGATGATGATGTTCATGCTGTTTAAATGTTCTTATGAAAATGATTACTGATGCAACACCCGGTATAAAGCACTGTGAATAAACATGCTCAGCAGCGTGTACTTCCAACGAATTCAAAATTACATATGATCATATGAAGAATATCATTCACCAAGGACAGTCCCAAGGCATCTAAAAATCCTAAAGATCTGGACAGACAAAGCAGAGATACATTTTATTTCTCATAAAGAGTTACATTGTAACATGCCACTCACATTATAGCTACAATTATACTAGTCACAATTTTTAATCTTACAGAATAAAGCTATAGCATGTGAAATTACAATATATTTATCTTCTTTAAAATCATTTTTAAAGAATGGCAGATATGTTATTTATTAGAAGCCAAAACCAATGGAAAAATGTAACTGGTAAATGCAGCCAAAATGTATCTGTGGCTAATTAAATGCTGCAACAGATTTTTTTTGGTCTATGAGACTTTTAAAAAACAAAAGGTTGGTAAGGGATTCCCATTTATCAACAGAAATGAAAAGTTTATGAAAGAAATTCAATACATATTAAAACATTTTAACAGAGTGCTTTTTTTTGTGGTTAAACACAAGAAATATCTCTAATAAATAATGGGTGTAAACAGGTAAGAAAACTCAAATGAATTAAGATGCTTTAACATCAATGTCTAACAATCCTCTTTTGAAGGACATCAAAAACTACCAGATTTTCTTTTAATGTCAACTGAAATGCAATTATGATTTCTTCTATTAACATATACCAGGATTTACTGCTTGAGATCAGCAAATTATGGCCCACAGGCCCAATCTGACCGGCTTCCCGTTTCTGTAAATAAAGTTTTATTGGAACACAGCCACACTAATTTACATGTTATCTGTGGCTGTTCTTATGCTCTAAAGGCAGAGCTGAGTAGTTTTTACAATGGCATTTGAAGTCCATATGATTCCTGTATTATTTACTATCTGATCCTTTACAGAAAAAGTCAACCCCTGCCCTAGGGGGCTAAGATAGTGTATGTTTCTTTACTTTTATTAACACTACTGTTTTCTCTTATTCTAATGCATGTGTGTAATCCATCTCTTTTTAATACCTCATTTTATTTGTTGGTGTATACCTTGGAAACTTAACTGTTAGCTGAATTAACATCTTTAATATATTTGGAACATAAGCATATGTCCAGCCAGAATCTGTTTGATTTCAGGTCACGTGGGAATTCTCCAGGAGTTAGATGACAATAAAATGGGTGCACCACACACCAACAGAATGGCCAGAAAACTGTATGTCTTATTTTATCTTGAATAAGGAAGTTGGAGAGCAAAAAGAATAATGAAAACCAAACATACTTTAAAGTAAATACCATTGTAAATCAGAGGGAAAACAGCTTGAGAGTTTTCAAAACACACACACACACACACACACACACACACACACACACACACCCAGAGCCATCCTCCCACCTGTCACAAACTAAGAGCTATAACATAAGCAAAGTATATTTGTTTTATAAATATATTACTGTCTATATACATATAGATACATCCATAAGACATGTTAAATAATTATTTGTATAATCAATACTACTTTAAGTTTTTTGTGTATTTTAAAATTACACATTCTATTAAAAATATCAAAATAATTCTTTGAAAATACCAAGAATAAAACCAGTGAAGAACTGCTTTCCATCCAAGTGGTTCTAAATCTTATCATTGGCCGTCCAGACCCCAGACTCGGTCGTTCACAACTCAAAGAAACATAGTTTAATTAGAGAAAAGTTAGCCATCAGAAGCACTCCCCCCAACCCCTGTTTTTAATACCTCATAACAAATACATATTTGTGTATATAGATATACATAAAATACTCTTCAGTTATATTACATATTCTCATAAATGAATTTTCATAAAAACACAAAGTTCAAGTTTCCACCAGTATCAAATATATTACACTGGTGTGCATTTCTTCCAAATGTGTAAGTCAATGACAAACTCTTATCAGGATATAGAGAGAGATCATAAAAACAAGACTGAAAACGTCTGTATCCCATGCAAGAAAGGAGGAGATACTAAGGGCCAGTATTTGGCCAATTGGGTACTATTCCCTCTGGACTAAGACACAGAGACAACAGACTGGCTAGTTACTGTGTAAAGCACAGTCAACTGTCAATTATTCAGGGGCAAAATACTCCAGTCTGAATCCTTTTTTTTCCGATCAGTTGACCATTTCTGGCAACTTCACTTATTAACACATCTCTCTGGTTATTTATTAGCAAGTCTGGTAAAAGATTTGGTTAGAGAGAAAGTTTTGGCTAAAATGAAGGCTTGTGATCAGCTATGGATTTAATTTAATGATGGACTCCTTTGACTTATTGCTTTAGATAAGTAAGAATTTGCTGTACCTAAAGTCTGCCAATTATCTCATTCTACAGCTCTGAACGCAACATCGGTGCTTCAAAAAAAGGGGACAAACTGTCCTCTTCACATAAGAAAACTGCTATTTTTAAACTCATAATTAATTACACTGAAGGATTTAGTGTGGGTAGTTCAGAGCTACTCACTTCAGTAGAGGTGGCAGCTGGCTACACTATTTTCCCATAATTTAAAATCCATGAGGCAATGACAAATAGTCAGCTAATAACACAAGAAGGTCAAATTCAAAGTGTCACACACATCTCACCTAAGATCTCATTTAAATAAATGTAAAATTTGGCGAATGTTCAAATAATTAAAATGGTAAAATGAAGAAAATGGAAGCAAAACCTACATGTATAATTTAAAAGTGATTTCATACTAAAAAGAAGTCTTAGAATATGACTAAAATAAAAGATACTACACATTTGTAACCCTGTTTTTGGCACTGAGTTAGCCTCTACATTTAAACTTGCTTTATAGTGACCAAATCAAGGAGAACAATTTCACATGCGAGTAGGGTTGCTTTCAGACAGACACCACTCAGAATGGGTTGTGTGGCCTCACCCATATTATTTCTGGATACAGATGAGTGCCACACTCATTTCAAACACAACAGCAATAATTGTGTAGAATACCACTTTCCTGAATTAAGTTTGCTGAACACGGTTCAGATTATTGGTTATGTCAATATGCACAATGCCTTTTAGAAGCATTTACTGTATACCCAAATCCTACTTCGTGCAACACACAGTGTCACACAAGTAGTGAAAATGTTATCCTAGTCAAAGGTGCTTGGACATTATTTTCAGGCAGCATTTTACCTTTATTTTAAGTTCACACTAGGTAAGTTTTAGGAGAAAGAAAATGCCAATAAATTTATTTACTGTGTTTTAATATATTATATAAAACTAAGACAGACATTTCTATTTATCTAAATTGTTATTTTTATTTTCTAATCTATTCTAGACCTCAATTTTACTTTAAAAATTTGTATTTAAATAAGGGATAAAATGTTGCCCAAAAGTCTAATCATAGTTACATACTTGTGTTTTAACTAGATCTACAAATCAAAATAGTTCTTATAGTTAAAAAGATACAATTTGTATCAACAGTAAAAGGTACTTTCTGGTTTTTCAGGGCTTCACTTCAAACTGTAGCATGTAGGATAATCAGAATAGCCAGGGCATCTAAGCAGACTACAGAAAAAGATCTGAATGCATCTGTTACGTGAAGTACAATTCAAAACCTGGACGCAACAGTCAAGTGATGTCAATCACACAACTGTCTGCCACTGACTGCAAAATCTATCTTCTACTCCGCAGAAATGTATTCACCACTAGCAAAACCCATGACTTTGAAACCAGAAATATCCCTTACTAATACTAGAACAGACCTTAGTCTGTATCTAAAACTACACTATTTGTGGCAAGAGTCTGGCCTTAATAATATAACAGGCCCCCCCAAGAAAACTACCTTCAGGAAAATGGAAAATATACAATATCTTACAAAAATTTTAAGTTACCATTTACAACTCCTCCATCACCATTTCTCTATAGTGCAGTATCAAGAAATGTTGCATAACCTCAACACATAAACCCACCTCAGGCCAGCCTTGATAAATAGCAGGAAAGCTAAAGAGTATGTTAAATATAAAAGTTGCATTGTGAATAATTAGATTCATTAAAAACAGGCAAGTGCTGTGAAAGGGTTATTTTATCCAGTATTGTTGTGCCCCAAAACAAAAAGACAGACATATTAAAAATACAGGTTAATGGAAATCTAGGAATTCAATTCCACTTCTACTGTCAAGAAGCACATCATAGCTGGATAACAAAGCTCTAACCTGTAACAGTTACAGCTTTTGCCTTATTCATTTTTAAAAAATGGAAACATTTTTCCATTGATTGCATCTGCTTTCTTTTAAATTGACCATATTAAATTAACTAATTTCTTAACAGAAAAAAAAATCCAAACAAAAATAACACATCGAAAAGTGCCATATTGTAAATCATTCTAATATATATATACTGTAACACATTTCAACATAAAACTGGTAACTTACATTCTGTTTAAAATATAAAGTCAGTGCTGTAGTATAACTTTGTTTCTATAAATAATGATTATAGCACAAAGAAGCCCACTTTCCCCAAATAAAAATAACTTAAAAAGCTGTAAAAGAGTCTAACTAAGCTTGGCTCGAAAAAACAGTTTGCTAGGTCTAGTCAAATGTCCCACATTCTGAAGGTATTGTAATTGCTTGCAATTGATAGACAAACACCAAGTTAATAAAACACAAAACAAGGATAAAAAGTGCTGCATATAAACCCCTGATGCACCAAAGATTAATATCAAAGATCACAGATACATCTATTAAATCAAACTGGAAAAATTTCCAGCCAAGGATATAGCTTTAAAAAGGAAATGTTAAAAAAAAAAAGTTTAAATGTAAAGCAATCCCGTGATACTTCCACCATGTGGGGCTATACATACAGATTCCATGATACAGTATTTCACATAAATGGATACTATATAACCTCCTTGCTGAGAAGGAGATCACATGTGCTATTGTAGCAAACCTCCCTCAGCATTTGAGCTGAACAAAAAACTACTAAACACCACAAAGATGCATCATCTTTCAATAACCCAGCTGGGATTTCTCCACTAAAATGGCTGCGGCGAGCTGCTGGGCGTCTGTCATGTGAGGATTCCTTTTCATGACAATTCTCACAAGGTCAGGGGGGAAGATGTTGCACAAATTGATATAAATCTTTTCTCGGTTGTCTTGATACCTCGGGGGATCTTGCGGCATTCCACAGTATGGGATCCGCCAGGCTGGCTCCTGTTGCTCAGGGAGGCTCTGGAAGGTGAACTGCTCATAACACGGCTGTGTGGAGTTATCGGGCAAGGAATAAGTCTGCCGGTACCCATAGGCGTCGATCCCATAGCCTGGCCTCTCCCAGCTTCCCAGGCCTTCCTGGCGGGAATAAGGCTTTCTTTGTCGTGAAGGAGAACTGTCATAAAGTCGAGAGTCAGAGATGCTGTCTATTCTCGTGGCCACCAAGGACCTCCCTAGGTGTGGTGCCTTAGAGTGTGCTGAACTTGGAGGAGAGGGGTAGTCGCCAGGACAGCTGGACCGGGCGCCCACAGCGGAGTGCGGCAGGTGCAGAGCCAGGTGCGGAAGAGGAGGCTTGTGATGGAACTTTGGTTCTTCGTGACTGTAACTTTGCCCTCTGGTTAAGGGGTCGTGGAAATTCTGCAGGAACGGTTGAGGATTAAGGCGGCTGTGAGGGTGCATGTGTTGACACTTCAAATTCTCCTCTAGCTGTGGGTCGGGGGAGCTGACATAGGACCGGTCATTGTAACCCACGTAGGAGTCACTGCTCCCACAGCTCATGCTCCCTTCACTGCTGCAGTCAGAAGCTACGGAACTTATTCTATAATCTGTGTCTAAGGAGAAACGCCTTTCAGGGCTTCGTGGGCCTGAGAGACTCAGATTTGAGTATGCATTCAACATGGAATAATATCCGATGTCGACAGGTGAGTCACATTTTGGATACTGTTCATAAGGCATTGGCGTTCCATGATTTTTGGTTGCCATCATCATTGAAGGATATTGTCCCTGTGGTCTTTGATCCTGAGGTGGGAAATGAACTCCAGATGGAAGGCCATTGCTTAAAGATGTAGTGCTTTGGGGTTTTGCAGTAGAAGTAGCTGGGATGCTAACTAAGGAAGGTACAGACCTGGTTTCCAATTTGTTTTTGGTGGGAAGCTTTTCTTCTAGGTCTTGGTAGACTTGTGTCCTTATGCTTGGATCTGATTGCCTCTTTGGAGCACCTCGTTTGACATCAGAAGTGCTATCAGCCTTGGTGCTACAAGGAACACTGTTGCTTTTCACCAGTCCTCCTTCGTTTGCAGTTTTGGCTGCCGTATTTCTAGACATGGCACGGAGTTCATCAGCCACTGACCGCTGTGGCTGACTGCCCCTTTCGGGATGGTAATATTTGCACTTGTGTCCATAGGTACACTTCTTTCCTAAGAAGAGTAAAATTAATTAGGCAAAGGAGCATACCATCAGATCCTGAAAACTCAGTTTGGCCCTATGATTTTAACTTGTAGAAGAGACAACGATAGAAATGGGAGCTGTGCTAAGTGTCACTCTGTTCTTTACTCTTGAGAAACGTCACTTCTCAGTCTTCTCATTTCTTTACTATCAAGAACAGGAGGAAGTTGGCCGAATGAGTAATAATCACCTCCAGAACTTTTTTTTTTTTTTTGAGACAGGGTCTTGCTCTGTCACCCAGGTGGAGGGCAGTGGTGTGATCTCAGCTCACTGCAACCTCTGCCTCTCGGGTTCAAGCAATTCTTATGCCTCGGCCATCTGAGTAGCTGGGATCACAGGCGTGCGCTACCAAGCCTGGTGAATTTTTTTGTATTTTAAGTAGAGACAGGGTTTCTCCATGTTAGCCAGGCTGGTCTCAACTCCTGGCCTCATGTGATCTGCCCACCTTGGCCTCCCAAACTGCTGGGATTACAGATTTGAGCCACTGCACCCAGCCACTTCCAGAACTTTTGGCTAATACCTCCGTGTCCTCAACTCCTACCTGCCTCTTGTCTTCCAGTAGGACTTTATAATTAGGTAGGAAATTCTGTTTTGAAGAGCACAGTATACTACTGTAGGGCGATAGAACCATGCTCATCTGATTTGTATCTAGATGAAAAAACTCCAAATTTTTATTCACTTCAAAACTAACTTCACGTAGAATTAACAGTGTTTTTTGAACCATGTTTTAATATAAGGAAATGCATTTGTCTTGAATCCAAACAGGTAAAAATAATTCTTTTTCATGGCTAAGACGTTTTCTGAAATTTATCTGGAATCCAAAGAACTGCATATTATGCCATCCAAAATTTTAAGTGTTCATTTTTGTTAACAAAAGTTTAATAATATATTGTGTTCTAAAGGCATATACCCAATATTCACAAAGCAAGTTACCATATGGACAAGGCTGCTTTTTGTGTTCAGGAACAATAGGTTTCTTCCTCAGAAAATTATCCAGACTGGGGCCATGTCTGCCAAGAGGGTCATCAGGGGGCATGAACCTGTCATGGAGATAATAAAAAAATGATACCTAAGTAGGAGGCTGATAATTTAATTCTAAAAAGAGTACAAAGATTTGTTCCCTCTATAAGGAATTTTTTTTGCAATTTTAATCCAAGTGTTTTGATTCCACGTTTACAGAGTAAAAAAGAAATCAGTAAATGAAGTTCTCATTTCTTAATGAAAATTGAACTGTTTTGAGCTGAAATTGTATTTGTTTTAATTCAAGTAAGTTTTGAGTTGAGCATGTCCTATTAATTCTTCCTTCCTCTCAGTCTTGGGATTTTGTAAGGGTTTTAGAAAACGATTTCAGTGACACTTTAGGAGAGCTTTATCAACATACACCTCATGAAATGGACTGCTGCAGGTGGGGCGAGGTGGAGCAGCTGAGAAGAAGGGAGGGGGCTGGAACACAATGGGAAGGTACGAACTTACCAGACACCGGTTAGTGCTAGGCACTTTACACACTACACCATGGCATCCTAACCATGATCCCACGAAGTATTAGCTCCATTTTACAGATATGTAAACTTTTCTAATTTAGGTTTAGATAAATGAAGTGATTTTTATCCAATGTTGCATGGCATAGTCAAGATTCAATTAGATCTAACTCCGATCTATTCTCTTCCCCTATTTGAATGCGCTTCTCAGTTGAGATAGAAAAAAATGCTAAGGAAATAAACCTACTATTTTGGATGGACTAATAAAGAAGAGAAGAATTTATGGCATGAATAATGAAAAGAAGTTATGCTTGAAGAATTCTGCTATTCATTATATTACCATTTGAACTTAAACCCAAGTATTTACCTATAAAATGTGAATAATGGGAATAATGTATGAACCCTTACAGGAGTGTCAACATGGCTGAGTAGTAACACTTAGCAACCACAGTGTTTATTATTACAAAACAATATGGTAACACTACATGTTACAAAACAGAAGATAAAGTCACTCAATCCCACAATCTTAATACAATTACTTTCCAGGTCTGTGTTAGATTTAAGTCATTTTCATTGTGCACACATCATTTTACATGGCTTTAATCAAACACAAATACAATTTTACACTTTGCCTTTTTAACATAAAAAAACTTTCCCATGTTTCTTAATAGCCTTCATAATAATCCTTTTTTTCTTTTTGACACAGAGTTTTGCTGTTTCACCCAGGCTGGAGTGAAGTGGTACCATCTCAGCTCACTGCAACCTCCGCCCCCCTGGGGTTCAAACAATTCTCCTGCCTCAGCCTCCCAAGTAGCTGGAATTACAGGCGCCCACCACTATGCCCAGCTAATTTTTTTTGGATTTTTAGTAGAGACGGGGTTTCGCCATGTTGGCCAGGCTGGTCTCAAACTCCTGGCCTCAGGTGATGCACCTGCCTTGGCCTCCCAAAGTGCTAGGATTACAGGCATGAGCCACCACACCTGGCATAATTCTTTTTTTCATAAGAACTCTGAAGAGCTGAATAATATTCCAGTAGGAGATGTATCATAATTTGATTGATTTCTCTATTGTACATTTAGTTGCCCTTGAATTCTTGCAATTATAAATAATACAGAAATGAACACATCTGGTCTTTATTTATTCCTCAGTATATATTCCAAGAAATGAGATTTTTGGGTTGATGGAACACAATATTCTTGAGGCTTCTGTGAACCTCTGCCAAATAACCTATCAGTGCCTCTTTAATAGCATAAGGCACACACAAAATTATTTTTGTGAATTAAATGAGAAAATATATTCTTTTTAGATTCATTTGCATTTTTAATTAGCACAAGAGGTGAACTTTTTCTACATATTTAGAAATATATTTACTTCTCATGAGACATGCTTGATGTCATTCGTTCATTCATCAACTTTTAGACTCTGATCATGACCAGAGTCTTACATTACTATAAGAACTTTAAAAATTCAGGTACAGTCACGCACTGCATAACATCTTGGTCAACAATGGACTGCATATATGACGGTAGAGCTGAAAAGTTGCTGGTAACGTAATAGCACAATGCATTACACATGTGTTTGTGATCATGCTGATGCTGGTACAAACAAAGCTACCATGCCCCCAGTCGTATAAAAGTGTAGCACATACTATTATGGACTGCGCATAATACTCGATAAACCATGATGTCACTGGCTGTGCGTGATGGCTCATGCCTGTAATCCCAGCATTTTGGGAGGCCAAGGCAGACAGACCACTTGAGGTCAGGAGTTCGAGACCAGCCTGGCCAACATGGTGAAACCTCGTCTCTACTAAAAAAAAAAAACACAAAAATTAGCCAGGTGTGATGGGGCGTGCCTGTAATTCCAGCTACTCAGGAGGCTGAGGAATGAGAATTGCTTGAACCTGGGAGACGGAGGTTGCAGTGAGCTGAGGTGGCACCACTGCACTCCAGCTTGGGCGACAGGGCAAGACTCCGTCTCAAAAAACAAAAAAACAAAAGAAAACAAAATATCCCCAACTATGTTACTGGTTTATATAGTTACTATATTATACTTTTTGTTTTTATTTTAGAGTGTATTCCTTCTACTTCTAAAATAATGTTAACTGTAAAACAGCTTCATGCAGTTCATTCAGGAAGTATTTCAAAAGGCATCGTTACCATAGGAGATGACAGCTCCACGCATAGTACTGCCCCTGGAGACTTTCCAGGGGAACAATATGTGGGGGTGGAGGACAGTGATTTTGATGATCCTGACCCTGTGCAGGCCTAGGATAATGTGTTTGTGTCTTAGTTTTTAACAAACACTTTAAAAAGAAAAAAAAATAAAAATAGAAAACAGCTTATAGAATAAGGATATAAAGAAGGAAAATGTTTTTGTACAGTTGTACAATGTTTTAAGCTAAGTGGTATTACAAAAGAGAAAAAAGTTTTAAAAACTAAGAAGTTTATATATTAATAGTAAAAAAGTTATAAGCCAAGGTTAATATATTATTGAAAAAAGAAAAGTATTTTTTGATAAATTTGGCATAGCCTAAGTATACAGTGTTTATAAAGTCTATAGTGGTTTATAGTAATGTCCTAGCCGTTCACATTCACTCACCATTCATTCACTGACTCACTCAGGACAACTTCCCGTCCTGCAAGCCCCATTCATGGTAAGTGCCCTACAGAGACATACCATTTAGAAATCTTTTATACCATATTTTATGGTATATATACCTCTTCAGTGTTTAGGTATGTTTAGATATACAAACATATCATACCATCGTATTACAGTTGCCTACAGTATTCAGTACAGTAGCATGCTATACAAGTTGGTAGCCTGGAAGCAACAGGCTATATGTACCACATCGCCTAGGCGTGTAGTAGGCTGTTCCAGCTGGTTTGTGTAAGTACACTCTATGATGTTCATACCCACAATGAAATCGCCTGAAGATGAATTTCTCAGAACGTATCCCTGTTGTTAAGCCAAGCATGGCTTATTTAGTAAGCTATCAGTGCTCTAAATTGATTTTAAAAGGCAGTCCTTTGAGGGTGAAGATGGGAATTTCCCCAGTGTCTGTTTCCTCAGGTTCTCCAGACATAGTCTTAGAAGACTTCCTCTACCTTAGGTGTTCTATGAGTGACTTACAGGGAAAGGTGGGGCCTGCCACTCACACCGGGCCTCCTCTGGCAATGATTCTGCAGTTTTCCTGACTCCCACTGAGGATCAGTGGGGAGATCAGTTGTTAGAAACCTGTGTGAAGTCTGGACAGTGGCAAAAAGAGAATTCTGTAGCAGCTGCCAGGGATAGTTATATTTTTACAGAAGCAGTATCATTGGCAAGTAAATGGTTTTACTTACTTGTCATTGACAAATGAATACATTAATAATCGTTCATCTATGAACTTCTTCCATTCTGGCTTCTCATTAGCCAAGTCCCTGTAGTTATCATTGGACACAATGATACCGTCCGACTCAAAAGCCAGCTTCACGATGAACCTGTCGTCATAGCACACCACTCTCCTCCCCTGGACTCGCCGGGATGGCGTGAACACCAGGATTTTCTCCTTCTCTAATTTACGTAAAATTTCCTGATCTGCAAGAATAATGACGGTAGGATGGCAGAAAGTAAATACATAGATAACACACATGGCAACTTTCATACAATGTGAAACTCTAAAACATAAGCTGTATATATGAAATCCTTTAATTAGGGATTATGATTTAATTTGTAGATACAGCATCATTTCCAACTCTCAATAGTATTTTTCCTTCAGGAATTTTAATAATAAAGACTTTAAAACTAGTTAAAAAAATACGAACAGTATAAAATTGAACCATGACTGGGCAAATTCTGACTGTCATTATGTGAAGCTTTTGCTTAAGAGCTGGAGTCATCACACGACCACTATGGACACAGCTTCTTCCACGTTCCTACTTGAATGCCATTCTAATAAAGCAGCTGTATGCTGTGTGGGGTTCAGGTGTGAGCAATACATTTTTTTCCTTTTAAGTTTGTTTGCATACTTCGTAATTATTTTCTTCTAACTAGTGGGAGAGTATGAAAGGAAGTAGAAGTTGTCCAGGTAGCAAAGAGAAAAATCTTTAAATGCAGAAAGTTCAAAGAGAGAGAAGGCAGTGAGGTCACAAGTGTTGTTATAAACATGGCTACAATATGCCCCATGACCTTTCTGTGAGACATGGTGACAAATGCCAGCATTCTTGTGGGGGTCAGACTGAGTAAAAGATAAGAAGTCATCATGTGGAGAAAACATCTGCTGATTAGAAAAGGCCAGGTAGAGATATGCTCATTTTGTCTGTGGTTGGATTTTTTTTTTTTCTGTGACTGAGTCTTGGTCTATCGCCCAGGCTGGAGTGCAGTGGTGTGATCTTGGCTCACTGCAACCTCCGCCTCCCCGGTTCAAGTGATTCTTGTGCCTCAGCCTTCTGAGTAGCTGGGATTACAGGCGCCTGTCACCACGCCTGGCTAATTTTTGTATTTTTATTAGAGACAGGGTTTCACCATGTTGGCCAGGCTGTTCTTGAACTCCTGACCTCAGGTGATCCACCCGCCTCAGCCTCCCAAAGTGCTGGGATTACAGGAGTGAGCCACCGTGCCCGGCTGGTTGGCATACTCTTATAGCACTTTGTAACTCTATTGACTTGTTTTGTGATTTAAAAAAGGGTACTAGAGTTCATATGTTAATCAATGATAAAAATTCTCTTTCAACCATCCTTTCCTTCTACTTTTGCTCCTCTGTCCCCCATTTTCCCACCATTGTAAGTTCTGGCACAGAGTGCGGGGCACAAACCTACAGATGTCATGATTTTTTTTAAAAAAAAGCTCACTTCTTCTCAATGCTTATTAACTGGACTTACTAAGTTTTTTTCAATCCATCTCTGCAACGGATGATTATTACATACCTTCCTGGTATTGTGCCAGGTGTAACAGCCATCAAGATTAAAAATCACCTCTCCAAAGGAGCCTCAGTCTGACTGCACTGGACAAACACATAAGCCAGGTAAGCAAGGGTTGTAACTGCCACAGCAGAAGTGTGAGCTGGGTACAGATGGAAGAGTGACACGGGTCAGCTCTAATCCTGGCATACAGATTGATGATGCTCCTGACAGATGAATTCATTAAGACCAGACATTTGGGAGGCTGAGGCAGGCAGATTGCTTGAGCTCAGGAGTTCAAGTCTACCCTGGCCAACATAGCAAAATCCTGTCTTTACAAAAAATACAATAATTAGATGAGTGTGATGGTGCACACCTGTAATCCCAGCTACCTGGGAAGCTGAGGCAGGAGAATTGCTTGAACCCTGGGAAGTGAAGGCTGCAGTGAGCCGAGATCACGCCACTGCTCTCCAGCCTGGGCAACAGAGCGAGACTCTGTCTTAAAAAAAAAAAAAAAAAAAAAAGACCAGACCTTTCTATGAGTGGAAGAAATGTGGCTCAGGTTCTGCCACTTTCCACATCAGACAATCACAATCTTGTTGAGTCTGTTTCTTCATGTTGTCAAATGCAGTTGATAGACTATGAGAAGTACATGAGTTATCTTGCGGCAAAGCAGCTAGCACAGTGCCTGGCAAGCTCTCAGTAAACACTGTGCTCTTCAACTTAATTTTGTTCAATAGATGTAACTGCTGATCTCTCTGTTTTTTTTTTTTTTTGAGACGGAGTCTTGCTCCGTCACCCAGGCTGGAGTGCACTGGTGCGATCTCAGCTCACTGCAACCTCCACCTCCCAGGTTCAAGCAATTCTTCTGCCTCAGCCTCCTGAGTAGCTGGGACTACAAGCGTGCACCACCATGCCCGGCTAATTTTTGTAATTTTAGTAGAGATGGGGTTTCACCATATTGGCCAGGGTGGTCTCGAACTCCTGACCTCGTGATCCGCCCGCCTGGGCCTCCCAAAGTGCTGGGATTACAGGTATGAGCCACTGTGCCTGGCCTACTGTTGATCTCTTTTAGAAATGACAGAATACCAATGCAAAAGCAAGTGCCCCGTCTCAATTATAGGAGCTGTCATATAGTTTTGTGTATTATTAACCTGATAAGCATTTTGAGGGCAGGTGCCATGAGTCATTTATCTTTGTATCCATCAGCACCCAGCCCATGAGGCACATCAGTAGATGTTCAATGACTGTCTGTGGAATGAATGAGTTACTTAAACCTATATACTCTGAAGTCTTTCAGTTCTTTCGTCGTCTTATGTTCATGAGTAATCTATGGTACTTTATTATTTGTGAGGATGTCTACTCATCTATGCCATGTCTTGATCCTCACCAAAGTGAGTTGTAGATTAAGTTCGGTGGCCTCACAGTCATCATGTTGCTTAATTTGCATTTCTTTAATTGTTAATGAGGTTAGGACATTAATTAGGATGACATAAATAATCCTGACATAAGTAATATGGGTTCAGTAAAACTAGTAAGTTAACTGAATTTCTAGTTCTTAGCACAGCACTTGATACATAGCTAGTGCTTGTTAAATATTTGATAAATGAATGGAAGATTGGCAAAAGTGCTAATCTGAATCTATGATGCTGACAACTTAAAAATATTTCTTATCAAGGGTCTTTTTTGTTGCAGTGAAAGAGTATTGGGCTACTCAATTTATCAGGTATTATCTGGTTCAGGGTTTTAGTTAAGAGAATTATTACCCTGGGGTTATAATACCTATAATACCTAAAAATATAAATATATATTTATATATATAAAATATATAAAAATATAATGCCTCTGCCATTAGTTTGGCATTTTATAAAGCAATCTGCATACTGATGTGTTCCAGGGACTGGCATGCTGGTATTTTTAAAACTAAACTTAGACACACTTACACAGTGTACTATCATTTTCTCTTCTTCTCTTCATGTTCAAGAAGCTTTAAAGTCATTTACATGCCTAAATATTGTTTTCCTTTTTTTAATTTACTCTATCCCTTCCCCCATTATCAAAATATTGTTAAGTTCCCTGTAGAAAATTAGAAAGGTAAGGACGAGTACTAAGAAGCAGGCAGAAATAAAAACCTCACAAAGTTGCAACTAAGAGGCAATTACTCTTAACAGTTTGGTATATTTCCTGCTCATCATTTTCTGTGTATTTTGTTCTTTCCACTGTTGATATATGTGTATATATATATGTATGCCTGTGTGTCTGTATAGACAGACACACAAAAATAAAATCTGCCTTTTATGTAAAAGAGCATTTCTGCAGATCATTAAAAATTCTGCCTGAATATTCTAATGCATATTCTATCATATTGATACCTCCTAATTGAACCATTCTTCTAATGAATGAACACTTTTTTTTTTCTATTCTAAATAATGGTACTGCATGGGATGTCTTTGGTCACAAATATTTGTCTGTACTTCTGCTTATTTTCTTGGAACTTATTCTTAGAAGGGGAACTAGTGGATCCAAGAATATTAACATTTTAAGACCAACTACTTTCTTGACAGGTTGTAACAATTTCCACAGCAGCCTATGAGTAACTGCTTCAGGGCACTGAATGCTATCAGTTTTTTACTTTCCGCTATTTTTTTTTTTTTTTGAGATGGAGTCTTGCTCAGTTGCCCAGGCTGGAGTGCAGTGGCATGATCTCGGCTCACTGCAACCCCCACTTCCTGGGTTCAAGCGATTCTTGAAGCAATTCTTGTCTCAGCCTCCCTAATAGCTGGGATTACAGGTGCCCGCCACCAGGCCCAGCTAATTTTTTGTGTTTTTAGTGGAGACAGGATTTCACCATGTTGGCCAGGCTGGTCTTGAACTCCTGACCTCAAGTGATCCATCTGCCTCGGTCTCCCAAAGTGCTGGGATTACAGGCTTGAGCCACTGCATCTGGCCATCTCTGCTAATTTGCTGGGTGAAAAATAACATTGTTTAGATTTGCATTTATTTAATTACTAATGGGGTTGAACTTTTTTTCTTCTTATTTGGTGCTTATATTCTGGGAGTTGTCTATTCCTAGCCTTTTGATGCTTATATACTGGAAAGAAGTTTTTTTTTTTTTTTTTTAATCAAGCTGTATGAGCTCTTTGTATTAAGGGCATGATTCTTTGTTGGATTTTTTTTTCCTTAGGCAACTTGCCAATTATCATTTTTAAGAAAGTTTCTCAAAATGCAGGAGCTTTAATTTTGATATAATTTTATCTCTCTTTTCCTTAGTAATTTCTTCTAAAAGTTTTAAATTTAGAAAATTCTTATGGTCTCTGATGGTTTGATTTTTGATAATTAGTCTTCAACCACCTGGAATTTATTGTTATATGGTGTAAGATAAGGGTCTAAACAAGTACATTTTTCCCAAAGGGTTATCCAATATTTGGTACTACTGGTTGAATGATGACCTCTCTGCTTTACATTTATACATAGGCTAGGGTCTGGTTCCACTTTGGACTCCACCATGACTTGCCTATTCATTCTTATGTTAATTTAACAATGATGTAATAATTATACATAAAAACTAAGTCTTTTTTTTTTTTTGAGATGGGGTCTCACTGTGTCACCCAGCTTGGAGTGCAGTGGCGTGATCTCACCTCACTGCAACTTCTGCCTCCTGGGCTCAAGTGATTCTCCCACTTCAGCTCTCGGGTATCTGGACCACAGCACATGCCACCACACCTGGCTAATTTTTTGTATTTTTGGTAGAAACAGAGTTTCACCATGTTGCCCAGGCTGGTCTTGAATTACTGAGCTCAAGTGATCTTCCCGCCTCGGCCTCCCAAAGTTCTGGGATTACAGGCATGAGCCACTGCGCCCAGCCAAAAATTAAGTCTTAATCATCCCCTTTGGGTATATAGTAGATGGTCTCTTTATTTGTTTTTGATTTAAAATGTTTTACAGTTGTCTTTACACGGGTGCCTCAGTTTTTGTCAATACTGGATGCAGAGAGAAGGACAAGAAAGGTTGGATGTTGATTGTAAATCACTGTAATTGAGCAAAATGTTCAAGAACAATAATTAACAGTTACAGAGGACATCATTGCCTGAAACTCATACATTTAAAAACTACAAAATAATGCAAAATACATTTCTTTCTACTGGACTGAAGCACATCTTATGGTCTTACATGTCTTTTTTGAACTGTTGTTATTAGAATCTGACTGCCACCTAATGTCACAATAGCACATGAGAAATTGGGGCCCAAAGGGGTTCATTGTGTGGCTCAAAGTCTTCATAGCTAGTGAAGGGCAAAGCCAGAATTTGGATCCAGGTCTTGTGACTTCTGGCATCTCTCTAAAGGTCAGAATTTCACAAAATTTGAAGTCAGAGTTTCCACAAAAGTAAAGAAAAAAAAAAAGCTGGCTTATGTAGTGATGATTAATGTTTAATTAATAAAACCAGATAGTTTTCAAACTCAAAAACTGGACAGGCATGGTAGCTCATGCCTGTAATCCCAGCACTTTGGGAGGCCGAGGTGGGCAGATCAGTTGAGGTCAGGAGTTCGAGACCAGCCTGGCCAACAGGGTGAAATCCTGTCTCTACTAAAAATACAAAAATAAGCTGCGTGTGGTGGCACACGCCTGTAATCCCAGCTACTCGGCAGGCTGAGGCACGAGAAGTGCTTGAACCTGGGAGGCGGAGGTTGCAGTGAGCCAAGATCGTACCACTGCACCCCAGCCTGGGTGACAGTGGGAGACTCTATCTCAGAAAACAACAACAACAAAAAACAACGTTTGTGTCCCACTGCCTGCGCTGAGCAAGTGAAATGGATTTAGGATACCTGACAGTGTCAGACACCTGCATGGTTATTATAGGAAAGCTAGGTACAAGCAGCCGCCTGGAATAAGCCTACCTGTAATGAGAGCATCAGGTCGGGATTGCTCTTTCCTCCAAGCAGGAACAAAAACTGTAATGTCTTTGTGGCCTCTTTCCAAAAACCAATCCACTGCCAATTTTATTCCTCTGCAGGAAAATACTTCTTTGTTTCCATGGCTGAAAGATTATTACGGAACACTTAAAACACAACAAAACCTAAATTTAAGTAAATTAATTCAAGTTTATAAACAGAAAGTATTACATAGTTACAACAGTAATAAGAGACGTCAGAGTTAAAATGGAGTTTATAGATCAGAGACACATCGAGATAACTAAGTTGAAAATCAAGATCTGTGAGGAAAAACAGAAAAGAAAATTGGGATGATTATTTTCCAGAGAAGAAACAAAAGTGAGTTTTCAAAGGTAAAGCTCTAAAGGTTAACTAGTCAGAAAGACACAAGCTGTTTTTGATCAGAATAAAGAAAACAGAAAGGGCTTCCTTCAACCACAGCAAGAAGAATTTCAGTCAAATGTCAAGAACTCATACAGAAAAAAAAAAATCTGTAAAAACAGTGAAACTGAATACTTATGAGTTTCTAAAAACTTTTCTTTCTCAAAAGTTCTTAGTGTATATTTCAATACTCAATGACTGAATACTGCACAAACTTTATCAGGTGACCAATGTAAAACAACATACTATACACTCACTGAAAGGAAAAACATGTTCACAATGCTTAATCTCATAGAAGAAACACTTTGCATATAATGCAGTGAAAAGACACCTAGTTTCTGTTCAACTATATCGTGTTGGACAAGGATTAATGATGACAAAAGGGCATTCAAAATTGGATTAGCAGCCTTAGTGCCTAAAAGAAAATGCCCAACTAACAGTGTAGTCATTCAGTAAGTGTTTATCTAGCACCAGGCTCTGCTTGTACACTTTAACCTAATAATTCAAAAATGATACCCATCCCAATGTTTTTGAAGAAAAAGTCTCCCATTTTGAATGCAATAATTATGTTCTTTTATAATGTGAGGGCTCCATTTGTTATCTATAACGGAGATATTTTTTCTTCTTAGGATGAAGGAGGGCTGAATGAAATATTGAAGGTAAATGCTTTATTAACTTTTAGCATAAACTAAACTTTAGGCATATTAATATTTTGTTCTAGGGTTCCCTGGGAAACCCTAGAACCATCTAACATATGGCTAATCATTTTTAGTAAAAAACAGAAATAGACTGACTTGCTTTGTAGATGTCGAAGGCTCCAAATACAAACAAGAGAAAATACATGGTTCCATAGTCCTGTCCTAATGGTCCAGGGCATGATTAGATGGGAAATCAGATGCACCAGAGTTTCAGAAAATGGGATAAGGAAAGGGAGATTTTGAGGTAATTTTCTAGGTAAGAAGGGTGACCCGATAGCCTGGTGAATGCACCATCAAAAGGTACAAAGTGATATTAGGTTTCATGGAAAATAATGAAATACTGAAATCAGTCTTCTGAAAAACTGTAGAAAATGGTATCTCTAGAGAGAACACATGTACCAAGTATTCCTAGATGCAAAAAGTCAGCTTGCTAAAACCTCACTAAAATTTTACTTTGCATTAATGCTTTGAAATCTATTGCATTATGTCTATCGCCATACCACCCTGAATGCACTGGATCTTGTCTGAAATCTATTGTATTAAGCTTTGCTAGTAAACTAATGATACTTGGTTTACTGAGAGTTGAGCATTTAATTGCTTCTGGCTCTAACGACAGGCCTGCATAAACATTTCTTCCTGGTAATTTCATTTGGTAAGGATAACTGTCACATTTACTCACTCTAGAAATAGAAAATTCTATCTCCTAAATAATTAAATAACTTTTACTTTCATAAAATGAGTGCAAACAGCAAACCATTTACAATTATGGGATAAAGATTCCATAGATGATAAAACAGGATACTGTACTATGCAATTCTGATCATAAAGGTTGTTTCATTATCCTCCCTCTCCACAAAGACTCACAGGGAAAAAACAAGAATGAAGATGAAAAACGGCATGTCGTTAATGGTAAATATCTCCATCTTGTTGAAAAAAATATAATCCTCCATGTGTTTAGGAATCTGTGGTCAAGTTTTCTGTTATTTGCAGCCGAAAACATCCCTAATTGCTATGCTAGGCACAGCTCTATGAATACCCAGAAAAAGAATATATTTTATGGCAAAAACCATTATTAGGAGCAGAAAAGTTATTATGTAACAGTTAATAGGAAGCTATAGTCATTCTAAACTCATCTCCAAATTAGTAACACAAAAGATCACAGTATTACTAGAAGAAATGAAAAAAATCCACAACCATACTAATTGACAGAAGAAGAAAACATTTAATAAGGATATAGATAACTGGAATAATCAATTACAAGCTTGATCTAATGGACATATACAAATTTTGCACAAAACTAAAGAGAAAAAATTATTTCAAAAAATATGAAAACTTTATAAATAAATTGGCTATGTACTAGGTCATAGAACAGATTTCAACAGATATCAGGAATCTGTACCATACATACAATACACTCTTTCACCACAATATGTTATTACATTGCAGATATAATGTCCTTGTTAAAAAATTAGTGTTGCTATAGCAGCAAAACCAATTTACAATTTTAATTTAAAAGATCCAATTTGTAATGTAATAAAAGCCATACAGATCTTTAAAAAAAGGCATGCAAGAGCTTTATAGATAAAATGAAATTGAAAACCTATATTAAAGGGCATAAGGTAAGACTTAAATAAAAAAACAATATACTATTTTTATGGACAGTAAGACTCGATTAATAAAGATGGCAAATGATTTCAAATTCATCTGTATGTTGCAATTCCAATCAAATTCTCCAAAGGTTTTTTTCACAGAACTTGAGAAACTAATCTTAAAATTAACATGGAAAAACCAAAGGCCAGCAATAAGGTGACATTACAAATCAATGAGGAAAAGATGAACTATTTAGCAAATGGTACTAGGGCAACTGGTTATTCCTGTGGAAAAAATAAAACTGCATTTTAATCTCACATCATATACAAAAATAAATTGTTGATAGATCAAATATTTAAATATGAAAAGAAAAATTATAAAAGTTTTAGAATAAATTACCAGAGAATTCACATCAGGATAAGAAAACACTTCTTAAACAAGACATAGAACTACATGCTATTAAGAAAAATAGACATATTGGAGCACATGAAAGTTCTTTATACAAAAGACTCCATAATAAAAAAACAGGTCATAGCTTTGGAGAGGAGATTTGCAACATATAATACCAATCAGAAGGTTAGTACTCAGAACATAAAGTACTCTCGTATATTAAAAGAGGTAGCCAGTTGTTTTTTAAGGCAAAAGATATGAACAATCAATTCACAGAAGAGGAAACTCAAATGACCAATGAACATAGGAAAAGATGTTCAATAGTAAAGAAATGCAAATTAAAGCCAAAATGAGACACTACTTCACACCCATCAGATTGATAAAAATAAAGTCTGCAAACACCAGATGTTGCCAAGAATGTGTGAAAGTAGGAACTCATACATCACAGGTGGGAGTGTAAATTGGTATAACTATTTGGGAGAGCAATTTGGCAATACTTCCATAAAGCGGAAGGCGTACTTTCTCTAAAATACAGTAGCTCTGCATCCAGGTACAGTAAAACCCCACAGGAACTCGAAATTAGATTCAATACAATTGGCAACTGCCTTTCATCCTCCTCCCAGCCTTAGATGGCACTTGGGGGCAAGCTACTGTTCTTATCTTTTAAACGGCGAGGGAAAGGCAGGTTAGTGGGGATGAGCAGGGTGGGTCCCCGAGTTACCAGGACTTTCCCAGCCAATATTCCCCTGATGAGGCCCCAAAATGAATGCTAACTGAGAAATCTCTAGAATCGCTGCTGTTGTCTTGGAAGTCTGTGTCAGGCATCAAGATCCAGAATCATTCATAGTATAATAACTTAAGCCTGAGCAGACAGTTACCTGGTGGCTCAAATCTGCAGATGGGACTTGTCACACTAGGAGAGGTTTTGGGAGACTGAACTTAATCTAACCTTACTGACGCATGATGAAGGATGTGACTCATCATACGTGCTAGATACAATATAAGGGACAACTAGAGGAGGTACTGATAAAGAATTACAAAATCAGAGTGAGCCAGATAAAGAATGATGAAAAACAGGATGTCAGAGTAAGTGCCATGTAGCTACTGATGCAAATGAACTATCTGTTGACTATTTACTAAAAAAAGGACCATAGCTTTAATTGCTTATAAATAGAGAACATTCACCATAGCTCTATAGCCACTTATGGGCTATCTGCATGGATGCAGGGGTTTTCTGCTCAGTAACAAAATTAGTTAATTCTATTTTTATGAATTAGCATGTTCCTTTGGGCCTTGATTACTTTTTTATCCCAACAATTTGGCAATAAGGAAGATTGGTATATCTCAAGTGAGTCCTTTTGGTGGGTGAATTTGTTGGAGGATTTGTGGTCACCCGTGATTAGGTCAGAACTCTGAATGTTTGCCAAAAAGTCTCCCTCTGACTACTTTGGCTGAGTGGGATTTGGTTCCCAGGGAAAATTCCAAAGCCTCTCTGTAAATTCCAAGTTACAACTGAGCAAAATGGGTAACTCATTGAAGGTCCCATCTGATTCATCACTGGCTTTAGCAGTAGAAAAATACGAGATGCCTAGAATATTGTCAGTAGGTCTCTCTTTTAAAAATAAAAGGCTTCTTTTATTCTCTCACATTTGGCATAAGCATACTTATAAAAATCCTGCTTTGCAACGGTCAAAAGAAGGCTCATTTGAAGTAGACAAATTGATGTATTTACAGGAATTCTCAGAAAAACCCCACTCAAAGGGATTATTGGTATCTCTGGATCTCAGGAAATAAAAGAAGGAATGAAGTGGGCAGCCACAAAGAATGAATTAAGAAACTGGAGGAAGAGATAAAGTAACTGAAAGCTCCTTTCTCTTCTTCCAGGTTCTTGACCTCTTTCTGCTGTTGCTCCTTCTGCTTTTTCTGCTTCTTGTTGCCCTTCTTTGCCTCTATCTAGGTCCTAGAAGAGTGGGGCAATGACCTTCTGGATGGATGGATGATTCCCAATGGCTACAGGTTCTGGAGATAACTTCCCTTTGGAAGGGGGAAAATTGCTAGCCTTATTAGAATATTCTAATGTGGATTCCATTCTCCAAAACTTCCCTAAACAGAACATGCAAAACACAGCTACGGAGGCAGAAATGATGAAGAAGAAGGAACAAGGAGTCTGAGAACCTGGATAACAGACTGTCCTAGAATTAAGGTATTAGGTTGGCAAATGGTTGCGTTGGTAACTTAGATGAAAGGGGAGGCAAAAGGAGTAAGGATACCAAACAGCAAAATGAGACTGACACTACAGTGTCATACAAACCAACTTATTGTTTCTTTTCTTTTCTTTTTTTTTTTTAATTTTACTTTAAATTCTGGGATACATGGGCTGAAATGTGCAGGTTTGTTACATAGGTATACATGTGCCATGGTGGTGTGCTGCACCTATCAACCCATCACCTCAGTTTTAAGCCCCGCGAGCATTAGGTATTTGTCCTAATGCTCTCCCTCCCCTTCCCTCCGACCCCCTGACAGGCCCCGGTGTGTGATATTCCCCTCCCTGTAGTCATGTGTTCTCATTGAGTCAACTTATTTTTTCATCTCAATGGAAGAAAATCAGCCCTACCCTTTAGTAGCTCCGGTGACTCAAATGCCTTTTTAAAGTGATCCAGGACTGCCAGGTACATCAGACATGGTAGGAGTGCATATGACCTTTTCCCCAGCTGATGGTACCCATCTTAAAGAGTTATTTCCCAGTGCTCTGAAAAGATCTGGAAACATTTGCCGAGGTGCTCTGTGGCACACTGGCTGCTGCATGGAGTTGCTCTGGCCGACTGTGTTTGACTAATGGAACAGGCACGGTGGAGGCAAATGATAACCCCTCTTGTAAGGGAGTGCCCTGGCCTCAGGAAGCTGACTGCCTCCTCAAACAAGAGGAGACTACCTCCTCTCATGCCTTAGAAACCCACCGCGAGGTGACCTGGGAGAAGCTGCAATGCTGCTGTTGGGTGAGTCTCCATTGATTTTCATCAGTGGCTGACTGAGGCATTTTCTAAATTAACAAGGATGGATTTAAAGGTAGATCAGAATAGACCCTTATTCTTCTCTACTTTTATGGCAGCCTTGCTACTGGGAATTCAGGCGTAGGTAAAAGAAAAGGTATGTGGATGGTAAGGATAGACAAGTTTCTCAGGTATTGGCAATAGCAATCCAGTTTTGGAAAAAAAAATGTAGAAAGATAAAGACAAAGAAACTTAAGACTGCAGTGTTACCTTCCCAGTTGGAATTGTTCACAAGGGGAGCAAACCCCTTTCTGGGACTACCAACAAATAAGAGAAGATCCTCTAATGAAAAGTCAATAGGTCACTACTATAGGAAGCTAGGACATTGGAAAAAGGGATGCTGGAAGAGACTGAGGAAGATGCAAGAGATGCAACCCAACTATGAAGCTTTACTACCCCCTCCAGAGATTTCTCCCCTCGGGAAATCAGACAGGAAATAACGCTGCAACTAGGAGCAAAAGTGACATAATGGGAGAGCCTCAGTGCTGGAAATGGGACAACCTGATCTGTTTGCTTGTTTTTCCTGCCTTAATCTTTTCCTGCTCTGTCTTGTGGAGACTAGAGCCATGAATTCTGCAGTTTCTGTTCATCTTTCTTGTTTTAGCCTGACCCGTTAAAACAAGTTACGGGGCCGGGCGCGACGGCTCATGCCTGTAATTCTAGCACCTTGGGAGGCTGAGGCGGGCGGATCATGAGGTCAGGAGATCAAGACCACCCTGGCTAACACGGTGAAGCCCTGTCTCTACTAAAAATACAAAAACAATTAGCCGGGCGTGGTGGCGGGCACCTGTGGTCCCAGCTACTCAGGAGGCTGAGGCAGGAGAATGGCATGAACCCGGGAGGCGGAGCTTGCAGTGAGCCGAGATCGCGCCACAGCACTCCAGCCTGGGCGACAGAGCAAGACTCCGTCTCAAAAACAAAACAAAACTAAACTAAACCAACAAGTTATGGGTTTCTCTCAACCGTCTTCTACCTTTTCTTTTTCGTCTGAGATTCCCGAGCCAATAGGTCCTGTGTTCGAAGAACATGCCTCTCTCTTGTTTCTTACTGCTGTTAATTTGTTGTGAAGGGACCTGCTGTGTAACCTAAGAGCCATCATATTCTGTACGCTGGGTATTTGGAAGATTCTAGGAGACAGGGCACTTGAGCTGGTGAGTATGTGCTTGTTTATATCAAGAGAAAGTATGTGCTGGGGATCTTCCATGCTATGGGCCACATTTTGAAGAAGAGAGGCATCCTAACATCAGTGGCAGCTAAAATACCACATAGGATATGAGATGCTGATTTACTAGAGTCACTGCAACTCCCCCCCGCCCCCAATTTCTGTAATTTGTTGTAGAGCTCATATTGGATAATAAGATGAAATTAATCTGTAGACCAAGCTCTGAAAAGGACTACTACGCTTTGGATTGGGTTAATTGAAACCTCATTACCTCTATCCAAAAATGCCTACTCAGTTTCAGGTAAAAGGAACGCCTTATGAACTAGACAACTGGAAATTAGGAGAGCTAAATGAACTTAAATTATCTTAACAAACATATTCTTCATAAGGCTTTCACTATTATAATTTTTCATTTTTCTGTAAATTCACTTTGTCTCATAGCTCTAATAAGATTATCTTTACTCAAGACTAATATACTGGAAAAGCACATAAATTCTACTTTTCTGCCCTCAAGAGAAGGGCCTAAGAAGTCAAAATAATTTCTTGTATCCTATTACACCATATGAATTGCCACCGGAGAATTATGCTTGTTTATTAATGGCACTATATTAGCCACCTACAATGGTTAATAGATAATAGAGGTGGGTTTTGTAATGCAGAGAAAAATTCAAGGGACCACATATTGTAATGCAATGTGCCTCAGTCTGGGGCCTAGAAGGGAAGATGATGGGACAACCACTTTTAGATCTGCCATATCTAAAAAACCATAATGTTACATATTAATGTTTTCTTTAGGTATATATACAGATACCATTAACTAGGTTAACCACAGAACAGGAAGGGTTATTTTAGAATTATAACTGTTACCTTCCAATGATAGACACGGGGAGTAATTGAAAAACATGGAAAAACCTAAAAAGAGAATGAAGGCATCTATAAAAAGAGACTGCCTCTTTTTAATACTTTATATGGCAGTGAAGAAAAGAACAAAGGAACCTCTTTTCAGTTATCTTTTTATTTCCTCAAATTTGATTTTACTACAATTTGCATATTATATAATGCTTGTTAAAAACCTTGGAAATTACAGGTGATCTTTATTTCTAAAACTTATATAATACGTATATTATTTACATGATCAAAGAAGACCTATTCTTAAAAAGTCTTTTTCACAAATCATCTAAAATCTAATGATACAAAGTACCTAGAATGGCACATTTCAGTACTCCAAATAGAGATGGCTCTTGAAGATACCGAAAATAACATAGCCTCTGGAATTTGACAGGAGTTTAAATTTTTTCTTTACCACTTTTCTGTGTGAGCTTGGGATTCTTATTCTGAATCTCAATTTCTCATCTTTAAAATGAAAATAACCTCACCTACCTCATAGCGTTGTGAGAACTGAATAAGGTAATAAACCTAGCCAAGTGCGTGGCATATCGAAGTCTTCGACACATGCTAGTGTCTTTACTTTCTCATGTCCTCTCAGTCTTAATATTTAGAAAATGGAAAAAAGCTTGTTTTGGAATCAAAATGAAACCAATAAAATACATCTTTATTTAATAGCTTTAATCTCACAATACTAAACTATGACTTTTAGAGCAAAATGCATGATGTGTAGAGATCACTAAACAGTGTTTTAAAAAGAAACCAAACAAAAGATCAAGGTAATTATGGGATTCAAAAGGACATGCACTGATTTTCTATAACCTTCTATATATCATCTTTTATTTAAATTAAAAACTTGACCTGTAAGTTTGCTATATTCTAAGATGTACTTGCATAAGATACCCTCCACTAGAAAAATAAGTATGATTATAAAACTTCTATTACTTTAATGGGTAATTAGATTAACCTACCTATCGTGATAAGGACACAAGTTAGCAGGGTTTGTCAATGAAGTGGCTAGAATGGAAATATAAAGGTATCTTTTTAGGCTGGGCACGGTGGCTCACGCCTGTAATCCTGGCACTTGTGGGAGGCTTAGGTGGGAGGACTGCTTGAGCCCAGGAGTTCAACCAGCCTGGACAACATAGCAAGACCCCGTCTTTATACATATATACACATACACATATACAAATACATATACGTGTGTGTGTTTTTAAAAATAATCTTTTTAAACTAGAAAATCATACTTGAATCTTTAGTATCAAAATCCTTCCAGTTTAGATATAGTTAATTATATTAGAGAAAGAGTATAGTAGATTTTAATCACAGAATAATTATAATATTAATAAATATTTATAGAACATTAAATTATTAATATAAAGTCCAGGTACTCTTCAAATATTTGGTGAATTAATTTTATTTTTTTCTCATATTTTAGGCCTGATTATACATAAACCATCTTGGACACATGAAAATAGATTTTAATTTTAAAGGACTCTAAAAAAAATGACTTTAAGACCTTCTTCACTGATATATTTTTCAATGTTTAATGATTGTTAAATTCTCTTACATCTATTCCGTAGTCCTTAAGCAGGGGGAAGAAGTGCAGCTGCCTCTCATCTTCAATAGGAAAATACAGAAACGTAGAAACAGGATATTTTACTTTCTCTCATTGTAGTCCAATTAAATTTCATATTTATTTGAGAATCTATAATTCATCTCATGGGGATCTGGAGTTTTTTCTTTTGTATTGAAGGCTCATAACTATTTATGCATGCCTATTTTGTTATTCTTATAGCTACTCAACGTTATTGTCTCTGATCTCTTTTCCAATATACCAAAATCATTCTGAAGCTAAATCTCATTCACAGGATGCTAAATACTAAACATACCACCAGAAAACTAAATCCATGTCCCTTGTTATAGATCATTTAAATCAATGCTTATCAAGCTGTGTTCCAAACAGAAATTCCATGGCATGGCAGGACCTTCTGGGGAGTAGAGAAGGGAATTTTTAAGTGGGAACACAACCCTGTACATCCTTCCCAATTCAAACAGAACTCTGCTATTGCTTGATTTTAAATATTGGGCTTCCATGAAGAGATCTGCAGGATTGTACTGCTTTAAAGGAAAATAGAAGCCTGGAAGTCATCGATTTAGGACAACAAAAATATTTAACACCAAAATTACTATGGAAGTCCATTATGCAGTAATTATTACCCTTCAGTTGGTTATGAGCTCAACAGCAGTACAGTTGAGAGGGGTAGCTTTGAGAATTGAAAGGGCCAAGGAAAAAGGAAAGGAAAAAAGATTTCCTTCGCCATATAAGGTCTACAATTTGAGGCAACATCTAGCTGGTCAAGATCCAGTCTAAAGATAATGAAGAAAATCTGTTTAGTAGATGTAAAAAGGTCTTATTAACAAAAGTAGAAAACATGGACTCTAATCACTTTTTCCCCATTTTGTATAACTGGTAACACTAGTTAGGTGAAGATCTGTGATTAACTTTATTTCTATGTAATAGGATTACTAAGGTTGCCAATTTTTAGGTTAGAGTTTAAATAAGCACACTTGAGATAATAGGAAAGTTTGCTGACTGGTCTATTAAAGTACATGACATTGATGACAACTAGAATTATGTACTTAGAATTATAAAGAGGTGCAATGGAATATAACTCTAATATCTGTCTTTGTCAGGCTCCACAATGATATAATTAAACAATAACAAAAAGCTAGCTCTGATTCTTTGATTCTTTTCATAGGCTCTAAGGATTTTCTTTAAAAACAGTAAGAGAAATGGGGCACTGCCAAATGAAGTAATACCTGTGACACTCACCTAGAGGGAATTTAAGCTATCCTTTAATGAATGTTACTTCTAGTAAACTGGGGCTTACAAAACAGTCTACTGAGAGGCTATTCAATAGAAATATAATGTGAGTCACATATATAGTTTTAAATCATCTGGCATACCATATTAAAAAAGTAAAAAGCAGCTGAAGTTAATTTTAGTATGTATTTCATTTAACTCAATATATCAAATTCTTTAAATCCACAATCAACATAAAAGTTATTCAAATAGTTTACATATTTTTGTACGAAGTCTCCGAAATGTGATATGTAGTTTATATTTACAGCATATCTCAATTTGGGCTAGACACATTTCATGCAGGTCTACTGCACGTAATTTTGATACAGTTTTGTTGAGAGAGCCAAAAACAAATTTGTATGAATTCCGGCAATTTTTAGTCTCATTTGTAGTCTAAACCATACATTTGGACTAGGTGTCCAGGATGATTTTATTAACTATAAGTCAGTGCTGTACTTAAATGATAACCAGGCAACAGGAGAGCAAAACCAACCAAACAATTGAAGGCAAATTTTAGAGCCTAGGCAAGAAAGCCTTCAGTATTCAAATTTATATTAAAAAGGGTTCTCAAGTTCATACAGCTTCCCAAAGATTAGATATAAGAAAGGCTTTGTACTTTTTAAAAGATTAATCAGAAGCTTAAATCCTGATTGTACAGATTGCTAAACTCTGCTTGTATTTCATAAATATATGGGCTTAGTTCATTTTCTTGATACAGAGGAAAGTTATCACAGCTTAATGCATTTTCCCTGTTCATATTCTGACTCTATATAATCTATATCTGATTTCTGTTCAAACTTTAAGAAAATTACTTCAGTGATTTACCTGCAGTGCTTTTTTTAATACCCCAGTTACAATCAGATGTGTACTAACACCAGCTGTTTTCCAATATGACTCTTTGCGGGGCTGAGTATAAACTCTCAAGCAAATGGTTACTTTATTTCTCTATTCTGTGTCATTTGATTGGTATATAAAACCAATGATATTCTTGTTGCATCTTTTTCCAGGAGTTGTCCACAATTTAACTTTTGCATATATTTTCAAACATAAGTGGGTCTCTTTGTCTCCAATCTTAGTGCTCAAATCCATTCTCTACATTTCCCTATAGAGTGATTTTTCCTAAAGGCAAAATATTACTATGCCACTTTTTTCCTTGCTTAAATTCTTCTAGTAGCTCCGTATCACTAACAGAGAGAAAATACGAGCATGGATCCCATGGGCAAAAGTGGTTCATGTGAGATTATTAGCCAACAAAACATTTATCTTAATACTCCACACGAACATGCAAAAATAAGGCCTACCCACCAGTCAGGGGAGAGATTTAATCTAATCCCAGAAACCTGGGTTCACTACCCAAAAGGTAGGACTTGCCATGATAAAGGAGGGAAAAGTTTCAACAGTCTGTTCATATCAAAAACACAAGACTGGTGTGGCCAGCTTCCATTCTAACACTCAACAGAAGAATGTGTGCTATGGCATGATGTGGAGGTAGCCATGAAGCTCTGGGCTTTTTCTTTCATCATTCTTATTTTATATAAAATCTGGAAGAAGCTGAAATGGGATATGGAGATTTAGTTAATTTTAATGAAGTCAGATGACTAGGTCATGGAAGAATATTGAAGAACTCAAACACTTTTAGGTACCAAAGGGGACTAACATCAATTTATCACATTCCCACTCTGGATAGCTCGCTAGAATTTGTTGTTGTTGTTATTTTTGAGATGGGGTCTCTGTTGCCCAGGCTGGAGTGCAGTGATGTGATCTCAGCTCATTGCAGCCTCCACCTTCCAGGCTCGTTCCATCCTCCCACCTCAGCCTCCCATGTAGGCATGCACCACCATATCCAGCTCATTTTTGTATTTTTAGTAGAGATGGGATTTTGCCATGTTGCCCAGGCTGGTCTTGAACTCCTGGCCTTAAGTGATCCACCTGCCTTGGCCTCCCAAAGTGCTGGGATTACAGGCATGAGCCACTGTGCCCGGCCTTAATTGTATTTTCTTAACGACAAGTCATCTGAACCTAAAACCAGGGAAAAATCTAGAAAGCATTGGATTCATTTAAGAAAATATATCATGCCACTGCACTCCAGCCTGAGTGACAAAGCGAGACTCAGTCTCAAAAAAAAAAAAAAAAAGAAAATATATGAATTTAAACTAGAGGGTACATGTGGATAGAGACTAATTCTATATTCTACAAAAGTAGAATGCTAGAAAATGTATTTTTAAATAACTCCTCTGGTAATTCTGGTATACAGGCATGGTTGTAGGTATTCCTCAGGGATCTATGACCTTCCTTCACTATTCCCTCGTTTGGCAATTTTATGGCTTTTGGTCTTAATATCACTAAGGTAATCATTCAGACATTCTGGATTATTCAAGAAAAAGATTATTTTGTGGTCAAGTTTGGGAAAGATCAAACAAGAGGTAATCTTACTGAAGTCCTTCTCAAAGCCCTATGAGCATTCCATACCTCTATGACACTTGGCGAGATTCTTTCTACTCCATTAGAAAGGGTTGTTTACATCCAAACTGATCTCCTACCTCCCATACATCATTGCAAAAATGATCAGTATAAGGCACAACTCTACTCTTGACACTCCTCTACTGAAAACCCTTCAATTACCCTTGGATTACAGAGCCAGCTTTAAATTCTCTAGTAAGATCTGGCTTTAACCTTTTCAACTTAGTTTTTCTCTTTTTTATGTAATGAAGAATATAGGCTTTTAGGTCAGACATTTTTGGGTTTGAATTCCATTTTGTCTTGGCAAGTAGTTCAAATCTTGTTGCATTTGCTAATAAATGAAAGAAAGATAATACTGCCTCCACCCGAAAAAGCTATTTAGAGGATTAGGTTGGTTCTCCTCATAGTCTATGTCAAAGAACTTGCTGTCACCTACAGAAAACAGTAGTTCCCTAATTTCAGCATACATCATTAATGGAAGGCACACTACTTACAAAGTGATGCCTGAGTTACACTTTGAACTTGACTTGGTAGGTCTGCATGGGGCTCTAGAAGTGCATTGTCCAATATAGTAGTCAATAGCCACATCAGGATACTGAGCACCTGAAATATGGCTATTCTAAATTGAGATGTGCTATAAGATATACACCAGATTTCAAAGACTTAAAATCAAAAGAATAATGCAGGCCAGGAGTGGTGGCTCATGCCTGTAATCCCAGCACTTTGGGGTGCCGAGGCAGGCAGATCACTTGAGGTCAAGAGTTTGAAACCAGCCTGGCCAACATGGTAAAACCCAGGCTCTACTAAAAAATACAAAAATTAGCCAGGCACGGTGGCATGTGCCTGGAGTCCCAGCTACTCAGGGAGGCTGAGGCACAAGAATCGCTTGAACCTGGGGGCGGAGGTTGCAGTGAGCCAAGATGGTGCCACTGCACTCCAGTCTGGGTGACAGGGTAAGACGTTGTCTTAAAAAAAAAAAAAAAGAATAATGTAAACTATCTCATTAATAACTTTTTAAAATTGATTACATGTCGGCAAGATATTTTAGACATGTTAGCCTAAACAAAATACATTAGTCACATTAATTTTACCTGTTTCTTTTTACTTTTTGATGTAGGTACTAGAAAATTTAATATGACATACATGGTTTGCATTGTATTTCCCTTGGACAGCACTGATATAGAATCTGCATTTTCCATAAGTCCCTCAGATGATTCTCTGGTAGGCATCATCAGATCACCTTCTGAGAAACTGCATATGAAACTCTAAGCTCTCCAGAGGAAGAACTGATGCTTTTATACACATATCTTTTTATCTTCACAGCGCTCTGAAATTGTGAGCAGTTACCCATAAGCTGATTGAATTTAGATGTGCTTTAAATATTGAGCCATCAAAATCACACAAAAAAATTTCTTTTAAAATTTTATTTTAAATATATATATATATTTTGCTATAGGTAGAGGTGTTTCCCTATGTTGCTCAGGCTGGTCTCAAACTCCTGGCCTCAAATGATCCTTCCATCTTGACCTCTCGAAGTGTTGGGATTACAAGTGTGAGACACCCTGCCTAGCCAAAAAAATTATCACTGAAAGTTTTGCTTTTTTTTCCCCCCAGTTCCTTAAGAATTATTTCTGATTTGAATTTCTTAAATGAAAACAACTCAAATTACAAAACAATTCAAACTACAGCTTTGGTTTTTTCTCAAATCAATAAAATACATAGTTTATTTTCTAGAAGAATTAGGGTTATTTAACTTCCTAAAGAAATAGACCATTTGACTAGATTCTAAAATTGTTGAATATTATCATATCAAATTATTCATTTAAAACTACTGATTAATAGTAAACCAGAAACACACACTAATTTTTATACCATAGAAATTTAGCCAGATGAGGACAAAAAGAGACATATCTGAGAAAAATGGGTCTCTATACGGGGATAAATGAAGTAAAGATGGCTGAGTGCCCTGAAAGAAGAGAGACGGAAAACTAATGTTTTCTAATGTTAACATCAGGATACAGAAAAATGTTGACTTTAATGACCATGAGAAGGAAAAGAGCCACAAAATTAGAAATAAGGCTTTTAAAGATTATTTGGTAGTAATTTTCAGTAACGATTTTTCCACTTACCTCATTGCCACATTGCTGCCATCAATAACTATTGGTCTCAGATTTTCACCATCATCTGTTACAATCTCTTGCATTGGAGATTCAGACCTCTGAGATTCCAGGGAAGAAGTTTCCCGTGTTATAGTGTTAATTGTACTAACCGTTTGATCAGCCTCACTTTTATTTCCAAGTTTGACAAGTTCTCCCAAAATATCATTGATTAAAGCATCAGTACCAAGTTTGTTTAGTACAAGCTGAACCTGTTCTTCAGAATAACCTAACTTAAGTGCAAACTCCAGTTTTGTTTGGTATTCTCGCACCACATCAGGTGGTTTCTTTGCTTCCTTGGATGTAGTCTGGGACTCTTCAGGTTTAAAGTCTTGCAAAATTTCATTGCGCTTGAGTATGTGAGGCTCTAAACAGGGAGACCTGCAGAGCTGTCTGTGAGTCTTAGTTATCAAGCCTGGCTCTACTGAAATGCTACCCAATTGTTCTGACTCATGATCAGAATTTGTGTTTTCTTCAGAGTCACCAGAGCTTGCATTCTCTTCAGACGCCTCTTTTTCATCCTTCCCCACATTAACGGTATCCATACTTGGGTTTTCTACTGTTGACCAAGGTACAGCTGGACTTAACTGTGGGTCAGTGCTCTCCACATAAAGGTGGCCGAGGTCATGCCCTAGGTGATCCTTCAAGCCCATGAAGTTGTTACGTGTACTTGACTCCACTTTGCTGTTTTTTCTGTATTCCTGAATGCAAAGCACCCCGTATTCCTAGAGAAAAATGTAAAATATTTAGAATTTCATAGTTATGGCTAGATTTCTGTCTCAATGGAGAAGTCAGAAGAGAATTACTCAACTACTCAAAATACTTTGTATTTTGTCTACATCCTCTCCTCCCTCCTAACACCCTTGCCAAGAGAGTATCATCTGCCATTTTTCAGATGAAGAAGTCATAAATTAGAAAGGCCATGTAATTCCTCCAAGGCAACAAAGTAAATAAGTAGTAGAACTGTATTTTTTTACCCAGTTTCGTCTGATTCTAAAACCCATGCTTTTCCCACTATATCATGCTCCTTCTCAATCTCGATGGATCAGATTTTTCTACTTTTAGGACGGCTTATAATTCTAGAGTGACACATAGAATATCATCAAAAAGTATGTTTTTAATATGCATGACAGGTTAAAATTTACATTTTTCTCTAACAGAATTCATAAGTATCTATAAATATTCTTTTAAAAAGAAAGCCACATAGAAAGAAACCATTAACTTATACTTGAAAAATCATTATTAATCTGGATGAAGCTTAACAGCAATCTAAAGAACTTTCAAAAATAACATAGATACTGCAATGAAAGAGCACATATTCTAAGATAGACAGAAGGGAATTAAATAATTACAAAGTGAGTTAAATTCTTCTTAAGAGATGAACAGGGTTTTGCCCTAGTAATCATGATTTTTTGACTATGGAACATAGTAACACAATATAATTTCTAGCATTATGCTATCCTTATTAAGTGCCAGGGAAACAACAGTCTATTTCATTCCAGGAAAAGGTAAAAGTTTTATTCTATCTGCACTTACGGAAAGCAGAGATGATATCTCACATAAAATTAGCAGCAAACAATTAGGCATATTAGATAATGTTATCTCAGTTTCTTGAATTTTATGGCAGAAAATCCTCCTGTATTATGTCAGATTAACTAGCCATTAATCTGCATTTGGTTAAAAAGTGATCTTTTTTCCTATTTTTCACCATATAAGAATACTTTTACTATTTAAAATTGGTTTGTTTTTTGCCATTTTACTATTTTTCCTTAAAGACTATTGGAAATGTTATTTCTCTACTAGGAATGGGTTAGGAAAATAAAGCTATTTTCTCTGGTGCTTCATTGTAAGAACTATATCCACATCAAGGATTTACTTTTTTTTTTTTTTTTTTTTTGAGACGGGAGTCTCACTCTGTTGCCCAGGCTGGAGTGCAGCGGTGTAATCTCAGTTCACTACAAACTCTGCCTCCCATATTCAAGTGATTCTCCTGCCTCAGCCTCCTGAGTAGCTGGGATTACAGGTGAGTGCCACCATGCTCGGCTAATTTTTATATTTTTAGTAGAGACAAAGTTTCGCCACGTTGGCCATGCTGGTCTCAAACTCCTGACCTCAAGTGATCTGCCCGCCTTGGCCTCCCAAAATGCTGGGATTACAGGTGTGAGCCACCACGCCTGGCCTCATGATTTACTTGTTAAGGCAATTCTGGTATTCTACGCAGATACAGCATTAGCAAGCCAGCGATAGTTGAATTTCAGACTGCCATAAAAACACCTATTTAAAACTAACCTGAAAAAGAAAACTGAGAAAATGTTTCTAAAGCTCTTCAACATCATATTTACACTAGAAAATAGCTATTATATAAATGTTAAAAGAAAATGCTAAGTGATTTTCTGAGAAGTCACAAATTTGAAAGCATACCTGGTAAACTTTAATTAGAGAGTCAAGTAATGAAATACATTTTATTAACTATGGTAAATACTAGAGAAGAGAACATGGAATCTTCAGCTTGATAATACACTTAACATTCCTTCAGTGTAGAACTCCTACACACTTCTACAGGAGTTTCCTCAGGGCCTATTCCCTGAGAAGATAGACAACTTTAATATCATTGTTCTACTAATACAGGATTCATTAGTTTTAAAGAAACATCAATTCCCCTAGCTCTGGATTGGCAACTCATAAAAAGAAATATCCCTTAGGAGAGCTCTGTATACATCTGCTTCATTATGAAGTTGTATCCACTTCAATTTTTTCCTATTAATATAGATATGCATGAGCCCAATTACTTAGAATTGAAGGAAGGAATTTTAAAAACAGATTTTTACACCCTGTGATTTATTAACTACTGTAATATACTAACACCATAATGCAAGTAACAAAATCACAGCAGCATCCTAATAAAGGGATACAGTTAAGAAAAGTCCACACCATGGCCTTCATGGCGCTCCCACCAAAAGTATCTTAAACGAGGAAAACCTATTGGAAGCTGGGCTGCTTGGCAACCAGAAGCTGGTTGCTAAGCTGCACGCCTTTAACATGCCATCATGAATGCTAGCACAGTGAAAGAATAATTTGGTATGAACAAAAGCCTATAAAAGAGACTGGGACTTAAGTGCGTCTGGTTTACCCTCCGAGAACAATGCAGCTGCCAAACCAATCTGGAAGCTCCGACATCATTGTTCTATAAACCCCACAATCTGCTCTGACTGCAGGAAGTGCATTTAATGGGCAACATTTTTGATCTCCCCTGAAAAGTTTGGGTTTTGTATAAGTGCTGTTGTGAGATAATTCTTCAAGATAATGACTTGCTGACCAAATCCCTGAATTGACCTAGGAAATATTATTTAATATTGAGCAGTTTGGGGCTTGCTTTTGTTTTTGTTTTTCTTTTACACCAGACAAGATGAATACCTTATGAAAAATACAACTAGTGACAAATATTAGAACAAAATGTTCTGCTTAAAGGATAAGTGAAATTATTTTCACATTTTTCAAAGTAACAAAATCAGATACTGCAAAGTTTTTAAACTGAAAATCAATCACTTTAAAAGGTATTTAAATCTTTCTATATCTTCTATCTAATGTTTTAAAAAAGTGTCAGTGATACTACCTAAACCTACTATACCATGTAATTTTATTATATGGCTATCATGATACAAGGCGGAAAATAGGATTTTCAGTTTTTTTTAATAACTAAATCACACAAACCTCATTTGTATACCAATGTATTTAGTGACTACCACATATTTTTAAAGTGATAATTTATGTAATTTGCACACAATTTTAAGTAAAAAGTTTACAATAATTAGGTTGACTTTTTAATGCTAAGGATAAATGTAAGCCTAACCTACTTAAAAAGAAATTAACATCCAGTTTTTTTAGGCAAATAAGTTTTGTCTTAAAATATTCTGGTTGAACTTTTTTCACACTGACAGGCCTCTCTTCATCTTCTAGATTTCATTGGTTAGCTCAGAGAAGGTTATCCAATGTCATCGTGTACTAAACAAGCAGTTAAATGATTTTTAGTCCTTGCAAAACAAGAGGCTAAACAGAAACAGTACAAATAGGGACAAATGAGTTCAATTTCTATGCCTATAAACATACTACAAATTTGAAATAACCTGATTTGTATTGATCCAAATGGTAAAGATTTGGTTTTTAAAACTTTGATCTCTAGAATGCTTCCTCACCCACTTGTAATTAGCAAACGATTGCCCTTACTTAATAGGGCACCTAAAAACAACCCAGAATTTGGCAATATCTTGAAATCATTCAATGAAAAGCTACATGATAAAGATTTAAAAACAAGGTATTTAAATAGGCTGCAGTATTTGTTAATATAATGAAATATGTAAAACTTACAAGAAATTACTATGAGAAACTTAAGAAGAAAGAATGGTATATAATCTTTATTTTCGTTCAGTTCTTTAAAAATGATTAATATAACTTTTAAAAGAACGGAAAAGACCATTAACAACACAAAATGTATTATTACATGTAAAGTAGAAAATACTTTTCATTTCTTAAAAAATTATTAGACTTTTAAGTTTGCATTTACTAAAACGTAAACTCATATAAACCATCTTAAATTAATCAATGAAATATTAACTGATAAGGGTAATTTTGCTCATTTCATGAAGCAGCATAGTCCAAGTTTCACAAAGTAGGTCAGTTTTTACTCCCATAGTTATCAAAAAACTCCAAGAAATGCAGCTAATTTTTAAACTGTATTATCAGGGCTCCACTGTAATTGACCTAAAGACACTATATTCTTGAACACAAAAGGAACTGGGCAAATATATAGTGATTTGTGAAGATTTCTATAATTATAAATCTATAAATTCCTTCCAGATACTGTATTGGAAACTCAATTTTTCTTGCTAGAAGGCAAGTTGAAAATTAAATAATATTATTTGTTGAAAAAGAACTAAATGTTCATGCTAATTTTGTAGATGATGATGAAGTGTAGCTAATTCTTTTAATTATCAAAAAGAAACTTTGTACTAGCTGAATGCAGGTTTACAACATAATGGCTATTCACTAGAAATTTATTGCACACACTGAAATTCCTCCATCGAGTGACCAAATTTTCTGAAAGTTCTCATTAGTTAACTTGGATAATTCTTCGTCTCAAATCAGATTAAAAAAAAAAATCTTTTTTCTATTCTAAAGAGCCTCATATTAATCAGGAATATTAGACCATAAACTTGTTAAGCCGACTTATTTGTTTGTAATGTAAAGTTACAATGCCATAAAAGTGGGTTCTGGTTGTTATCCAAATGGTAATACTATGAGAACAATAAAAATAAAATAATGAATATGTAATAAATACCTACTGCTGCAGTCTCTGTGTATTTAATTACCATTGTATTTGAGTGAGTGCTGTTGTCTGCATCCCTCTAGCTAACAAAGGAGGGATGTCCCTTTGAACAGATTGGTTAATGCTCTGGGGCAACAGATGTCTACTGGAACTGCAGGAGACCAGCAACTGGTGGCCTGCCCATCTTCGGAAAACTTTCAATAGACTTATGCATATGTTCGCACAATAGGGCATGTGGTAGAAATGAAAACCTCTTTTTAACCCTTTATGCTCTTTCTTTCCCTCCCAACTGATAGATGCACGTCTTTGTTTCTTCCTCCCTTCCCCTTTACAGAACTCTTGAAGAAAATAGTTCTTGGAATGACATCTTCCATCTAATGTCTGAAACTAATGTAAGGGAGAAGAAAGGTGAGAGTGAAGAAATCAGAAGCTGTACATGAATACTGAGATTGCTGACAAAGCAACTGAATGCTTAATCATCGCATCTAAAACAAGTTGAGACATCTACCTACATCAATCCATCTCCCCAAGCTAGACTTTTAAGACAACAGAAAGCTCTATCAAATCTTATCATTTTATAGCACCTGGGTACGACAGTGACATCTTAAGAAACTTAAGACTTTGACAAGGTAAGATTTAAATCCACCATTTATCAAAAATATCGGAACATTTATTATAACTTGACTTTAAGTTCCAAATGATTATACGCCATGCCTAATGCCTTATAAATGTTCATGAAGCTCTAAGTAATTATTTATATAACTCTAGACTAGAAAAGTGTAAAAATCTGCTTCGCAGACATATTTCACAAAAATAACTTAATTTTCTGGTATGTTGGCACTATGTAATAATTTGTAGACTTTCATTGGAGGTGATTTCTTTTACAGAGTTCAAATTAATACTCTGAATATTTAGCAAAGTTTAACTTCCAAGGCATTAAAGTAGCACAAATACTCACGTTAGCAGGAAAATACAAAGACATTGGTTTCTGTAGCAGCTTCAGCAGTAAACTCCTTAACACAATTTTAGCTGCAGACTTCCAGGCAGGCAAGAAGAACAATGAATGGTTGAACAGATGGAATGGTAATGTCTTTGCTTAACCTATTACCGAGTGGAATAACAGCCAATCATAGGCCAGAAAGCTCACAATTAGTTGGCCGGGCAGATGCAAGACAACCTCAGCACCCTGCGTCAGGTTCGTAGGTTTCTAAGATAAGCAAGCTGATGTCATTCGCAGGGTCTGCCCCGGGCAGCATGTGTATTAACGAGGGGTGTGCAGCAACAATAGGCCATACAAAGCTGACTAGTAGGCAGCTGCTCTATGAGAGCGGAGTCATTAGAGAGCAGGCTGCCAACAAGAAACACCTGGCTTGGGCAGACTTCAGTTTTTCCTCCTTGTTTTTAATGCACGAAACAAAGAAACCAATTATATTTTAAAGTAGTAAAAGTTGCATGTTTCCAAAAAGTTGAGGCTATACTGTAGTCTATTAGCTTTTCATTTTTATTAAAGAAAATGAAGTGTGTCAAAGTAGCAATTAACTATTGCAGTAATCCCTGTCTTTAATAAATGAGTTACTGGTGAAATGAGACAGAAGGGTATAGTCAAACTATTTCCCTGGAAATAGTGGAAAATGTGTAGTTTTAAGTATTTGTTAATTTGTTGCAAGACAAGAAAACAAAAAGAAGAGATGATGAAAATACAATTGCAAAAGAAAAAGACTTAAGAGATCACAAATAGAACTGATTTTTAAAAATTCACTGAAAGTGTAGATAAAACAAAAGTTCTGTCTAACTTTGTGCCAAATGAGTTACCTAAACTGTAGATTTAGACAGAATTATTTAACTTCAACTTAAAATCATCAGAATAACCTATCCTATGTATGCCAATAGCAGTGTAAAATTTTTTTTACTATGGATACTAGTTAACCACGTAATTAAAGAGAAGCAAAGTCTTTCATTATATTTTAATATACAACATAACTGTTTAAAAGTATTTGTATTTCATAAAATTTGTAAGATGTAATACTCAAATTTCAGCTCAGGAACAAGTTAACATTATAAATACTATGATTTTTTGTAGTGTATAAAGTATATAAAAATAAGCCCCTTTCGTGAGTAAACTTGTTATCCCAGATTTATTTCAAAGTTTCAGGCTGCAATATGTATAATACTATGTACTACTTGCTTTTGTGGGCTGCGTAAGTTATACTTGGAGTGGCCTCTGATTATGAACAAAAAAAAAAATCAATCAAAATGTAAATACTATAAGGCATTGTAAGGATATTTCCCTACTAAAGAAAAAGGAAATCTATAGCTGTTCTACTATTTACTTACGTGATGTAGAACACAAGCACGCACATTCCCTTTTCATTCCAGTGCAAATTAAAACAGTGAAGGCAAAGAACTGCTCTTTACATACAATTTTCTGCTATAGGCTGATTTATGCAGAGCCTAGACTTTTTCATTATATGATCATGAATTCTAAAGATATAAAAAGTACCCAAAACAATCAAAATCAATCTCCTTTTATACACAAATACAGAAGCTACACACAATTAGGATCATTTGTGAATAGTTGGAAAAAAGTAACACTAGTTTGGGACTCCTGGCCTTGTCCTTATTGTGCCTACTCAAATGCAAATGAGATCGTCTCTATTTACAAAATAAGAAGATCTACATGGTTAAGATGTTTCAGTTATCGCACTGAAAACACTCCTTCTGCCTACTAAAAACTGAAAATTATTATTGTTTCCAGAAAGAAAACTAAAAGATAAAGTACCATATTACAGATCATCATTTGTTTACAGATATTTCCTCAAGAGAGTTCCAATATTTTATTGATGTATGCCATTCTAAAAATGGTAGGAAATTTAAAAATCAGTGAAAATATTTTTGAACTAAATATAATTACTAGGTTCTGAATGACAAACTAATTTCTAAAGTAAGACCTATTCTTTCTTCTGCTAAGGGTTATAGCAATATTACTGAAATAGTTAAGGCGATGGTCTCATTTCATAAACCCATCAAAGATCAAGATAAAGCATCTCTAGTATTCTCGCTTATTGCAAATTACAATGTAAATTACACAGAATTCAAATGTCACATATTGGGTAAGCAAATGGATGTCCCAGAAATGAAGAAAGACTTTATCTCTTTTTTTTTTTTTTTTTTTTTTGTTAGTGGTGGTGATAGTTCTTTTTGAAATCTCATGAATAAAAAAGATATCAGCCCTGAAAAGAATAAGAGAAGGGCCACTGTTATGGCTAATAAATGTAATTCTTCTGGTAAAACTGAGATTGATTGAGTAGGATAAATATGAAAAACGTAACATATATCCACACAAAGTAGTTACAACTGAAACCTAATAAAACTTAATAGCTGTGCACTGAGTAGAAGAGACACTGAGGTCAGTATTTATGAATTCATATTAGAAACTCTTTCTTTTGTGTATATCAAGGAAACTACTTGGTATGAATAGACAGTCTTCTTTTTTCCCTTGGGTTTTCTTCCTTCTCTTTATCCCTTGCTACTACAGTTACTACTTTACAGCTTTAATTTAGGAGGAGGAGGAATCTGCTCACTAACGCCTGCCACTGTGAACACAAAGAATGAGAGAAACTACCCCAGGGCTCAGCAGGAAGCCTGATCTCTAGCACTGGATTAAGCTTTTTTGCAAACAGCAAATAAAGGCAGTGATCTGAAAAAGCTAATCAGATCCTGCTGTGGTATTTAGACTATCTCGGTTGCTAGTATTGGATAATGTTAAGCACATTAAAACATCTGTAGGTGAAAAGACAGCCCCCAGGCTGGCTTTCTTAGTCACATGGCCCTAGTCCACTTCCCACTGCAGGGAAAATACAAACAGCTGGACTGGGCTCTGTTTGGGTCACTGAAATAAATGACTGAGCACAATGCACACTTATGACAGAAAAAAAAAAAAGACAGTGTAGTTTTAGGAGTATTATACTAAAATCTGTCTTTGCCATGGGTGGGTCTAATATTTGAAACTTGAACCATTTGAGAGGGGCTTGTACTTTTTCTGACGTATGAATGTGAAACAAGTAAGCTTTGATGTGGGGGTATGGCATCAATTATCTTTGCCAGCAGTGATCTGAGTTCACTTCCTGGGACCACTCTCTTTAATATGTAATCTCTTTTTTTTTTTTTTTGAGAGTAAGTCTCACTGTGTTGTCCAGGCTGGAGTACAGTGGCACAATCTCAGCTTAGTGCAACCTCCACCTCCCAGCTTCAAGGGATTCTCAAGCTTCTGCCTCCGAAGTAGCTGGGACTACAAGCCCCAGCCACCACGCCCAGCTAATTTTTGTATTTTTTAGTAGAGATGGGGTTTCACCATGTTGCCCAGGCTGGTCTCAATCTCCTGGCCTCATGTGATCTGCCCACCTCTGCCTCCCAAAGTGCTTGAATTACAGGCATGAGCCACCACACCCAGCCTATAATTTCTTTTGATCCTAATGATAACACCATGGAAGTAAGATTATTATATCAGATTTTCCCAACTGTCCCCAAAACGTTGAAATTAAAATTTTAACCAAAAACTATTATTTTTGAGTGTTAAAAAAAGAAGCAACCACCACCACCAACAACAACAAAAGCTAATTCACACACATAGTGTAAAAGAATAGAGTAAAAAATCAAATAGGCATTAACTCTAGTATCTATGAGTTATTATATTTAGGAAGTCAGACAGGCCATGAGCTCTCTTGTAGAAAGCTACTCTTCTGAGTGCTATTTGAAAAGTGTTAAAGACTAACTTTAAACCACAAAACAATGCTAAGAATATTGCCTGTATGAATTAAAGACAAATAAATTGCTGTAGATATAGGGAGCACTGGTTAACAGAAAGTCGTAGGGTCAAATGTATCAAGAACCTGATAAACATCTGAGACATGCCCATTCCAGAAAGTACTGTTGAAAGCGTTAGACATTCTCCTAATTCCTTTCTGTCCATGAAACCATGCCACTTTTCAGAGAAGAGGCAGACGCCGAAAGTCCCAACATTAGCCCATATTTGAAGCCAGCCCTGAATACAATCCACCCAAAGTAACTTCTGGAAAAATATACCTTTATATTTAACATTAACTGTAAGAAAAAAGATCTCAACTGTAATCAAGATCATATGTTTAAAATAAATCATCAAATATAAATAACTTTATATAAAATAAAGCTCATAGAGAAGTATTAATATGGGGTAGAAAAAGTACATTAATATTAGTGTATTTATTCATTAAAATATGAATATTGGGTAGAAAATAACTAATATTATTAACCAATAAGGAAGACAACAAAAATCAATGAAAGTAGCATTATTGGAACATGCAGTGCAAATGAAAAAAGTTCCAAACACATTTTCTGCTCATACTTCCTCCAGTAACATGGCCATCTCTGCCATTTCTTACTGTTAACATTAATCTCATTACTGGAAGTGGGGGCTGAGGGGAAGGTAGATTAAAATTATCACCATGATATAGTTACCTCCATAGCCATTAAGTAAACTGTTGGTATTTTAATAATAAGAAAGAAAAACAACTGGGTGCAGTGGCTCACACCTATAATCCCAGCACTTTAGGAGGCTGAGGCAGGAGGACTGCTTGAGCCCAGGAGTTAAAGACCAGCCCAGGCAACATAGGGAGATCCTGTATCTCAAAAATAAAAAATAAAAGATTAGCCAGGCATAGTGGCACATGCCTGTAGTTCTAGCTACTCGGAAGGCTGAGGCAGGAGGATCACTTGAGCCCAGGAGTTCAAGGCTACAGTGAGCTGGAGTTGCACTCCAGCCTGGGCAACAGAGTGAGACCTCATCTCAAAAAAAAAAAAAAAAAAAAAAAAAGAAGAAAACAACAACTACTTTTCCTATTCAAATCCTAAAAGAAATTGTATCAGAACTCATGTTTTTTTGTAAATCATATTTGCTCCTAAAAATACTAAGCAACTACCAATAGGTAAATAAAAATAATAGATGCATATCAATTTACTATTCATCAGCAAGAAAAACAGGACTTTTGAGAAAGGGCTTGGGACATTTACTGGAAGAACACGAAGGAGCTCTCAGGGTCAGAAAGAGATCTCAACATTCAAGCCTTCAGGTCAGAGATGAGGACTAAACCCCGGGTTTCATTTGCAGAGCTTCTAGACTATCTCTCTGATGATTCAGCACTATGTTCTCTGACCTTGTGTTCTCCATTCAAGGTTCAAATTCCTGAGACAGAGAATCTGATGAGCACAGCTGAAGTCATGTTACTCACCTGTTTGCCCTAGTACTGTGGCCAGATGTATGTGGGGCCATGATGGGCTGCCCTGTCAGGCCGTAAGGAGATGGTGGCGGGGCATTCCTTAGGTGGGGTGATAGTAACAGAAGCAGAGCAGGAAAATGCTAGGTGGACAGAACATCAGACACCCAGTACAGAAGGACATTAAACACATTAGAGAGGCTGGCCATGGTGGCTCACGCCTGTAATCCCAGCACTTCGGGAGGCCAAGGCGGGCAGATCACTTGAGGTCAGGAGTTCAACATCAGCCTGGCCAACATGGTGAAACCCCGTCTCTGCTAAAAATACAAAAAAATTAGCATGGTGGCATGTGTCTGTAATTCCAGTTATTCGGGAGGCTGAGGCAGGAGAATCCCTTGAACCTGGAGGTGGAGGTTGCAGGGAGCCAAGATCACACCACTGCACTCCAGCCTGTATGACAGAGCGAGACTCCATCTCAAAACAAACAAAAAAAACCACACACACACACACACACACACACACACACACACACACACACACACACACTAGTGAGAGATCCTATATGGTTCCCATAAAATCCATCCAAATGACTTAAAAGAGGAAGTAGAAATGGAATAAACTTATCAGTCTTGAAGAACTTATGTATTGCTTGGCTTCCGTTTTCACATCTATGAGCAACAGTGTATCTCATTCCCCATTTTCCTTAAGAGTAGCTATCATTGTTGCAACAGTGCATTCTTAAAACCTCATAGACACCTTTGTCTATTTCTCAATTGTTTCATTCATTTAATACATACTGAAGATCCAGTTAATCAATTCTTGATTATTTTTCTCTTCCCAATTTTCTCATTCCCATGGCCATGAGCATCCCTTAGGCTAAGCATTTATTCCCCCAGGCTTAGATTATCTTAATTTATCTCCTTCCTTGAATATCCCTTAGGTACCTCCCTGCCAAAGTAATTTTCAATGACATCACTCTTCTGCTTAAAAAAAAAAAAAAATCTCAGCTGCAAATCACAAGTCTCTGGTCCTCTGCTTTGTTTTGTTTTCGAGGCTCCATCTACAAACGGGGCCTCCTCTGGCCCTGTAATCTAATTTCCCACTTAAGGTGAAGGGACAGCAAAAGTGAGGGCACAGATGTCTCTTTGCCTTAAGTGTTGTCTTGCACTACAGCCTCACCTATCCAGTTCTTATCTATTGTTCTAAGCCCAGCTCAAGACTTATTTTTTCCATAAAGCCTTCTTGGACTAGTTCGGTTTTTATTGCTTTCCAATTCCTTCAAACTTCTGTAACATGAATAGTGTGTACAGTACAATTTAGCATTTATTTATGAACCAGGATGTAGGCTTCTTGAGAGCAGAACCATTCATTCTCCCATAATCTACATAGTACAACCAATATGGCATGCAGCAGTGTGCTGATCTCTAGAAGATCTTCAAGTGAAAAATCGACCAATAAAAAAAAAATAGACCCCTGCAAATTTGAATGCAGGCATTCACAAGAACAAAAATGCTGCTCTGCTAGTCTTTATTTCTCCCTGTGACAGGGTGGGTTTATCAGAGCCCTCGGCCATTGGCAAAGTTCTTGTAGCCCTGATACTGCCACTGGGGCTGCTTCCAACATTCAAAGAAGCTCAAGACTCCCAGTGATGACGGGTCTTTTCCCGCAGTCTCCTCTGGATTCTCTTCCCAACTAGAGCTGCAACTGCGGAAGTTCCACTGCAGCTTCTGCCTCCCCACTTGAGGATCACTTTGATGGGTAAGTCTGTAAGGACCAGTCCTTTTCAACTGCACATTTCTCTTTGAGATCTGCCCACAGGCAGAAAACACTTGGGTGCTTTGCCCTCCAGCATGGCCTGGGACTGGATGGTTAAATCTAATTCTGGGGTTCAGTGTTACTAAGCTCTTTATGCTGTTCTCTTAAATCACCTTCTCTCCAATAGTTCTATGGATGGAAAGGGCTGCTATTTTGATCTCCATGTGCTTGGCTCCTTTGTCTGTTTCTCAATTGGTTGAGAAATAAGGCAGGAAAAAGACCCCTCAAACTCCAACAATACTCAAGAATAAAAAGAGTTTTGTTATAAAGAACTACTAAGAAAAATAAAGGGTAATAAAAACTGTATGAATTAACTCTAATCAGACCACTTGTCTAACACATTTGAGGGGATTAAGTTCAAAAAAGAAGAAAAAAATTCAGTCACAAGAAAGATAATGCTCCTCAAAGTCAAAATTCTTAAGGTTTATGAAAATCTTTCCGTCCTATGTCATCAAGAGTAGATAACCTTCAATTCTGTTTAGGAACCAGAAACAAATACAAAATAAATCCACAAAAACAACATTCCTTTCCACTGGTCTAAAGACAAAGAAACTCTTCTACATTCATTTTAAATGAAAATATAACTCATATCCCAGGACTTCATCCAATATTTTCCAGGGATTAGTTTCCCATTTAGTGTTTTTTAAAAAATTCATTAAGCAAATAGCTCTTAAAAAAGATTATCTTCAATTCCTACAAAACCTGTAAATACTCACGGAATGAGGAATTTTAGAAAAGTACAAGGAATGCAAATGACATCCAAAGTGCTGATGTAATAGGTTCTGAGGCAGCTAGTGTATGGGAAGAGAAAACTCATGAGTCAAAGAGGACATTCGGTAGTCCCCCTTATCTACATTTCACTTTCCTCAGTTTCAGTTACCCACAGTCAACTATGGTCTGAAAATATTAAATGCAAAATTCCAGAAATAAACAATTCCAGAAATAAACAATAAATTAATACATTTTTAATTGTGTGCCGTTCTGAGCAGTATAAGAAAATCTACTGCCCACTTGCTCTGTGGCACCCAGGATGTGCATTATCCCTTTGTCCAGTGTATCCACACTATAGACCCCACCTGCCTGTTAGCTGGCTAGAGGAGAAATGAAAAAATGTAGTATAGATACACCTTGATTTACAATGGGGTTATGTCTTGACAAACCCATCTTAAGTTGAAAATATCATCAGTTGAAAATGCATTTAAACATACTGAGTATCGTAGCTTATCCTGGCCTACCTTAAATGTACTCAGAACACTAACATTAAGTTACACTTGGGCAACATCATCTAACACAAAGCCCAGTTTATAATAAAGGTTGATTATCTCATGTAATTTATTGTACTGAAAGTGAAAAACACTTGAATGGTATCTGTGTACTTGAAGTACAGTTTCTAGCAAGTGCATGTGGCTTTCGCACCATCATGAAGTTGAAAATCTTAAGGTGAACAACCATCAATTGGGGACCATTTGTATATATATGTATGCCACAGTTCCAGGCATCCACTGTGGGTGGTGGAACATATCCTTCGAGGATAAGGGAGGACTACGTATGATTTTTTTTTAAAAGCAGAAGGCACATGATTGATTATCACTCATGTTAACAAAATACACTCGTGGTTATATTAAGTATAACTGAAATTGTCAGAAAAAGATGACCAAAAATGCGTATTTTATACAAAAGAAAATGTCTACATAAGATATCTTGAAATTATAAAATAACTGATGGTAGTTTAATGACACTGTATGGTAAGAATATTCACAATATCACCATCAAAGCCTGGTCAGACGTCATCTCATCTCTCCTTCGGATGCCACGCTCTCTGACATCCTCAGCCACCACCTGGTATGTGCTGCTCATCTGCACAATCATATCTTTAGGCTGCTTGTACCAAATGAGGATACGTGCATGTCTTGTTCTTCTTTAAGTGTTAAATAATTTACTTAGGAAACTAATTAAAAACTGCTTGACCAAAGCATTGTTAAAAAGTGAAATGGACAGACAGACTACAAAGGATAATTGCATCAGAATTAAAACAGAGTTATGTGTTTAGGTCTGTTTTTATTAAGAGTCCATAAGAGTGTGTAAACAACATATTACCATGCTTGTACAGGAATTCAGGAAAAAAAATAAAATATGGTATATGGGAAATAATCCAAAACGAGCTGCAAACCCACTATGACCCAAGAAAAGTACTTTGTAAATTTTAGGTTTGCTCTCAACATAAACTCTTATTAAGAATCAATGTAGAAAATACTTCTTTCTACATCAGTGTTCTTGTAAGATGGGAAAATGAAAAGCTTGAGTTATAATTTCCAATGGCCTCACACTACTGATTTTAAATAACTGCATACTACTGATTTTAGACAAGTGTGCTGCTGTGCAAAAGGCTAGAAAAAAAAAAGGAACTGCTGTGTTAGAAAACACTCAGTGAGATTAGCACAAAAGTTTATAACAAAACTTTTCTTTAGAGTTCTATACATATCAAAAGGTGATGTAAGATTTTAGGCATTAAATTAAGAATTCTGAGCCTTTAGGACAAGATTCCTTCTAAATACAAATCATCATATACTATAAAAAGTTAAATCTGGAATATGAATCATCCTGAACAGCTGCCAAAGCATTTCGATTGTTAGCTCTAACGGGGCCGGGATTCTTGTGTTTTGCTTTCTGAAGTATCCCCACCACATAGAAGAGTGCCCGGCACACAGCAGGTGAATACAAATGTGCTAAATCAATAATAGCCTTCCAATACCTGGACCAAAATCTATTTTCTGGATTTATTTGTTTACTTCCCTCACATAACCTATTCTCCAGCCAAACACAGGTACTTAAAGCGGCAGTTCTCTCAATTTTAGATATACATTGATATCACCTCAGGAGATTTAAAATATATTGATGCCAAAGTCCCACCTAGAGATGTTACTTTTATTAGTCTGGATGAAGCCTGGCCAGAGGCATTTTAAAAGCTTCCCAAGTGATTCTAATGTGTAGCCAAGGTTACGGAAATTGACTTCAGAGTTTCTTTCTTCCCAAGTACTTTTCTCCACAGTTTCACCTGTTAAAATCCTACCCATTATTATTGAAGATTAGCTAAATACCTGACTCAGCCATACCTGAAACACTGTTAAATTCATCTTTAAATTATTTGAGTTTTGCACAGGGTCTGGCATATGGATAGGAACTGATCAATGTTTAAGTGCTGCATAATCCTGGGAGTAGAGCACACAGTAGAAACTCAATACACAGTGATTGAAAAATGACACACAGCTGATCCTCATCATTTGCAGATTCCCCATCTTTGCAAATTTGCCTACTTGCTAAAACTTATTTTTAACCCCTAAATTAACACTTGTGATTTTTAGGTCATTCCACAGACAAGTGTGCAGGGAGAATGGTGAAAAATTTGAGTTCCCCAAGGCATATGTTCCAGCAGAGGCTGAATGAGAAGCTCTGCCTTAGTGTTTCATGTCTTTGTAAACAAGTCAAGTGTCCTTTTCTTTGAGGTCTATTTAGTGCTACGTTTTTCCCATTTTTGTGTTTTGTTGGTGAATTTGCTGCTTAAAATGGCCCTGAGCGTAGCCAAAATGCTGTCCAGTGTTCCTAAGTGCAAGAAGGCTGTGATGTGCCTTATAGAGAAAATATGACTGTTAGATGGGCTTTGTTTAGGTGTAATTTAGAGTGCTGTTGGCCATCAGTTCAATGTTAATGAATCAACAATATATATTAAATAAGGCATCTTTAAACAGAAACACACATAAAACAAGGGCATATATTGATAGGCTGATAAAAATGTTGTGACCAGAGACCATTTCCCTTAGCAAATGGGCACCTCCTAGGTGCCAAACACTGAGGCTACAGTAAGAACAAAGCAAGTCCTCTCCTCTCCCCAAGGTTTCAGTGCAGTGTGTTTTAAGAGGCAGGGGAGAGAATTTAAATAATAAATACATGTCAGGTGATGGTAATTATAAATCAGGGAAGGCGTCTTAGATAAGGTGATATTTATGCAGCCACCTAAACAAAGTGAAAGGATATGTATAACAGGGCTATGATCTGAATGTTGGTGTCCCTGCAAAATTCATATATTGGAAACAAACATCCAATGTGATAGTCTTAGAGGTGGGGCCTTTGGGAAGTGATTAAATCACAAGGTTCCGCACTTGTGAAAGGGATTAGTGCCCTCATAAAAGAGGCTTGAGCAAGCTCCTTCGCCCCGCTATCACTCTGAGAGGATGCAGTGACAAGACCCCACTGATGAGGAAGAGGACTTCACCAGACATCGAAGCTGCCAGCACCTTGATCTTGGACTTCCCAGCTTCCAGAACTGTGAGCAATACATTTCTATTATTTATAAATTACCCAGTGTAAGGTATTTGGTGATAGCAGCAGGAACGGATGAAGACAAACAGGAACAAAGCTGTGAGATGAGAGTGTGCATGGTGTGCTCATGGAACAGCAAGGTGGTCAGGAGCCTCCAAGGGAAGAGCCAGAAGAAGCAGGAAAGGCAAGGTTAAGGGAAGCCAGGTCATGTAGTGCATTAGAAGACAATGCTTCTCAAGCTTTAAACTGCATTTGAATCATATAAGCGTCTTGAAGGTTCTGATTGAAGGATGTCTGGAATGGAGTCTGAGATTCCACATTCTAACAATTTCATAGGTGATGCTGTTGCTGTTGGTCCCTGGACCCCACTACTTTAAGTAGCAAGGTTTTAGGTCACATGAAGGAACTGGCTTTTATATTGAGATGGGAAACTGCTGAAGGGTTTTGAGAAGAGAAGTGATGATCCTATTTTATATTAATATCTTATCAACTTGGGCTTACTTCCATACTTCCAGTTGTGTTCCACTGATCTTTTGCTATTTCTGTGCCTGCAGCACATGTTAATAACTGTAGATTTGTAATATATTGGGTACCCTGTGTGCAAGTCTTCTCATTTTCATATTCTTATCCTGGTTATTTTTGCACGTGCATGCTTCCAGATACTCTTTGGAATTGCTTTGACAAGTTTTAACCAAAAAGCTATTGAGAGTTTGATGGAGATAGTGCTACAGTAATAGGTGCTTAAAAAGCATTGCTGACTTATTAAATTGTTCAATCAATGACAGTTTATTGAAAATTTTAAAATCTTTCAATAGAGTTCCCTAGATTTCTTTACGGGGAACTTATATATTTCTTAAACGTTTATTTTATTTTATTTTAATTTTTTTTGAGACAGGGTCTCACTTTGCCACCCAGGCTGGAGTGCAGTGGCGCCATCCTGGCTCACTGCAAACTCCACCTCCCAGGTTCAAGCAATTCTCCTGCCTTAGCCTCCTGAGTAGCTGGGATTACAGGTATGTGCTACCATGCCCAGCTAATTTTTATATTTTCAGTAGAGACGGGGCTTTACCATGTCAGCCAGGCTGGTCTCAAACTCCTGACCTCAGGTGATCCACCTGCCTTGGCCCCCCAAAGTACTGGGATAACAAGTGTGTGCCACCGTGCCCGGCTTGTATTTCTTAATAAACTTTTCTTAAAATATTTTGCTTTTTCTTCTTGCTGGTGCGAATGGAGGTGTTTCTTCCCCCATTATATTTTCTAACTGGTTATTGTTCATGTCTAAAGAAACACCTATTCTTATACACAAAACTTCAGTGAAAAAGATTTACATGTCTCAGTGAATTCTTAATGGTAGTGTTTCACCGAGGCGCTTGGGTTTTTCAGGTGTATATAATAATATAAAATAATCAGATTTCCTCGTCCTTATCAATTTTTATATCTCTTGATCCATGCTTTTGTTCCACTGCATTACAATATTAAAGAACAAGGGTGACTTTGTGTTGTTTCTGATATTAATGGGAATGACTCTAGTGTTTTAATACAACATATATATATATGTGTGTATAAAGTATGTGTGTATATGTGTGTGTATGTGTATATATATAATATATATGTGTGTGTGTATATATATAATATATATGTGTATATATATATAATATATATGTGTGTGTGTATATATATAATATATATGTGTGTATATATATAATATATATGTGTGTGTATATATGTGTGTGTATATATAATATATATATGTGTGTGTGTATATATATAATATATATGTGTGTGTGTATATATATAATATATATATGTGTGTGTATATATATTATATATATGTGTGTGTGTATATATATATTATATGTGTGTGTGTATATATATGTGTGTATATATAATATATATATGTGTGTGTGTATATATATGTGTGTGTGTATATATAATATATATATGTGTGTGTATATATATATGTGTGTGTGTATATATATAATATATATGTGTGTGTGTATATATATAATATATATATATGTGTGTGTGTGTGTATATATATATATATCTCATGTGGGACAAATTAACCTCCCCATGCCTTAGTTTCCTCAATTGTTGAAAAAAGGATAAAATATGGTTGTTTGAAATTTAATGAGCTAATAAATATAAAACTCTCAGAACAGTGCAAGGCATATAGCAAGCATTCATATGTTAGCTATATGTAATTATAACTTTATATACATCTATACATATACATACCACACTACATACAGCCTTTGAAAAATCATTTACAGAAATACATTTTTCTCCTACATAAAAGATTTAGAGAAAAAATTTAGAAATGTGGATTACATTAAAATGATCTATTAGACAATCACAAATTTTTAACTTATATTGTGAATTATACTAATAGATTAGCCAATAGAGAAATATGATTACTTTGAGGAGGATTACATATGCTGATATTTCACTAAGAATTTTTACATCAATAATCATAAGAATGGCTTGTCACTTTCTTTAAACCTATTTGCTTTGCCACCAATTAGCCACCACTATTTTGTTGATTTAAAAGTGGTATGGTATTCCATTCAGAACTTGCTCTCAATGGCAAACCAACTGGCCAGTGCCAAAGGAAGCTAGGCTAGACTGGACCACTTGTTCCTATAAAGGGACTACTATTTCCAGAGATCTGGCTTACTGGTATTCTGAAACTTGTCTCTGAATACTTACTAATAAACTCCAGGGTACAATTTATTCTAGTATAAAGTACAAAGAAAAGAGGATGAACTACAGGGTGATTTTATAATTTATGGATATAAGAACCAATCCATACCATGCCTTCTCCCTGAAACTAACCAAGCAACCTGCACAAGTTACTTAACCTCTCTGTGTCTCATTTTCCTCAAATATAAAATGGAGATGATAATACCACTAACAGCATAGGGTTGTTATGAAGATTAAATGAGTTAATATACATAATAACTTATAACAGTGATTGTCACATAGTAAATGGTGAGGTGTGTCTTTAAAAAAGTTTAGTGTAAAAATGAAATTGCAGTACAGAAAAATAGAAAACCTGATTGTCATTATTTATTCCATATTCTCATTACTGTAATTCTAAAACGTCTCTCCTTAGTAACACAGAAGAATATTATGCAGGCAAAAGCTTTAACTGTGTCCCATTAGTTCTTACCACATATTTATAGAACCAAGAAATCAAATGCATTAGAGTTAAAATGCCCTAGAGTTAAAATGCCCGACTCTATTCCTTTGTGCATGATATCTCAACATTTGAATTTTGGAAAATAAAGAAAATAATTTAGAATAATGTTTCTCAAAGGGAAAGGGAAATAACATTTAGTTTGGAAAAGCCAAACATACCTATCCTCTTTATTAAAAAAATTATTGAAGATTAAAGTGCTGGGATTAACACTTTGGCTAGTGCAAATAATTAGAAAACAATGTTAGAAATTGGTAAGGAACATAAGTGTAAGAACGCTTGGAAATGAGTGATTTAGAAGAAATACATTGATTTAATGGTGGGCAGGAGTGAAGGCAAGAGGGAGAAAACTGAAGTTTAATTAGAAGAAAATATAGCAGGCACCTGAAAGGAAACAAAGATTTTCTTCCAGAAAATGAGAAAACAGGCCGGGCGTGGTGGCTCACGCCTGTAATCCCAGCACTTTGGGAGGCTGAGGCAGATGGATCACCTGAGGTCAGGAGTTCAAGACCAGCTTGGCCAACATGGTGAAACCCTGTCTCTACTAAAAATACAAAAATTAGCTGAGCATTGTGGCAGATGCTGTAATCCTAGCTACTTGTGAGGCTGAGGCAGGAGAATCGCTTGAACCCAGGAGGCGAAGGTTGCAGTGAGCCAAGACCAGGCTATTGCACCCCAGCCTCGGAGACAGAGTGAGTGAGACTCCATCTCAAAAAAGAAAAAAAAAAAAAAAAAAAGAAAATGAGAAAACAGTTAAGTGTAGTAGCTCATGCCCATAATTCTAATACTCTGGGATGCAGGGGTGGAAGGATCACTTGGGGCCAGAAGTTCAAGACCAGCCTAGGCAACATAGCAAGACCCCATCCTATGAAAAAACAAAATAGGCCAGGTGTGGAGGCTCACGCCTGTAATCCCAACACTTTGGGAGGCCAAGACGTGTGCATCACTTGAGGTCAGGAGTTCAAGATCAGCCTGGCCAATGTGTCAAAACCCCATCTCTACTAAAAATATAAAACTTACCCAAGTGTGGTGATGTGAGCCTGTAAACCCAGCTACTCAGGAGGCTGAGACAGGAGAACTGCTTGAACCTGGGAGGCAGAGGCTGCAGTGAGCCAAGATCACGCCACTGCACTCTAGCCTGGGTGATAGAGCGAGACTCTGTCTCAATAATAAATAAATAAATAAATGAAAAAATAAAATAAAAATAAATAAACTAGCTGGGTGTGGTGGTGCATGCCTGTAGTTCCACTACTGAAGAAACTGAGGCAGGAGGATCGCTTGAGCCCAGGAGTGCGAGGCTGCAGTGAGCCATCATCGTGCCACTGTACTCCAGCCTGGATGACAGTGTGAGACCCTGTCTCTAAAAAATAAATAAATACATAAAAATAAAGAAAATGAGAAGTGAAACCTTCATTTCAGTTTAACAATATAGATGGTGGATAGTGAAAAATTATTATAAAATAAATGGCTATAGACAAATTTAGAGCAGCAGTACTCTCCCACCTCTCCTATAATTTCATTAACATTTAAATTTCTAGCCACAGAATTCCCCTAAAGTCATAAACTGCTACACTTTTCAGTTAGCTTTCTCCAAAGATCTATAAATTATTGAAAAGTTAAAGCCATAATATTTTTCCCCCTAAAATAACTGTTAACTAAAAATCGTTTGTGTAAAAAAATGATACTTGTGAATGAGGAGTTTATTTTATTGACAGTGGTATAATTTAGACATATAACTTAAATATAAAATACCTTAGTTCTTGGGGCATTTTAGAGACATGAGCTAGCTGATCAAATTTTACTTCAAAATTCTATACAAATAATACATTTTTAAAGTAATACTTTCATGAGTAGCAGAAAAATAGCAGCATGGTCCACGATTATCCAGTCAAACTAAATGAAAGGTTAAGCCAGTATCCAATGAATTAATTTACTCACGGAAGAAACATTTATCTGAATGCCTACTATGAGAAAGAGATGATGCTTAGTTAAAGACGGAGGTTACAAACATGAATACAAGTTGCTATTCTTAAGAACTATAAAATGTATTAAGGAAACCAGATAAATGAATATCTGTAAAACACAGGGGATGCCTGCATATAGGGATATGTCATAGAGTACAAGAGACAAAGACTTTGCTTCAGATTTGGGAAGCCTCTGAGAGGTGACATATAAACTGAGTATACAATGACAGTGACAAACTATTCCTATATTCCCTATGGTATATGTGTCTGTGTTAGGTAGAAGGAGGGGGAGTAAGGTGAGGCAAAGAAAAAAAAGGATTGTTGCCCAGAGAACAACAGGATCAAAGGTCCAGAGGCGTGAGAGATGATACAACATACAGAAAACTGTGTGATGAATACTCCCGGAGAAGCGGCTAGTCAGTCAGGATGTGGCTGGTTCATGGAAAGTCTATAATGCTATACGGAGTTTCACCTTTGGTAGTGGGGAACTACTGAAGGTTTCTGAAAAAGGGAATAGTGTTCTTCTACCCACATTTTAGCAAGGTAATGGGAAACACTGAAGGTTTCTGAGTACATATTTCTATTTTAGGATGACAACTCCAGCTGTATTAGTTTTGGGGAGGCAAGAAACTCAAAGATGACAATTTAGGAAGGTCTTATAATAGTCTAAGTAAAAGCTGACTAAGTTACCTAAAGTTATGCAGAAAAAAAGAGAAACAAACATGATATATTTTCTAAGATAGAGCCAATGAGTTGAGTCAGGATTTGATACTAAAGACAAAAGAGGAAGGAGTTATAAAATAACTGATGGCACAGAGAAGAGGATGTGGGTCAAGGTTACTAATGGTCCCTGAGAGAGCTATTTCTGCAAAAGGAAGAGAGATGGGATAAACAGGCATATTTTTGTAACATAGACCCCTTTCTCAGTCTAATGAAGTCTACAGACTTCTTTTCAAAGTAAGGCTTTTCAATACATAAAACAAAAACATAGGATTGAATTGCAAAAGAAGCCAATTATATTATAGTCCTCAAAATATTAAAAATTGTGGTACAGTAAAATATGTGCTTTTTACTAACACATTAAAATAACAAGATGTAGCAGCAAATCTATTCACATGATTTTGACATAAAGTGTAAATATTTCAGGATATTTGTTTCAACTGTAATATGTAGGGAAACATCATTTCTATGGGTGAATACTGCTATTAACATTGGGTTTGTTGCTTACATTCATAATTAAGGGAAATGCTAAATTTCAATTAGAGGTTGTAGAAAAAAAAGATGAAAATTTTTTCCCATACTCAACATCATACAATCTCCAAATTCTATCTATCGACTCTTTGGAGAAGCATGGAACACAGGTTAAAAACTCCTAGCTAAGAAATAAGTATGTGCTAGAGAGAGATGACAGCATATGTTTGGCAGGAAAAGAATAAGATATAGAAGGATTATTTTGGGGATGGCAGGGAGGGATAGGAACGGTTTCAAAAGAAGACTTTTTTTTAAATCTTTTTTTTTGGTAGGGGGGGGCGATAAGAACTTTAAACCAGGAGACTGGATTCAGTGGGGCAGGAGAGATGACGGGTATATGCATGCACATCTGTGTATGAATGAATTAATGAATCAATTAGAACAACAGAAAGAATAACTTACAGAAAAAAGAAGGAATAGCAGTGAAATGGGGAAAAACAACAGACTTGGTTCAGTCAGGCAACCATTGGCTTTCCATCCCATAATTCTCTGCCAAAACCAACCACTCTCAACTCTGCAGTCCTTCTTGGCCTCTACAACACCCAGTGAGCCAGGACTGACTGGGAGTGGAGAGTGAAAGGCAAGGAAAAGGGCCTCTGGCAGGCAACTGACAGTTATCAGAAGGAAGCAGGAGGTTAACTTCTGTGGCTCTTCTACCTCCTTTTCTAGTCCTTCTTTAACCCTTCTCAGCGCTTAGTGCTGCCATTTGGCAATCTAAATACTTTATTCCTAGTTGCTCCTTCCATTATCTCTTCCACCAAAAATCAAAATTCCAAAAGGGATCGGGTGTGGTGGCTCACACCTATAATCCCAGCACTTTGGGAGGCGGAGGCAGGAAGACTGCTTGAGCCCAGGAGTTCCAGACCAGCCTGGGCAACAAGGCAAAATCCCATCTCTACAAAAAATTAGCCAGGTGTGATGGTGCACATCTGTAATTCCAGTTATTTGAGAGGCTGAGGTGGGAAGATTGCTTGAGCCCGGGAAGTCAAGGCTGCAGTGAGCCAAGATAGTGCCACGGCACTCCATCCTGGGCAACAAAGCCAGACCCTGTCTCAAAAATATATGTATATGTTCCAAAAGGAAGATCAGTGAAGGTGTTCCGATGCTTACATGACTAAGGTAATTAAACATCTACATATGTGAAGGATTTTTGAGGAGGGGATGTAAATACAATGGATATTATAAGGACAGCAGTCCTAGTATGTTCCTGGTCTGTGGACCTCCTTCCTTATCCCTGCACCTTTCCTCCTCTATGCTTGTGTATGTTCACATGCATGAGTGTTCATGTGTACATGTGTGCACGTGTGCATGACCATGCACATGCACTGAAAGATGGGGATGTGGGGAGGATAAGAGCAGCTTACCCTATTTCTCATTTGTGGAAAAAACTTTTACTCCATTGGATTTGGTAATCAAAAAGCTACTGGGGGCCAGGTACAGTGGTTCACGCCTGTAATCTCAGCACCTTGGGATGCTGAGGTGAGAGGGTGGCTTGAGCCCAGGAATTTGAGACCAGCCTGGGCAACACAGAAAGACTCTGTCTCCACAAAAACTAAAAAAAAAAAAAAAAAAATCAGTCAGGCCTGGTGGTGTGTGCCTATACTCCCAGCTACTTGGGAAGCTGAGGTGGGAGAATCCTTGAGCCAGGGAGATTCAGGCTGCAGTGAGCCGTGATCGTGCCACTGCACTCCAGCTGGGGTGACCAAGACTTGTCTCAGAAAAAAAAAAAAGCTACTGGGGAAGCAAAGATCGGGCAATTAGACAAATGAGTCAAGTCTTCGGAACTGGTGTTTCTAAAATAAGTTACTGACTTTTATTTTACCTTCTAATTCTGATTTTTTTTTTTGAGATAACAAAAAAAGTTGAGTAAGAATCTATCACATATTGAAGGATATGAGAATTCTATACACTGTATGTAGGTTTATAAATTATTTCAGGATTTTGATCATATGTAAATCCATGTTTAACTGTCCTGCTCACATTAGGTGTATACCATCAAGTAAGTATCCAATCTAGTAAAATGCACATTCATTTGCTATCAAAGTAGGAAATAAACAGTTATGATCTACCTGTTATCGTGAGGAATGCTCAGGCCCAAGACTCAGCACCTGGTAGCACACTTGCCAAAGTAACACTCTGGCTTCTGGCTGTCACTCAGGAGTTCCAAAGTGCCTTCTCCACCTGCCACATCTTCACTCAGGTGCTATCACAGCACGGGATGATCTCGAAGCTAAGCTGCAGCTGCCAACCTGGTATGTGCTTCCCAGACATCCACGCCAGCAGTACAATTTCCCACCTCAACCAAATCCACAAAATTAATTTTGTGAAGTTTTTTCTTATAAGCTGATTCCTGATTTTTCTTTAAAAATCATACTTTAAATTATACTACTTACACTCTGAAGCTAGTCTTTCTTTTAGTACAGAATATCTTTCTAATTTGTAGAATCCAAATTTGCCTTCAAAGATTAGCTGCTTCTTGTTCCCTACTTATGTTCTATTCCAAAGAGGGGTCTGAAAGACCTTAGGACCAGTCAGAGGCTCTCTCAATGTACTCAGAAGTGACAGAACACTAAAGAGTAGGAAACTTAATGGGAAATAAAAGGGCAGTGATTTGATGCATTAGTTGTCTGTTCATTGTCTTACAGGAATCACTAGAATTGCCACCCTTCTCCATTCTCAAGAATGTGGAATAATCTCTATAATTCTACTATTCCTATGGCAGTTTATTCATTCCATCCATAAGCAGGACAGGAAAGAGGAGTTAATTATTATTTCCTAAGCTTTAAAATCTTGAGTGTGAGGGTGGAGAGTATTCAGAAGTGCTCCTGGAAATACTATTAAACTGGTAAAAAAGAGTACAGTGGGGGCCAAAGAAAAGCCATAGGTGCTGGCTCAACTTCCAATCCCCAAGAAATCCTATAAAACCCATAGAAAGGAGCATACTAGGGCCAATCAGTGTGGAGAACTATTAATATCATAGGGAAACTCCATTTAAGGAACTCAAATATTTTTAAAACAAACTAGGAAAAATACGTTTATTTTGAAAGTTACACCATCCCTATCCTTACACAAAAAGGACAAAAAGCCCTGACAAGCAGAAGTTTTATTTCTCCTATCCACAGGCCTTAAATAATGAGATGGCATTAAACTCCAGGGTTTAGGTGTTTAAACAACAACAACAAAAGCAACCCCTGTATCTCAGGTATTCACGTAATAATTTACTGTGGGCTGCTTGACTTCAAAGTTGAGATTCAGGCAAACATTTGTGCCTGTAACTTTTGAAAAATAACTTTTTCAAGGCATTGAGGAAAAACTCAAACCTGGAAAATAGAAATATACTCTCATCATGATGCATAAAAATGAGAAGTTAGAGGCAGATAGAAAGCCAAAAACAAACCAGCCAACCATCTAAAAATCCCACTATCTGCAAATTAAAATGCTCTTCCAAATAACTGTAGTAAAAAGAAATAAAAATTACAGACTATTTAGAAATGAATGACAATAAAATTATAGCCTACAGGATATGGCCAAACTGACAGTCAAAGAAAAATTTATGTTGTAAATGCATCTAATAGAAAACAAGAAACAAACTAAATAAAATATTTAAGTTGGAAGTGTTAAAATGAGCAGACAAACCAAATAAAGGTGAACAAAGGCATAAAATTAAAAGCAGAAATAAATAAATTAGGAAGCAAAATTAAAAAGTAAAACCCATTAACAAAATGGAAAGCTGGTAATGAATGATGAAGGAATGAATGAGTGAATAACCTCCAAAAAGTATGACCAGGAGGTCAGGGAACTCCACAAATATATAACATTACCATTGTAATATTCAATGAGATGAAAGGGATGCTTAAAGTGTGCCATTTCTGCATAAATCTTTATGCCAATAAATTAAGAACCTATAATCAAAGCTGACTTGGGAAGAGGTTATAAATATGAATAACCATGGAAGGAATGAGAGCTTTATTAAGGATTTATATACTTGATTCCATTCCTAACAAAGAATCCTTTACCCACAGATTCTACAGACATGCTATAACAAAACTCAAAGCATCTAACAATTCCTATGTTTCTTAGATTATCCTACAACACTGAAGATTGAAGGCATCCCAACTGGTCTATGAGGCTAGCCTAACTGCTGACAAAGCCCAACAAAGATGGCACCCAAACTAACCAAATATATGAATAGATTAATCTTATATGCAAAAGTTCTAAATGTAAGAAAGAAATTATACGGTATATTCAAATTATAATAATATACATTAACCAGGTAGGTTTTATTCTATGATAACAGATTTCCTAATATTGAACAACTTTGTTAATTCAACTTGTTGCATGTATTGGTTAACAGCTCTTAAACTGGATTCAGTGTGGAAGATGAAGGAAGTATCAAGAACTTCTAGATATTTGATTTGAGTGGCTGAGAAGAAGGTAGTAACATTTAGACTTAGAAAGGAACAGATTTAGAGGGATAAAAATTCTGTTTTAGATAATTTTAGTTTCAGATACCAATAGCTATCCAAGTGGAGCTGTCCACAAGACAGCAGTGTACAAGAGAGAAGTCAGGATCGGAGATATAAATATGGTAGTCATCAGCACATGGATGGTATTTTAAAATACAGTATTGGATGGACTATTTTGGAAGAGTGTAGAAAAAGAGTCCAGGAGCAAAATTTTAGTAACTTAAGAATAGGAAGACATTACCTAAATTTGTGAATACCTTATTTTCATGTAGTATATATGCCACTAAACTTAATCGTTTTTTACATGCTAAATTAGGACTTCAGTACAAAAACTATTTAATAAAAACCTCATGCTATCATGATATCACATATGTGGTTTGTCTGCCAGCCTCTGAAAAGCTCCATTTCAATAGCACTGTCATTTTTGGTGTTTGTAAATTATCTGAACCTTTTTTGAGAGAGCAGGAGCTTTCAAACAGTGCTCTTGCAAAGATATCTAAGGAGCCAGGTAAAGAGGGCATGAAGATCATGATCTTAAGACTCCATTAAGGCCAGGCATGGTGGCTCATGCCAGTAATCACAACACTTTAGGAGGCCGAGGCAGGAGGATTGCTTGAGCCCAGGAGTTCAAGAGCAGCTTTGGTAACACACTGAGACCTCATCTCTACCAAAAACAAAACAAAACAAAAAAAAGCCAGGTGTGTTGGCACGCATCTGTGGGCCCAGCTACTCGGGAGGCTGAGGTGAGAGGATAGCTTGAGCCCGGGAAGTTGAGGCTGCAGTGAGCCATTATTGTGCCACTGTGCTCTAGCCAGGGTGACAGAGAGACACTGTCTCTGAAAGGCTGGGTATGGTGGCTCACACCTGTAATCCCAGCACTTTAGGAGGCCAAGGCAGGCAGATTGCTTTAGCTCAGGAGTTCAAGACCAGCCTGGGCAACATGGCAAAACCTTGTCTCTACAAAAAATGGAAAAATTGGCCAGGTGCAGTGGCTCACACCTGTAATCCCAGCACTTATTGAGAGGCCAAGGTGGGCGGATCACTTGAGGTCAGGAGTTTGAGACCAGTCCAGCCAACATGGTGAAACTCTGTCTCTACTAAAAATACAAAAATTAGCCAGGTATGGTGGCGGGCGCCTGTAATCCCAGCTACTCAGGAGGCTGAGGCAGGAGATTTGCTTAAACCCGGGAGGTGGAGGTTGCAGTGAGCCAAGATTGCACCATTGCACTCCAGCCTAGGCAACAAGAGCAAAACTCCGTCTTAAAAAAAAACAAAAAAAAAGGAAAAATTAGCTGGGTATAGTGGTGTGTGCCTGTGGTCCCAGCTATTTGGGAGACAGAGCTTCCGTGAGCTGAGATCATGCCATTGTACTCCAGCCTGAGTGACAGAGTGAGATCCTGTCTCAGAAAAAAACAAACAAAAAAAAGACTTCATTTGAATAAATGGTTTTGTACACACTGTATCATTTACCTTTACTCATATTTTATAGATATGACATAAAAAACGAACAACAGTGATAAAAATAGGTCTCAAAATTTATACCACTGACACAAGGATAGAATCATTAAAATTTCAGCCTTCCTGGATTTAAACTGATTAACAATATGTTCAATTCAAAAACAGACCACGTCTTAAATACTGAAAATATATTGTTGAAGATGTTTCACAAAAGATACTTAGGGATTTAATAATTTAAGGGAATCCCTCTAGGGCATGTAAGTCTATTTTTAAGTTTATCACATTTGACCATTACAGGTATTTTCAGAACATGTGTATATAAGCAGGAGATACCTGTGTTAGAAAACAAGAAGTCCTATTAAAATTGGAAAAGAAAAGGCTGAATGCCTACTACTAACCAGCACTGTTCTCTGATTTCAGCCAATGCAATAAGACAAGAAGAAAAAAGGTATGAATTGAAATACTGAAAAAACCCTGATAGTATTGGGTCATTATTATAGAACCTGAAAATCACGAGACTCAACTGAAAAGTGTTGGAACTAGGTCCTGCAATTGATCTAACAGTACATTAAAGGGTTATTCAGTAAGGTAGCCAGATGATTACATAAAAACAAATAACTTTCTTTTATATCAGCCACTACCAAGTATAAAATATAGCATATGATGAGGAGAATCACATTCATAATAAATGATAGCTAACATTTCTCAAGAATTTAAGTGCTTCGATATATACCATCAAATAATCTCTACAACCATTACCATGACATTACCACGATATGTATTATTATCACCATTTTACAAAGAAAGAAACTGAAGCTTAGGGACATTTTATAAGAAACCTACCCAAGATCACATACATAACCCCCAAGTGTCACAGCAGGAACTCAATCTCCATCTCTCTGACTGTACAAAATGAGCTTCTTAGCACTGTTATGCCCATTCTTATCTATCAAATGAACGTAAATAGGCTGTGTGGGGAAACAGTGATGGGTGCAGAGAAATGGACACATACATTGCTGACAGAAATACAAATTGGTATAACTTTTATTTATTTATTTATTTATTTATTTATTTTTTTTGAGACGGAGTCTCGCTCTGTCGCCCAGGCTGGAGTGCAGTGGCGCGATCTCGGCTCACTGCAAGCTCCGCCTCCCGGGTTCACGCCATTCTCCTGCCTCAGCCTCCCGAGTAGCTGGGACTACAGGCGCCTGCTACCACGCCCGGCTAATTTTTTGTATTTTTAGTAGAGACGGGGTTTCACCGTGTTAGTCAGGATGGTCTCGATCTCCTGACCTCGTGATCCGCCCGCCTCGGCCTCCCAAAGTGCTGGGATTACAGGCGTGAGCCACCGCGCCCGGCTGGTATAACTTTTCTAGATGGCAGTTTGCATGGCCACATCTAGGAATTTGTTAAAAATATATTCAATAATGTTAAACAGACCTATATATACATTTATCACACTGTTATTACAATTAAAAAACTGGTGACATTTTAATAAATATCATAATTAAATTACAGCACTTAAATATGTTGAATGCCATTCAGCTAATAAAAATAATCTCTTAAAAGGATGTTTATGACACAGGAAGACTCTTATGATATACTGAATGAAAAGCAAGAACCAAACAAAACTATATATGCATACACTTTTAAAAAAGAATGTGTTTATAAAGATTAATAGATTTTTTAAAAGATGAAAAAAAGAATTATAAATTTTAAGTCATCTCTAGGTAAGAATTATAGGTGATTTTCACTATCATTTTATATTTTCTATATTTCACATATGTAATAAAATGCTAAAACAACTCAAAATTTAACCTTAAAAGATAAGCTGAAATAGTCAAAGTAATAGAAATGTAGTTTAGAAAACACTTCCCCCATTTGAAACTATTTTTTCATATGCATGATTTAACATACTTTATGCCCATTTTTTTGTTACTTAAGGCACTTTTCTATCTTAGCAAAACTAGAAATAATGTATTTTAACCTAAAACAGACATTTTTTGCTCATTTAATATCTGTTCTAGTCATTTAAAATTACATCAAAATTGCATAAAGTATCCAGTACATAAGATCATCAACTCAATGAGGCCATCAAAGAAAATGATGCCAAAGATTTTTTAAAAGTGTAAGTCAACAATGAGGAGACAGCCTCAACTATATGGGAAAACTGTTCCCTGTGAGTGCATAATAAAAATAAATTATAAAATAAAAGCCAAGATTTGAAACAGATTAAATCACGGAATAAGGATAAAATTAAGCCCACATAATTTTGAATAGGAAATGAGTACAGATGACTAAGAACAAAGAACAAAAACTAATTTTAGCTTTACCCTATAAGACATAAAGTAATAGATTTGAAATCTCTTTGAAAAACCCAAAATATAAACTGACATATTAAAAGCAATAAAAGTGACCTTGATTTTGTATCTGATTATTTCAATTACTCAGAACACAACTAAGAGCCAATGAGTAAGTAGAAAAGCAAAACAAAATCTCTGTTCAATCAAATCAACGACACTGCTAAATCATTTCAGAATATTGAGTGCCTTCTATGTGTCAAGCACTTTTATACTCATTATCTTGAATCACTGAAAACAACTCTTCAAAGTAGATCATGTTTGATGGATAACAAATCAAAGATAAATTGAGATTCTCGCTGAAGGTCACAACCAGTAAATGGCAGAGCTGGGATTTAAATCCAGGTCTACCTGATTTCAGAGGCCCCACCTGCTCTCTCCACACTGTGTAGCCTTTCAGGTCTTCAACCTAGATTATCTGAGTATCCTACAGCTTTTAATTACTGCCTGAACATTTTTTAATTTAATATATAATGTTAGCATGTTGTCATCCAGGTTCACAATCCACAGCGTAAGTCTCTCCTGCAAATTACAGGGAGGGAACGATCATGTCAGCAAGGAACAGCTAACATCAAGGAGACAAGACCCCAAATCACTAACATGAATCCATATAAATTGGTTCCGGCCAGGTGCGGTGGCTCACTCCTTAATCCCAGCACTTTGGAGGCTGAAATGATCCCAAAGTGGATTATGTGAGGTCAGGAGTTCAAGACCAGCCTGGCCAACAAGGCAAAACCTCGTCTCTACTAAAAATACAAAAATTACTTGGGTGTGGTGGTGCATGCCTGTCGGGTAGCTGGTCCATAACCCAGCTACCCGAGAGGTTGAGGCACGAAAATTGTGCTGGGAACATCTGCCCCGGGAGGCAGATGTTGCAGTGACCCAAGATTGCACCACTGCACTCCAGCCTGGGTAACAGATTAGAAGTGGAGCCTAAAGATATGACTGAATTGCTGCAATCTTATGATATTCTCAAAAAAAAAAAAAAAAGAATTGTTTCCTGTTGCCCCCTAACATCTAAAGCAAACAAAAAGCATAACAAGTATTGCTATGCCACTTAGGATAAATTAGAAATCTCAGTAACTGCCAGGCGCGGTGGCTCACGCCTGTAATCCCAGCACTTTGGGAGGCCAAGGCGGGCGGATCACGAGGTCAGGAGATGGAGACCATGCTGGCTAACACGGTGAAACCCCATCTCTAATAAAATACAAAAATTAGCTGGGTGTGGTGGCGGGCGCCTGTAGTCCCAGCTACTGGGGAGGCTGAGTCAGGAGAGTGGCATGAACCCGAGAGGCGGAGCTTGCAGTGAGCCGAGTTCGCACCACTGCACTCCAGCCTGGGCAACAGAGCGAGACTCTGTCTCAAAAAAAAAACAAAAAAAAACTCAATAACTTGGGCCAAGCTACTTAACATCTCCAGGCATCAATTCCATTACCTGGAAGATAAGCAAAACAGTACATACCCAATACAGTTGCAAAACTAAATTAAATAATTTAAGCAAAGCTCTCAATATTGGACCTGGCATAAAGTTAGTACCAATAAATGTTAGCTACTATTATCTTTCATAATAAGTGAAATCATAGGCTACATATTATTTGAAAGAAGAAAAATATACATGTGTATAAATTCTTCCATTTAAAATAGTTAAAATGTTTTGCTCTTGAAAACTTTAAAGACTACCTTTTTGGAAGATTCACTTTTATAATATTTTACTAAGAGAAGTAAATAAGGTTAATTATATTCTTCAAAGACAAATGTGTATTGCCCCTCAAGAAATCACACAACGCATTCCAAGTTAAATTTTAAATGTTTGGGTATCAATTCTATCTGCTTGGCATGTATTATTGTAACCATCTCTTACTCATCCATAGGCATACCTTGGAAATATTGTGGTTTTGGTTCCAGACTGCTGTAATAAAGTGAATGTAATAGTAAAGTGAATATCACAATAGGGCAAGTGATGCAAATTTTCTGGTTTCCCAGTGAATATAAAAGTTATGTTTGCACTATTCTATAGTCTCTTAAATGTGTAATAGCATTATGTCTAAAAAAATGTACATGCCTTAATTAAAATCAGTTTATTGCCACAAAATTCTAATGATTATCTGAGCCTTCAGTGAGTCATATTCCTTTTGCTGGTGAAAGGTCTTGCCTCAATGTTGATGGCTGCTGACTTATCAGGGTGGTGGTTGCTGAAGGATGGGGTGGCTGTGGCAATTTCTCAATATAAGATGATAATGAAATTTGCTGTATTGATTTCCCCTTCCTTCCATGAAAGATTTCTCTGTAGCATGCAACGCTGTTTGATAGCATTTTACCCACAGAACTTCTTACAAGGTTGGAGTCAATGCTCTCAAACCTTGCCACTGCTTTGTCAACTAGGTTGAATTTTTGAAATCCTCTTTGTTGTCATTTCCACAATGGTTCACGGCATCTTCACCAGCAGATTCCAAATTAAGAAACCACTGTCTTTGCTTATCCAGAAGACACAACTCCTCATCTGTTCAAGTTTTATCATGAGATTGCAGCAGTTCAGTCACATCTTTAGGCTCCACTTCTAATTCTAGTTCTCTTGCTATCTGTTCCACATTTGCAGTGATTTCCTCCATTGAAGTCTTGAAGCCCTCAAAGTCATCCATGAGGGTTAGAGTCAACTTCTTCCAAATTCCTATTATTGATGCTATTTTGACCTCTTCCCATGAATCACAAATATTCCTGATGGCATCTAGTATGGTAAATCCTTTCCAGAAGGTCTTCAGTGTATTTTGCCCAGATCCATCAGAGGAATCAATCACTATCTACGGCAGCTGTAACCTTAACAAAATATATTTCTTAAATAATAAGACTTGCAAGTCAAAATTATTCCTTGATCCCTGGACTGCCAGAATGGATATTTTGTTAGTAGGCATGAAAACAACATTAATCTCCTTGTAAATCTCCATCAGAGTTCTTGGTGGTACCCTGTCAATGAATAGTAATATTACATATTTTGAAGGGAATCTTTTTTTCTGAGCAGTAAGTCTCAACAGTGGGCTTAAAATGTTCAGTAAAGCATGCTGTAAACTGATGTAAACTGATCCAAGCTTTGTTGTTCCACTTATAGAGCACAGACATAGTAGATTTAATTAATAGCATTGGGCTGGGTGAGGTGGCTCACGCTTTTAGTCCTCCAGCACTTTGGGAGGCCAAAGTGGGTGGAACATGAGGTCAGGAGTTCAAGGCTAGCCTGGCCAATATGGTGAAACCCCGTCTCTACTAAAAAAATACAAAAATTAGCTGGACGTGGTGGCGCGGGCCTGTAGTCCCAGCTGCTCGGGAGGCTGAAGCAGGAGAATCGCTTGAACCCGGGAGGCAGAGGTTGCAGTGAGCTGAGATCGCACCACTGCATTCCAGCCTGGGCGACAGAGCAAGACTGTGTCTCAAAAAAAAAAAAAAAAAATAGCATTGATTCCCAAGGGCCTTACGATTTTTCGAAATGGTAGACGAACACTGAACTCAAAGTCACCAGCTGCATTTGTCCTTTAGAGAGTCAGCTTGTCCTTCAGCCTGTCCTTGCAGTCAGACATTGTCCTCTCCTCTCTAGCTATAAAAGTCTTAGATGGCATTTTCTTCCAATATAAAGCTGTTTAGTCTATAGAAAAATCTGTTTAGTGTAGTCACCTTCATCAATTATCTTGGCTAGAGCTGGATAACTTGCTGCTTCACCTAACACTCTTGCTTTTTTCCTTAAACTTCACGAACCAGCCTCTGCTAGCTTTGAACTTTTTTTCTGCAGCTTCCTCACCTCTCTTAGCCTTCATAGAACTAGGGAGAGTTAATGCCTTTCTCTGGAATAGGCTTTGGCTTAAGGGAATGTTGTGGCTGGCTTGATTGTCTATCCAGACCATCACCAGCAATACAGAGAAAGTACAGCTGATACTTTCTCCGTATCAACAATAAGGCTGTTTCCCTTTCTTTTCATTTGTGTGTTCACTGGAGTAGCACTTTTAATCTCCTCAAACTTTTCCTTTGCATTCACAACTTGGCTGTTTGTTGCAAGAGGCCTACCTCTTGGCCTAGCTTGGCTTTCACATGCCTTTCTCCCCAAGCTAAATCATTTCCAGCTTTTGAAGTAAAGTGAGAGAACCTGAATCTTCCTTTCACTTGAACACTTAAGGCCATTACAGAGTTATTCATTGGCCTAATTTCAATATTATTGTGTCTCAGAGAATAGTGGGGCTGAGAAGAGGAAGAAAAACAGGGCAACGGCTGGTCGATGGAGCACTCAGAACACACACAACACTGCTTGATTGTTTACCATCTTCTATTGGCACCCCCCCAAAATTACAGTAGTGACATCACAGATTACAGAACATAGATCACCATAACAGATAAAATAAAAATGAAAAAGTTTGAAATATTGCAAGAACTACCACGACGTGACCCAGCAACACAAAGGGAGCAAATGCTATTGGAAAAATGGCGCAGACAGACTTGCTTGACTTACGGTTGCCACAAATCTTCATTTGTAAAAACAAAACAAAACAAAAAAAGAACCAAAAAGCAATGTCTGTGAAGTGCAATAAAATGAGGTATGCCTGTACTTCCTTTTGTTTATCATACCCACTTACCAGCAGATTCATTTAAAGTACTACATTGCTTTTTGCTGGGCATAGTGGCTCACGCCTGTAATCCCAGCACTTTGGGAAGTGGAGGCGGGTGATCACTTGAGCCCAGGAGTTCGAGACTGGCCTGGGCAACATAGAGAGACCCTGTATCAAAAAAAAAAAAAAAAGTACCATATAGCTTTTAATAATAAAAACACATTCATTAAGTATTTACTATATGCCAAACTCTGTAGAATAATCAGGATAAAATAATGTGGCTCAGAGTCCTTGCCCTCAGGGAGCCTAAAGACTACTAACAAGGTAAAAATCCTAGGTACAGTATGGTGTACTATCATTATCATTTTGTACTATCAATTCTTATGACTAATCTATAGGTAGTATTTTCTCTATTGACAGATGAATAGCAGAGACAGAAAGCAGAAAAGAAATGAAGAAGAGTTAACTATCATCTAATATGCAAGTGTTATGGGAAAAAAAGTATTTTGGAAACACAGGGAAGTAAGCAATTACCAATTACTTTGTGTAGGACTGGGGGATTAGGAAATGTTTGTGATTTTTTTTTTTTTTTGAGATGGAGTCTTGCTTTGTCACCCAGGCTGGAGTGCAGTGGCACAATCTCAGCTCATTGCAACCTCTGCCTCCTGGGTTCAAGCAGTTCTCCTGCCACAGCCTCCCGAGTAGTTGGTTTTACAGGCACATGCCACCACACCCAGCTGATTTTTGTAATTGTGAAATGTTTTTACTTAAAAATTCATGTACAAATTCTGTAAAGTATAACTACAGGAATAAAAAAAATAATTGGGTAAATATATATCAAAATATTAACCTGAAGTTATTTCTCAGTAAGGAGATTTTAGGTGGCTTTCATTTTCTCGGTACTTTGCTTTTCTTAACCAGCTTGTACTCCCTTAATAATTTAAAATATAAGTAGAAAAGTCAGCATTAAAATGAGATATTAATGCTCATCATCAAACTTTGAAATCAAGCACTTTCAAAGTTAATACTTAGTGGCTCAAACGTGGGATGAAATCAGTACTCTGACTCTATGTTAATGGTTATACATATCAATATAACTTTTCTGAAAAGCTTTTTGGCATTAAAAAACCTTCAAGTTTATTCTGTTTTATCACTATTTCTAGGACTCCATCCTAAGAACACAGATGCAGAAAAAGGAATTTCACTGGGCTAGTCAACTAAAGCATTATAATATTAAAATACTGGGAAAAAATACATGTCTAACTGAAATAGTAGAATGATTAAATAACACAACGTTAGAAATATTTTTAGATGTCATGAGAAAATCCTTAGTGTACGTTAAATGAGAGAGCGAATGTAGGATATCAAGTTCTACAAGTAATATAATTCCAATTATACAGGAAAAAGATGTATCCTTTTAGAACCAAACTCCTAAGAAAGATGACTTCATTATTTTGCTTAAACCTCACAATACTAGACAAATCTATTGACACGTATTAGGTTACACAGACTTTAATACAGTCATGTGTCACTTGACAAAGTTATGTTCTGAGAAATGCATCCTTAGGCTATTTCCTCTTTGTGCAAACATCACAGAGTATACTTACACAAACCTCTAGATGGCTATACAGCCTACTACACTCCTAGGCTATATGGTATAGCCTATGGCTCTGGGGCTACCAACCTGTACAGCATATTACTGTACTAAACACTGTAGGCAACTGTAACACAATAAGTCTTTGTGTATCTAAGCATAGAAAAGGTAGAGTAAAAATGCAGTCTATAAGATAAAAATGGTACACCTATATAGGGCACTTACCATGAATGAAGCTTGTAAGACTAGAAGTTGCTCTGGATAAGTCAGTGAGTGAGTGGTGAGTGAATGTGAAGGCCTAGGATATTAGTGTACATTACTGTAGATTTCATAAACACTCTACACTTAGGCTACCCTAAGTTTATCGAAAAATTTTTCTTTCTTCAATAAATTACTCTTACTGTAACTTTTTTACTTTATAAACTTTTTCATTTTTTAACTTTTGGACTGTTTTATAATAACACTTGGCTTAAGACAGAAACACATTGTACAGCTATACAAAAATATCTTCTTTCTTTATATCCTTATTCTATAAGCTTTTGTCTATCTAGAAAATTTTTTACTTTTTAAACTTCATTTAAAATGAAGACACAAACACATACATTAGCCTAGGTCTACACAGGGTCAGGATCACCAAGATCACTGCTTTTCACCTCTACATTTTGTCCCACTGGAAGGTCTTCAGGGGCGGTAACAGGCACGGCACTGTCACCTCCTATGATAATGCCGCCTTCTGAAATACCTCCTGATAGACCTGCCTGAAGCTGTTTTACAGTTAACTTTTTTTTGTATAAGTAGAAGGAGTACACTCTAAAATAACAATAAAAAGTATAGTATAGTAAATAAATAACCCAGTAACATAATCGTTCATTATCCTTCTACCATCAGCAGCACTGTAGGTTTGTTTACACCAGCACCACCACAAACATATGAGTAATGCCTTGTGCTATGACATCAGGAGATGGCTATGACATCACTAGGCGACAGGAACTTTTCAGCTCTATTATAATCTTATGCACCACTGTCATATATGCAGTCTGTTTTTAACTAAAACATGATTATGCAGTGCATGACTGTATTTGTTTTAACAGGGACTTAGCCTGGCTAAATTAATTGGAACCCTCATTCTGCTATTATTAATTGTGGGAACTCGGGTAAGTTATTTGACCACATTGTGGTTCGGTATTCTCATCTGAAAAAAGAGGTACTGAAATACCTCTTCATAAGCAGGTAGTAAGCATTAAATGCATTAATACATGTACAGCACTTAGAACAATACTTGGCACAATAAATGTTTCATAGCGTTCTCAAACTTAAACCACAATGCAGTAAACCAAGTGATATCTAAGCTGAGGGCTGAATAAGGTGTGACCCAGGCAAAAGGTGAGGGAAGATAGTTTAAAATGTTCCAGGTAAGCAGGAAGACCATGGGATTTTCTACTTATTCCATATCCACCCTAAGATATGTGATACTTATCTTAAAGGCAGAATGCTTTGAATGTTCAGGTATCTGCTTATGAGCTCTGCTTCAGGCTACATTACTGGGCATAAGAATTATTGTCAGTGTTGTAATGTAAAACCGTGTACATTATACTTTAGGTGCAATTAGTTTCCATTTTTCCTTAAGAAAGTAAAACAATCCTCTGATGATGCTAAGAATAATTAAACAGAGAGAAATTTGCCATAATGTTAAATGAGTTCTCTCTGGATTATGGGATTACAGGTGTTTTAAAAATTCTTTATACCTCTCTATATTTTCTAATTTATTCCACAGTAAGCACATTACATTTCTATAGTCTGAGAAAAGTTATAAAAATCAATAAAAAATATTATTCATTAAGAATGTTTGTTGCTTTCACTGAAAAGTGCTCCTTTTTGTGAACTACACTGCTGTTACATCATTTGCCATGCTGGACTGAAACTGGAGTCTTTTGATTTGTCTCTGTAGTGAACTCAAGCAGCCTGGCAAAAAGACACGGTCCTTGCCTTCAACTTACCTGGCCAGACAGGATTTCTGTATTGTCCTACTACTGTCGTACTATGCAGAGGAAAGGCTTCTCGTCTTACATACTCACTATGCATCACTTAATTTTCAAATGGTGTATGTCAACAAAACAACATACATGATGACACACTTTTTAGAGAACAAACTAAAAACAGAATCCTATCGAGGCAGAACTTGCACAGTGGTTAAGATCATGGGTTATAAAGTCAGACTGCCTGGGTCTGAACTCCTTTCTGCAACTTACTAGCTATATGACTTTGGGCAAGTTACTCAAACTCAGTGTCTCTGCTTCCGCATCTATAGACTGGGGATAATAGAAGCAATGCATAAAGGTGTTCAAGGGTTAAATGAGATAATGCATGTAGACTTAGCATGTTGTCTGGCACATCAGTGTACAAACGTGACTATTACTATGTCACCTATAAAAACCAAAACAACAGTAGAGAATTGATGCCGCCACAACACATATCTGCAGTTATCTTTATACTATCAGATGCCAAAAATTACTATGTGTCAGATATTTAATTTACACACTAATCCTACAAAAATTTTAAACAAATCTTGAATCACCAAGAAATTAGAGATCTATTCTGGGGTGAAATAGATCTTTCTTAAAAAATCACATTCTTGATTGATCATCCTTTCTCTGAACTATTAATTGCAAAACAGCAGCAGAGATTATAACATGTGTTTTGTTGAATCTTCACACATTTTCACTTTGTAAAGTCATGAGATTTCATATGCTGCAGGTCCATGAGGCATATTAGCACTTAAAACACAAGAAGCTTTTTTAGAACATTTGGTAGATTTACGATCAAACTCCGGAATCTCAATATTTTAGGCTTAAATTTGGAATCCTGATTGAATTAATTTTCATTATTCACTGACCATCTTATTTACTTAATATTGCTCTAATAAAAACTATACTCCAAAACTCTATTTGCCAACTTACCCACTCACTACTCCTATCATCTGCCCCATGCGCCACATACTGGACCGCCCACTCCCTGCTTTCCTTCCAGGGTTCACTGACTCATTTGGAAATGACTCCCAACCAGCTCTACCTACTCAAATCCTACCTTTGAGGCACTCCCCAGTACCTGAATTTCTCACTTCTTTTTTCACGGAACTTAGTACTTTCCACATAGCATTATGTTCGTTCATAATCTATCCTTTTAGAGGTCGGGGGCCTTACACAGCAGCTAGAGTGATAATAAGTAATTATTTGCAGAGAGAACAGAAGCATACCAGTTTCAAATGAGCAATAACTGCAGATTAGTGTTATTCTACGTTCCAACAGTAAAAAGATAAAAACATTCCCTACTTAATACCTTGTTTGTTTCTTTAAAAATGCTATCAAATCAGAATTAAAGAATTCTAAATTTATGTACAAAAACAATGAAACACACTAAGAAGTTATAACAGCAACATTTTTACGTCTGTGATAGTAATTAAAATTAATGTAGCAACCACTGTGGTCTGCTAGAATGAAGACCTAGTTGTAGAATGAGAAAAATGTTTTAAACATAAAATTTCTATTAACAACTTGGGATCCGATTTTGCAGACGTTGGTAACCCATGAAAACCTAGCTCCAGAGAAGCCCATAATATAAAATAGGGTATTTTTATATAGTCTGGTCATTAAAACAAAAATTTAGTAAAAGGAAGTGACTAATAAAAACTCTCATCAGTATAGAAACATTCCAAGTTTCTGTTTCCTATCCTTTAATATTTCCCATTATACTAAAATAGTTCCGTTAGACTTCCCTTATTAAATAAAGGCTAAAAAATGCCAGTCACTTTGTTGTTGTTTATTTAAAAGTTCATTTTACTTTGGTTATAATGTTTAAGTACTTTTATGGTGACCAAATACTAGAAGTAGAATCTTGTAACTTACTTTGAAAGTAAGATAGACTCTTTCATGTAAAAATATTAAAACATTTTGAACTATGGGTACATAGTCAACAGGCCATTCTATTTTTATGGTACCATCCAGTAGACAGATTTAGGTAACTGGAAATAAGCATGCCAAATTGTTGAAGAAAACAGGTGAACAGGGGGTCAAGTCCGAAATAGGCATCTTCCTGGGCTTATCACACTAAGATTAATTTTACCAATGTTTGATGAAGCTATCATGTAGTCAAACACAGAGAACCCTAAACTTAAGAAACTGCTACTAAAATTAATTGTACATGTGATTAAATGAATGGAAGTCATACCCTCTAAATCCTAAGTCCATTAAGACAAAAACATTTATAACACACTGTATTTATGACTTCTTGTGGTTCTTGAAAAGTCAAAAATTGTGTTTGAGGTTTATCTCGTTTTCCGTTTATAATATGCATTTTAAAAGTGGAAAAACTCAAGCACGTAACAAGTGAAAAACTGAACAACGTTGCCAAATTCCTAAACATACAATACTTAGCTCCAATTATCTCTGCATCTATTCTAAAATGGTTTAAAAAAAGTCTGAATCAATAAGCGCCTGATGGGCCTGGGATACTCCAATACAGTCTTGTCAACCAATAGGAAAACTTTTCCTAAATCTGGATTCGTCTTTCATCTCTTTATCACAAAACACCGAACACAAACCGAGATTGTTAACGGATAACCAAATGGCAAGAACCCCAGACAGAGTAATCAGTACTTGGATGTTAGGGCTGTTTTTAAGGACTTGAAATGAGACAGCTTAGGGAAGAAATGCGGGATTCATTTCTCCAAGTTATATTTGTAACACTTCTTAATACGGAGTTAAAAATGTGAACAGCCGAGCTAAAATGAACGCAGCGTGTAAAAGGGATCTGGACTGGAGCCTGGGGGTGAAGGAGGGACGAGGGGGGAGTGAGGGGCTTTCGTGACGCTCGGCCTGGGGTTGCTGGCGATCTGGATGGAGGGATGGATAGTTAAGCGAATGGCCAGGGCTGGATCCGAGATGCCAAGAGATGTCTCGCCCCACGAGCGCGCGCGAGTCTGAGCCGCTGGGGCAGCGCAGTGTGTCCGTTTCCATCCGCGGCGCCCGAGCCCGCCTCCATGTTCGCGATCTATGCCCCCGGGCGGGCGGGGACCGGTGCCTTAGGCCGCGGGGCCGGGAAGCCCGGCCTCACCTCGCCCGAAATCCCGGCGGGGACGGCGTTGCCCGAGGGGAGGATGCGCTGGGCTTTCCGCTCGGCCCCACCTGAGCGACCGGAGCTCGGTGACTCGACCTCCGGAGCCCGACCCGCCTGGGCCTGGAGATCACACGGCGAGGTCGCTGCGGCCCCGGCGCCCTCCGCCTGGCGCCCGGGCGCGGCCCCGCGGCCCTCCCCACGACCGGCTACCCCAGGACCACTCTCGCCGCGGTCCGCGTCCCCCACCCCCTTCCCGAGGACAAACCTGGGAGCCGCCACCCGGCATAGCCAGCCCCGCGAGAAAGCGGCGAGCGGGCGGCGGGGCCCGCGGAGAAGCGGCCACCGCGGCCCTCCCGCGCCAAGCCGCGCCCGCCCGCGCGCCCTCTCCGCGGGCCGCAGCCCCGGCGCCCCCTCCCTGGGTTGCACAACTCACAGCCCCAACGCGCGCGCACTCGAATCTGTTGCTCAACCTACTTGCATTCTCTTCTCCGCAGCCATCACTACATGCCCTGGAGCTGGGGCAGCCCCGGGGCCCTCCGGCAGGCGGCCGCCTCTCGCCTCAGCCCTGGGCTGCCGCGGCCGCCGCTAGGGCGCGGGGCGAGCGCGAGGCTCCCTCATGCCTCCCGCCCGGACAGCTGGCCGCACGCCAGGGCCCCGGCTCGGGCGCGCCCGAGCGCTGGGCTCGGCTCGGCCCTGCCCTTCGTCCGTGCCGCTGCTCCGCGGGCGAGAGCGAACCCGGCTCCGCCACCTCGCTCCGCGCTCCTCGCCCGCCCGCCCGCCCGCAGCCACCGCAGCCGCGCCGCTTCCTCCTCCCCTTCCCTCTTTTCCTTCTCCTCCGTCGCCGCCTCTGGAGCCGAGGTTGGCAAACCAGCACCTGCTGCTGGAGAACGCCGAGAACTGAAACAGGAAACCCTGAGCCAAGGGGAAAACCCGAGAGGCGTGGAGAGGGGTGAGGGGAGCTGCTGGAACCTGTCGGGCTCGACCCAGCCGCTGGGGCTGCCCGAGGTTCCCGCGCCGCCTCCCCTCGCGCCTATTCCCTGCCCCGGCCCAACCCAGCGGTCCCGACCTCCCCGCGCCTCTCCCCCGACCTGGTGCAGGACGGCGCCTTTCCGCTCGGCGACACCTTCTCCACCCAGCAGTAACACTGATCATGTCCCGGGCAGTCAAGGAGATCGACGGGCCGCCTTCTTAGGGCAGGTTCCCCGTAGTTGTTTACTTATCAATATTCCGTGATGAGGAAAAACCACACCCTGCATTAGCAAGGCCAATAAAAGAATTTAAACAAATGAAGCTGTTGGGATTTCACCCAGGGATAGGACTTCTTTCAGCAAGGAAATTGGCTTTGATGGAAATGGCAATCGTGTCAAAATCGAGGTTGAACCCAAGATACATCCAGATCTCTTTCAGGAGATCGGAAGGAAACAGCCCTTTGCACAGAGGTGGGCGCCTGAATCGCAGGCTGAAAAGCACCGGGAGCAGAGAGCCTTTCTACTTCTGTGAATCGTACAACACCCAGCACAAACTAAGTCAATGTTTCAGAAATGTTCAAATAACCTTATTCGCCTGTCCTTGGAATCATTACGAGCAGCCTAGGGCAGGATGAGTCTGCTTCTGGAGTGAGAGGGAGGGACACTGAATGGGTTGTGCCCCTACCATATGCCACGGGCCAAATAGCCTGCTTTAAATCCACTGTCCCGTTTGTCACCACAGCCATGTGAGCTGGGTATTAGAAACCCCTTTATCCATCAGAAAATCGAGGTTAGAAAATTTACCTGCAGTTACACAGCTTGAATGTGAGGTATTCAGGTCTGTTACATCTAAAGGACGCATTTGTTTCACTGGACCACGATTCATGCCTTTGATCAACTTTTTACCTTTCATAAAATTAGTTTTGCCTCTGAGTTGTTTTCAGTAGGGCATATATATGGTTTAAGCCTGGATCTGTTGAATTTGCTTGGACTGCCTAATGGTAGTGATATTCATGATGCTTATTGGGGTTCAAACTTGATAATTTTCAGTTTAATATTCTCTACCAAATGTAGGCCTTTATGGCTCAGTTGAGCAGCACAGATGTCCCCATCTTTTTGGCCAGCATCAGTTGCTCTTTAGCTGTTGATGTTGGGGTCCCAGCTGAGAGTATCCTACTGGCTGGTGCACATGAGCATCCTGACTCTGCCTGTGAGATGAAAGGAGAGTGTCTTACTGAGCCTGTTTTCCACGTCAGTAGGCCAGTCATGAAGCCGATTAAATAAAATTGCAGGTAGGCAGGTAGGCTGCCTTCTCTGGTTCTGTGGTGCACACTTTTTTTTTATATAGAGTCTGACCCTGTCGCCCAGGCTGGAGTGCAGTGGTGCGACCTCAGCTCACTGCAACCTCCGCCTCCTGGGTTCAAGCGATTCTCCTGCCTCAGCCTCCCCAGTAGCTGGGATTACAGGTGTGTGTCACCACATCTGGCTAGTTTTTGTATTTTTAGTAGAGACAAGTTTTCCCCATGTGCCCAGGCTGGTCTCAAACTCCTGGCCTCAAGTGATCCATCTTCCTTGGCCTCTCAAAGTGCTGGGATTACAGGCGTGAGCCACTGTGCCCGGCCAGGTCCACATTTTTTCATACCACCCTGAAGACCCTTAGGAAGATTGGTAGCCTGCTGTCTGCAGCCGGGTCAGATTTTTATTGGCAGGAAAGTAGGGGCTGGGAAAGCAGCCCCTTTACACTGTGCCAAAACCTTGGAGGTCTCTGGAGCAGAGTTAGAGGCCCTCAATCTTAGGATCTCTAAGGGACTTAGCAGGGACTTAGAACGAGACTGGCTGTTTGACGATAAGTGACAGCATCTATGGCACGGCTTTAGTGATGCCAGGAAGTTCCTCCACTCCGCAGTATACTGCCCACACAGTCTACCTCTTACCTTGTATCCCACAGTTGACTCAGCTGAACTCCATTGATTAAGCTTGGTTAAAAATCAAGGTAAAAGAGATGAGTAATAGTTATAATAACTAACATTTAATGAATGCTTACCATGTTCCAGATACTATTCTAAGCACTTTGCATGCGTTGTCTCATATAATGCCCACAAAACCCCTATAAGGAAACACCTATCACTATTTCCATTTCACAGACGAGACAACTAAGACCAAGATTATAGTCAGTAAATAACAGTGCAGGGGCTAAAATGCAGTCAATTTGACTCTAGAATCAGGACCCATTATGTGAATAAGATACAGTAACTGCCCTTATTACTTTACTATTTATTTGGAGAAATAAAAACACATGAAAAATTAAAAGAAAACTAAGAAGAGAAGATAATTTATAGGTGTCAAATGTGAGTATAGGTAATAAATGCCATGAGGTATCAGAAGACAGAGAAATCACTTTAGGTTGGGGTGGTTAGGAACACTTACATAGAAGATGAGTCGGGGTTTCAAAAAGGGGAGATTTGAGCTGGATTGTGATGAATGAGTAGTATTTTGATAAGTGGAGAGGATAAGGAAGAACATATTCATAGAATTGATAACATATACGAAGAGTGCCAGGGAAATTTGGGGAACAGGATAACAAACAGCTGGAAAGGAAAAGTAGGACAAAATTACAGAGATTTGCAAAACAAGCAAGGAATACACTCTCACTCATGCACAGAGTGAGAGAGCAAGAGAGAGAAAGAGAGAATTTGGCTCCATGTAGTCTGTGTACTAGTAGGGAATCTGGAAGGATTTTGGTCAGAAAGTGATAATGTCCCATTAGAGGAATACCAATATTGTGATGGTCACCGGATGGTTTGGAAAATGGAGGGAAACAAGTTTGCAGGCTAATATGGGAGAATTGACCTGAAATCACGAAGTGGACAGTGAGAGAGGGAAAAGAAGAAATGGGCTAGTGAGACACTGTGGTATACAAATCATAGAGGCTTTGTGAATGATTGAGTGCACTTAGTGGAGATGGACTTAAGAAAAGGAAGAAGTCTAAAATGACTTCATGGGTGCGAATGTGAAACCTGTAGCATTACTAATGGAAAAAAGGGGCAGTGTATGAGTACAGAAACTACTTTTAAAAACGTTCAGAATAGTTTGGTTTTAGGCATGTATTTGAGTTAACAGCAGGATATGCATGTGGAAATATTTTATAGTCCTATCTCAAAAAGGCAGATAGTTCAGTAAATGAGAGTATTCATTATCTACTATTGAGAGCGTCAGTATGAAAATTTAAAATTTTCACTATGATAACAACAACCAGGCATGGCTGTTCATCTTTAATAAACCAGAGTGGAAAGAAAATTTCAAATAAACATAAAATGTTTATATGACTCAGTATTAAATAGGCATTAGGGAATTCCACTCATATTCTCTTTTTACCCCCAAATTATATTTACTTAGAGAGAAAGAGACAGAGAGAGAGAGAGATAATGAATATATTGGGAAGAATTTTCATGGGTTCAGAGGATGTTAGGATAATGAAAAGAAACTTAGAGATCATTGCAAAATTGAGGATCAAATTCTGAACATCTGATAGTAGACTTCAAAACAGGCATTAGGCAAATATGGCACTTTAGCTATTATTGATTCTGGATAGCCAAATCTTTTTTGGTTACAAAGTTAAGTCTGGACCTTGGATTGAGACTTGGAATTGCACATAATTAAAAAGCTCTAGTGGCTGTGGCTTCAGAGTAGGCAAAATCTTGGAATAGACTCACTAGTAAAAAGCAAATGCTTTGGAAAGAGCAGCTAGAGGGAGGATGGTCACAAAGGCAGGAGTCCTACCTTCCAAAATATGGCGCTTAGGTAGACTTCCACACACCTAGATTCACATTTGAGCCTTAAAAGGTAGAGTTTCAGATCCTCCTCACATCTCACCTTGGCTGCCTTAGTCCAGAACTTCCAATTACCTTGTCACCTTATCTAAGACCTCCCAGGGCTTCAGGTGGTCACCCTCAGGTGGCACACCTCCTGGCAACTGCTTTTAGTTCTATTTAGAGGTTTTCCGGTGGTGTCCTTAGGAGTTTTCTCATTGAAAACGTGTGGACCCCATGGCTACACTTGGTGTTGCAGGAGAGTTCTGTCTCCTGCTTTCATGTCTCAGGCTTCTGCCATTTCTGCCAAAACACTTACCTTAGTTGAAGCAATATCAGCAGTTCCCCGGAGGCACCTTCGCCTCTGTCTCTTTGGCCAGCACCTGATTTCCTCTAGTTGAAGAGCTTCACACGCATAACCAGGTGACTATTCTGATGTTTCATTCACAGTTTCTTTTATGTCTTTTAGAGAAGTTCTGGTTAATTCCAACAACCCATGAAACGTCAAGCATTACCACATTACAACCATTTACTAAGCACCTGCTGTGTACAAGGCAGACACTGAGGGCTGAAATATATCCTTGCTTATAAGCTTCAGTGACTGGCTAGAGTTCCTTTTTAGTACTGAGTTCTTAGGGAAAGGAAACTAGAGGACACAAGAAATGTGCTGCTGACCAATCTCAGGGCTTCTTTCTTTTGGTGGGTAACCACAAGATTCCTTACCAGCAGTATGACTGTTTTTTCCCCAGTATTTGTAGGAGGCCACCAGAGAGACAGGATTGCAAGGTTTTAAATATGCTAGTGTCATGAGGTCATGGATTTCCTACCTGAAACAGATAGTGTGACTGCCCTGCTATAGCCATGTTTGGCCAGTGTAGGAATTTTGAGAACAGTGAACACTTAATACTCAGATGGCATTTTGCCACCCCGACAAGGACCATACCTGCCATTCCATTGTAGTTCGCCTTGCCCAGAAGTTTTAAAATTTTTCTTTCAGCCTGGGATTTCAAGTGTACTACAGCATCCTCTTCACCTATACAAGCGTCTGTTGTTTTAAAAGGAAACTGGTAAGTAGAATTACAAATGTACAAAATTTAGATAGTTAAAAACAGAGTTATAGAATTTGCAGGTTAGAGTACATCTTCTTAGAAGACTGTATTGCAGAAATGTTAATTGTAACATTATTTGCAAAGGCAAAAAGTATTAGAATCAGTCTAGATGTCCATTAATAGGAGACTTTAAATAAACTGCAGTATCTCCATACATTGAAATACCATTCACCTGTTAAAAGAGGGTGGTGTGGCTTTATGTGTATGGAATAAACTTTAAGATACATTGTTTGGTGAAAAGGGAAGGTAAAGACCAATGTCTACTACCATTTGTGTAAAAAAACTCTGTGTTTGCTTATATATGCATATAATATCTCTGATGAACACACAAGAAACTGGTAAAGCTGGTTGTCTCTGAGTAGAAGAACTGGATAATTGGGAAGAAAGGGTGGAGAAGAGTCTCACTTTTTACTCTATACCCTTTCATAGCTTTTGAATTTTAAATTGGGTACTTGAATTCGCTATCAAAAATATTTTTTAAAAGGCTTTTATTGGTGATGTGTGCTCTGTCCATGCCTTTCTTTTGCATTCTGTGAATAAGCAGCCACTGTTTTTTTCAAATAGTAGCCCAGTCACAAGGAAGAGGAAGTTATAGGAGTCCTGTGAGTTGCACGTGTGAAGGCTGGGGCTTCCCAGGCAAGGGAAAGATTCCTATGATCATATGAAAGGGGAGATCCCATTATTGCTCAAGGATTCCCAGCCGGCATTAAACGGTGTTAGTCATTGTTTTTACAATTTAATTGTCAAAAGCTCTAAACCCAGATTATATGAAGATTTTTGTTGGGAACTGCTTTACCCAAGGGGAATATCCAGGGATGTTCTTGTGGGCAGACACAGGAGGAAGTGCACAGAAGCTGGAGGTATCACAGTGGATCAGCTGTAGGCATAGGGTCAAGGGAGCATGCATGTTTGTTCATAACACTCATCACTTAGAATTGTATTTGCTTATTTGATATATTATTGGTCTTCCCACATGAGAATGTAAGCTCCCTGAAGCCAGGAGCTCTGTCTGTCTTGCTCCTTGTGGTGCCCTTAGTTTTTCTGTGCCTGGCATGTGGAAGACATGCAGGTTGGCGATGGACAGTGGGAACCCTGATGACTCTCCAACCCGTGGCTGCTTGTTTAAGCATTAATTTGTTAGAAGGTAGTAAAGACATGGCTATGGGAACTAGGATTCTGGACTCCAGTCTCTGAAAGTTAGGATTCAAATCTCAGAGGAACTGGGGAATTACAAAAATATTCAAGCATGAGGGAACAAGGAAGGAGCCAACTACTGAACTAGCAGAAGAAGGCAGGGATTCGGTTAAAAAAGAAAAAAAAAGATGAGCAACTGACCAGCAAACATATTAAAACAAAACAATTCTCCAAACAAACAGCAACTAGCACAGTGATAAAATAGGAGAGAGAGTCCATAATTAGGGCTGCAGTTTACAGGAACAGCAGGATTATCAGCAGGGCAGGCTTGCTGCTAAGTCACTGAACCACCGGAGACTTGAGTAATTGGGATAGATTAGGTCACTTGACTTAGGGTCTATATCGTCTTCAGAGTCTAGGATGGGGGCAGGTAAGTGAGCTTAGTGACTAAGGACAGAGGCATAGAGGGGAAACAAGCAATCTAGTCCCAGGTACTCACTTTCAACTTAGGGTGGAAGTCAACGGAAAATGTATACTTACAGCAATTTTGATTGAACACCGAATTCTAGGAGATTTTCAGCCCAAGAATATCCAGAAGGAGTCAGAAATAGGGAATCTAGCCAGAAAGGAAATGTTAAGCACATCTCTATGAGTCCTACAAGCAAATGCCATTGGTCTTGGTGGGCAGCGATTAAGGCCAGAGAGATAAATAGGCTAGAGCCATCCAACAGTTTTTAATGGTTTCGGTGGGTCACAGATCACATTCAGGGATTTGGTGGAGGTGAGCTCTGACCTTAGAGGAGTGATTTGTCTTCTGCCCATTCTGTTCTGTGGTCACTCTAGAGCACACAGGTTTAAACTTACAGACAGAGGTAAGTCTGGCTATACTTTGGGATACATTAGAGCCATTCACCTATTCCTGTGTCTCATGGTCCTTCATTTTAGTTAAAAGGCTTACCTTATTTGAAACAGTATCAGTAGTCCCCTGAAATGTTTCTCCAGCTCTTCACTGGTCATGTGACTTCCTCTAGTGTTTGAGTCTTATACACAGACCTCTGAAGATACATTGAGAAGGGCTAGGCCTTCTGATTCATTCTTACAAGCATCTGTTTTTAAAAGTGAGCATTGTCTGTCTTTGGCAGTCCCTACTTTCTAATGGAGATTTTGCTAGAGAAATACAGAAACTTGTCATTTTATTTTGGATAACTACAAGAGGCAGTTAAATGTTCAGTAAGCTTTGGCAAGGACAACTTGTTTACGAGAAGACACTGTTCTGATGAAATGTACTACCACTGCTTTTTGTGGCTTACTTTGCTAAAACATATGTTTGCAAGAGCATTTTAGAGTGTTGGTAGGATAGTGTCTATATAATTACTTGTATTATCTTAATGGTCAGTTCTCTATGTACAGAAACGGGAGCTGGCTTTTTTTAAGACTTTTTTATATATATAGCCAACCAACAGTTAAATTGAGGCTCAAATGCTTCATCTGTATGGACCTTGAAGAAGTGTTAATGGAGATGGATTTTACTGCCTTTAACATCTGGTTCATTTTAGTATTTCAATATATTATTTTAAATTGTAGCAGAAAAACATGCTCATTATAGAAATTTTTTAAGGAACGTAAAGTTTCAAAAATGTAAATGATCTCTAATGCCATCACCCAGAGATAACCAACCACCTCTTCTTTCATTGTCTTCATGCTATGCCTATATTCTACTATTTTTTTTATTTTATTCAATCAACCAACTGTTTGTTGAGTGCTGGCACTGGACTCAGAATCATAAAAATAAAGGACATGGCCCATATCTCAAATAAATTTAATAACTCAGTCACCTGGTATCCCGAGGGCTTGTTCTCAAAATAATTCTCTGTCCATTTTGTGGATTTTTTCATTGAATGCATGTTTACTGAGCACCTGCTGTGTTCTGGGCACTATTTGGATGCACTACTACTTCCTAAGTCAGACTTGGAGAATTCCTAAGTTGAAGGCAGGTGCTGCTTTCTTCAGTGTATCCTGCCAACCCCTCATCTTTTATGGCTCTCTCCTTTGCTTATTCTCCACTAGAAACACTGACCTTATTGTTCTTTTTGTCTCTCTCTCTGGAGCATCCCCCCCACCTCCCCAGAAATCTACAAGGCTTATTCTCTAACGTCCTTTGGATTTCTGCTCAAATGTCACCTTATTAGAGAAACTTTCCCTCACAACCTATCAGAATATCACCACGTATCTTTCCTCTATCTGCATTCTGGTCACTACCCATCTCCTGAACTCAGTTTTTTTTAATCACATATATTAGGTGATTGTAAGTGCCTATATACACACACATATATATATATATATACACACACACACACATATATATACACATACATATATATACACATATATACATATATATACACACATATATATATATACATACACATATATATTTGCTGAGAAGGGGGCCAGATAGGATGCTTATGGCTTCAACCTTCACTTAACACAGGCTGAAAACTGTAGACTTATGATACTATCAAGATTTTGATGGCTGGGGAGCAGATCAGGATCAGAATATAAGTATGGTAGATTCTGTCTTGTTAATAAATAAATAATTTTATAGGAGAGGCAGAGTAGTGGTATGGTATATGAATGGAAATTTGTTTGCCAAAGGTGAAAATGTAGGAAAGTTTATTTGAATAAGGTAAAAAGAGAACAGACATGGCATCACTATTGGGATATATCACAGGAAATGCAGACAGATGGTAAATATACAGGTGAGACTTTCTGCAGAGAGATCTCTAAATGGGCACAGTGAGAAACAGCAATGAGTGAAGTCTTTAGATATCTAGGAATCTGTTGTACATTGTAATCAGCCAGAAGCAGAATATCTCATAAAGTCATGACTTACACTGTGGATTCTGTTTTCCTTTGGCTTCTGTGATACCACTTCTTTCCTGGATCCTCCCCTTGCTATCCTGATCAGTCTCTTTGGGGTTTTTCTTTGTATGTTGAGGCCTACAATGAATTTCTCTTGATCTGTTATCTTTTGGCTCCACCCACATGCCCTGGCTTTTCTCACACATTCCTGTGTTTTTAGCTACTACCTATGTTCTGATGATTGTCAAATCTATCACTGTAGTCCATTGTACCTGGCACGGAGTAAGTGTACAATAAAACCATCACTTGATTATTCAAAATTAATAAATGGGCTTTGTTGAGCTTCTACTGTGTGTCAGCTATTGTTGTAGGTGTTGGAAAAGTTTCCTGCTCCAATACAGTTTATATTATATACCCAACATACAATTAAAGACACAAAATGTACACATAAACAAATGAACAAAATAATTTCACGTAATAGTAAGTGCTCAGAAGAAATAAACTAGAGTGGAGTACTGACAGGTCTGGAGCTGGCATGTGGGTGGTAATCAGAGGAGGCATCTTTCAAATGCCATTTGAGCTGAAATGATGTTCAGGAGCCAGCCTTGCAAAGCAATTTGCAGGTGGAGCATATAGCAAGTGAAGGAGCCTCCAGACAGTATAAGCAGTGTATTGGAACTTGGTGAGGGAGGGGAGTGTGACCTCAGTAGAGGTGGCCCCTTCAGGTGAGTCCTGGGCTCAGCAGTTTGCCTCAGGAACCCACATCTTCCCATTGTCTTACCCCCAGCCAGCCTCACTTATTTTCCTTACTTGCCTGGTGCTTGTAAACATTTACGTTCATGTCCCTTTCCTGCTCTTGATAAATGGCACTGGCAGTTATCAAACCTCCATGTTTCACTTTACTTCCTGGCCTTCACATCAGCTGCTCTCTCTGCCTGCAACACCTTTCCCCTAATAGCTCTGCGAATGAAGATTTAACTTGGCATTTCATTCCATTCTAGAAAGCCTTCTTTGATCTCATCTATCTGGGTTACATGTCTTTCCTCTATACTCTCAGAGTACCATGTGATAACCAAGGCACAGAAAAGTTGAATAACTTGTCCCAAATCACACGACGGAGACAGGATTTGAACTCAGGCAGTCTAACCTTATTCTTAACAGCCTCATGAGGCGTGGTTGTAAGGAGAGTTACGTGGGTGATGCAGCCACGGCTTAGCACAAGCCATGACATTTAGAAAATACTCAATCAATGTTAGGTCTAATTACAGACACAAGCTCTGTTCCTGAGAAGCTTATGGTTAAATGAGGGAGCTAAAAGCCTAGTAAACAAATGAAAAAGTTGGGAGGAAACAATTTGAAATTCTAGAAAAATGTTTATTATAGTTTTTATTGTTTCTCTCATTTGTATCCCTTTCTATAAAGCACTTGCCACTAATAACAGTGATGATGAAATTCTTTGAAGAAGAAAATATTTGAAAAAGAGAAGGTCTTGTGGAAAAAAAATGATGAATTCAGTTTTAGACATGTTGACCTTGAGATACTTCTGGAATATCCAATTAGAGATGAGCCGTTGGCTGGACAAATGGCAACACAATTCACCCTGTTACTTAAGCATCATCCTTGATTCGTCCTTTCCCTCACTTCCACATCTAATTCAGCAACCGGGCCTTGTTGGTTCTGCTTTCAAAATATATCTGTAATCTGTCCTCTTCCCTTCTCTACCACAACCCTGATCCAGACCAACAGTATCTCCCTGTGCCTCGCTTTCTCCATCTGTAAAATGGGGATAGTGTTTACTTTATGGGATTGTCATGAGCCTTCAATAAAATAATTTATGTAAAACACTCAGCATATTATCTAGAACATAGAGGAAGGAGGCACCAAAAAATAGAGGACCAAGACTGTGTGGAGCCAAGGAATCAAAGGAGCAAGTATTTCTAAAAGAAAAACTGTTTATCAGAAGTTAAGAAGATTGGGAACTTCCAAACATGTAATATCTTGTTCTGTTAGGACATGTTTTCCTAAGAGTGGTGAAATAGAAAGTTGAACAAGGTTATTCTACGCAATCAGTTAATCAGAATAATGTATACAATTATCTCCAGAAAGATTGAGTCAACTGGAGTCTCTTGATTAGAAGCAACAAGAGTCAGCTAGAATCTGGTTGACTCAGATCACCTCTGTTGAGTCAAAAGTTTTTGTGCCAGGCCATCCTACAGGCTGCTGACCAATCTGTGGATTGGCTTTTTTTTGGGGTCAGTTACCCAATCCTGTTCAATCCGTGGAGACCAGAGAGGGGTAAAACAAAACCACCATGGTCGGCTAAGGCTGCTCTTGGGGCTCCAGATGGAACAGTTTCCCTTAGAAATGGCTCTTGGCTCTGGATGTGGCAGGCGTAGTTATGTTGAGGAAAAAAATGAGGTTTGAAGTCTAATGCCTGGTTTTGAGTCCCAACTATGCAGTTCCAGTTGGGACGAGCTGTGTACTGTGAATAAGTTAGTGTATTTCGCTACTGCTTGGCTTCTCCTTTAATAAGTAGATATGTTCTAAATGCAGCCGGGTGCGGTGGCTCCCAGCAGTTCGGTAGGACAAGGTGGGCAGATCACCTGAGGTTGAGAGTTCAATACCAGCCTGGCCAACATGGTGAAACTCCCATCTCTACTAAAAATACAAAAATTAGCAGGGTGTGGTGGCAGGCGCCTGTAATCCCAGCTACTTGGGAGGCTGAGGTAGGAAAATTGCTTGAACCTGGGAGGTGGAGGTTGCAGTGAGCTGAGATTATGCCACTGCACTCCTAGCCTGGGTGACAGAGCGAGAAAAAAGATCCATCTCTAAAAAAAAGATATGTTCAAAATGTCATAGATGTTTGCTTTGGAAAGCACTTTATAAAACACAACCACCCTGAATCATCCACGTCCTGAATAACCTTTTAACTTACTAAGACAAACATTTTTAAATGGAATTATTAAGTTAATTTTTAAAAACCCTTTGTTAAGATACTTTGCTAAAGTGGCACTACTCTCTGGGAATAGGATGGATATAATTTTCTCAGATGGTTTTCTGTTCTTTCAGAATTACAGGAGGAAGAAATTCCTTAATGCTAGTGAGAGATAATATTTGGCCAACTCAAGCCAGAACGGTCTACACATGCACAAGTCACTGCTATGATTTTAGTTCCTAAGAATTAGGTTGAAATGCAGTAGACTAGCCAAGACTCTCCTTTTTTAAGAAATTAATTATTTTTATTGGCAATCATTATATATACTTATGGTGTACAATGTGATATTTTGATATTTGTATATATTGTGGCATGACTATATCAAACTAATTAGCATATGCATTATCTCACCTTATTTTTTTGTGGTGAGACATTTAAAATCTACTCTCTTAGCAATTTTCAAGTACTGTGTACAATACATTGTTAAGGATCTTCTTTAAAGAAGCAAAATTGTATTAAGGAACTCTGACAAGAAAGTGGAAAGAGAATTAATAAAATGAGAGCAAGTTCAATGGGGCCAGAAGGTTGACCTAGGAGTCTTTCCTTCTATTCTTTTTTTTTTTTTTTTGAGACAGTCTTGCTCTGTTGCCTAGGCTGGAGTGCAGTGGCGCGATCTCGGCTCACTGCAACCTCCACCTCCCAAGTTCAAGAGATTCTCCCCCCTCAGCCTCCCAAGCAGCTGGGATTACAGGTGTGTGTCACCACACCCAGCTAATTTTTGTATTTTTGGTAGAGACGGGATTTCACCATGTTGACCATGCTGGTCTTGAACTCCTGACCTCAGGTGATCTGCCCATCTCAGCCACCCAGGGTGCTGGGATTACAGGCGTGAGCCACTGCCCCTAGCCCGACCTAGGATTTCCAAGATGTTCTCAGTGGTTGGGAATTTCTCCCAAAGCCACGCCCCCTTAGTAGGCCAGTCAGCTGAGGAGAGAGAACAGGCTGGAAGCCAAAGTATGGTATGAGGACTGCAGAGGTAAGAGAAAACAGTTAAATGCTGATGCACATTGCATGTTAATACACAGTCATTGCCTCCTGGAAACTATATTCTGGGATTTAAAGTGAGAATACCCCAAACTCACAGCACATGTTTTTGCAATCTCAAGGCTGACAATTGCCTTGCCATTGCAAAACTTGTGTTTCTGTGTCCTTTTCTCTCTTAACTAATTAGCCTGTGCATTACCTTGGCTTGCTTGAGAAACTACCTCATTCCCCAAGCTATAATATATAGCTGGAGTAAATATTTTTAAAAATAAATATTGAAAACTTTGTTCATTTTTTATTTTAAAAGAAGTCCAATGTTTTCTAAAGTAAAAACAATGAAATAATCAGGATTCTGGTCTCATGTGATAGAATTTATTAAAGAATATTGGTATGCCTGACAGTCTCTAGAAGTGCTGGAGAACTGAGCTTGGAGGCTGTGGAGCCTGGCACTATGACCAACATTATGCAACAGAAGTATTCCAGGAAGATATCAATGCCTCTGCCAATAGGCACTGACACCACAGCTTGTCTTACCTCCAGCCTGATGCTGGCACTGGAGGTGGCCACTAGAATTGTTATGCTTGCTGCTTCTGCAAAATGAATATAGCTTCTGTCCCTGCTATTACCCTTGCCAGAATGGACTCCTTGAGGTTCCTCCTTCTTTGGTCATGAGCTCTGGGTTCAAAATGTGAGGGGAATGCATCCAATCAGATGACTCAAAGCCACATGCCATCATCCTAGCTGCAAGAGAGGCCAGGCAAGCTAGTACTTAGAATGTTCAGCTTCTAGAGTGGGAGGTGGGCTCTGCCTCATGAGGTTTCTCATGCATAGTGAAGGGGCTTAGATGCTGGGGAGCCAAAAACATTAAAAATATATACAAGGTTTGTCTTCTGTTAATAAGCGCTTGATTTAGTTAATACAAGATACTTTGACACACAGCCTCTAATATTTCAGACATTTCCTTTATGGCTCTCAATTTTTGTTGGTAATTCCTGCAAGGTCCCCAAGAAAGTGATTCACAAGAGCCTTTTACCTGAATAATTTTTCTCAGGAATATTATGTAAATAGTATTTTTACTTCAAAATCTTAACATTTACCAGCATTAAAAATCAAGATATGTTTTTGTTGCACAAATATAATTGTTAATATATTGAATAATTAGCTATAAAAATAATGAATCAATTGGACACTTTTATATTTAAGATATGCCAAAATTACATAGCATTAAGACATGTATTGTCATGATAATATATTAAACAAGGAAGGAGTATCACAATAAATATTTTATTTATTCTTATATATTTTTTAGATTTCTGTCTGGACCTCTGACAATATACAGATGTAGTAAAGAAGATTCAATCTCTTTTTGTTGCTGGTGGACTATTTTTGTAGTCCAATATCTAAGACTAATAAGAAACTCTCTTATCAAAGCTACCTAATAGTCATTTCACAATTGATTAGCAATGCTAGTCGTGATGCAGATACATGCCACATGTAAAAATTTCTAATATCTATGGCCACTGTTTATTCTCTTCCAACTCCTAGTGTAATTAATTTAGAAGTTAGGAAATTTATAAGCCAGATGGGAATTAGACTATGCTCAAAAGCCCAGGAGACTTTTGTCTGTATGTTTTTGGTTGTTCCATAGTGAGACCATATTTTCCCCAGTGATGTTAATGAAGGGATGAGTGGCCTTTCGTTGGTGCTTACTCAGTCTTTGTCTTTCCTGTGAGTCATTATTGTTTTCTAGCTAGATACTGTGGCCAGCCCCGCTTTCAATATGTCATTTTCATTCATTTGGAAACTAAAGAGCTGTGCTTTGCACCACGTCCTTGATGTCAGCAAAGCCAGCTCTGTCGGACTAAAATGCAGAGACATGTTTGCAGCTAGTGCAAAGAGTTGCAGGCTGCCTATCTCAGGGAAACAGCTGCGTGGAGCATGTGAAAAGCGCTATTTAGAAGGGTTTGAGGGCTTGTATGCCTAGAGCAACTAGCACCTCAAGCCTGGCCTTGGTAAGAAAGCTGGCCTTCATCTTTGTGACTGGGAGTTACAGAATGTACCATGTAGGGGAGATATGAACTCCCTGTAAAATAGTGACATGACATATATCCCTAAGTGTCCCATGGGATGGTCATCTTATAAGGGATAAATGAGTTAATACATGTAAAACAGAAAGATTCTTGGTTATTAAAATGATCTAAGCTTTTCACATATGTTATCTCATGCAATCTTTATAACCACTCTATTCAGATAAGGAAACTAGGTCTAGAGATGTGACGTAAATTTCCCAAGGTCACACAGCTAGTCAGTGGCTGAGTTAAAATTCAAACTGAGTTCTTCCAGACAATCAGAGCCCTTAACCTTTACCAATGAACTCAAATTCAACACCTGGAATTATATTCTGTTAGTGATACCAGGGGCAAAGTACTGTAGTTGACATGGAAAGAAAAAAAAGTATGAATTAAAGAGAACTGTCCTGAGCATGCCCTAGTGTGATGCTCAGATAAAGGAAGGAGCCCCTGCTATACAGTTTGGAAGTTCCAGAAAGGAGACAGCTGAGCTATGTCCAGAAGCCATTTGAAAGTCTGATGAGGGATTCTGTTGACTTTTGCATTCTTCAGTGTATTTATACCCTTCCCCAAATTACTTCACTATATAAATAAACCTACAGGTGTGGGAAAATTGAGTGTGTGATAATTAAGATTGGAGACAAAGAATTAAAAAAGTCAAGATATGAAAACCCTTCAGTTTGTGATAATGATCATGGCACCTCAGTAGATGTCTAATAAATTGATGAAAACTTAGAGATTATCTCAGAATGTTTTGTATGTAAAGCACGGATTACATCAAACAGAATTAAAGCCTTTTAGATCATAATAAAAATAATTTATGGATGAATAATTTTAACGGGTGATTTGAAAAAACCTGGATCCTTCTAAGAAGAGACATGTGGTTGCATAAGACAGGAAGATTTACTGCAGTCAATTCTCAGAGGCCTCAGAGCTCTAGTTAGCATGGCCCCAGGCATTTTATGGTTTTTACAATCTATTTGCTTTTAACTATATCAGCTTCTAAGGGCTGGATATCCTTCCGGGAGTAATGCTGTAAGGAAGTTAGCGTTGTCCAAGACCCTAAGGCACTGCTGTTCAGAATCTGTCCTTAATAGTAACAGAAGTGTGTGATATAGTTTGAATATGCGTCCCCACCAAATCTCCTGTTAAAATGTAATCCCTAGCGTTGGAGGTGGGGCCTGGAGGGAGGTGTTTGAGTCATGTGGGTGGATCCCTGATGACTTGGTGCTGTCCTCTCAGTAGTGCATGAGTTCTTGAGCGATCTGGTCCTTTAAAAGTGTTTTGCACCTCCCCCCACTTTCTCTCTTGCTCCTGTCTTTGCCTTTGACATGCCTCCTCCCGCTGCACCTTTATCTTGAGTAAAAGTTCCCTTAGGCCTCCCCAGAAGCTGAGCAGATGCATCCTTCCTCTACATCCTGCAGAAGCCTGAGCCAATTAAACCTGTTTTCTTTATAAATCACCTAGTCTGAGGTGATTTCTTTATAGCAATGCAAGAACAAGTTAGCACAGGATGTCTCTGGACAAGGGGCGCCTCTGGGCAACAGGTTGATCACTTAGTGGGTAAGTGGGTAAAGGGTACACTTCGAAAAGTCTATGGTCTCCTAATTCCAGCAGGATTTCCTTTCTTGGACTCCAAAAATTGGTTAGTTGCTTCTCTGAAGTTTTCTCACAGCATTTTGCATGGTATCCCACTGTGACTCCCAGCAGGACTTTATGGTATAAGCTGGTAATGAAACCACCTTTGTAAAAATCATAACTGAGGAAATTATGACAGTGTAAGAGATCAGACTTAACCGACTCCATCTTGCTTCTGACCTCTAAGCTGTCCTTGTTCATTCCTGGGCGTAGGCCAAACTAGCCTTGGAAAGGAATTTATAGTTTAAACTCTGAAACAAAATTGATAATAGCCCTTTCCCGAAAAACCCCTTCTTGCCTGGGGACCAGTCTGCCTTTGTAAGACTAACAAATTAGCCACAAAATTAGAAATTATGCCATGCCATACAGCCTCTGGCTGCAAGAGTCTGAACTTCCCCAAATTGCTCCTGGGAATAACATCGCTGTTGTAAAACCTAAGATCAGTGCTTGAGATATTTTGCAGACCCTGCATTCTTATGCAGCAGATGATGACACCACCCAGACCTACAAATAATCTGGCTCAACCAGTTCTGCAATCCCACCCAGGAGCAGAAGTCAGCAAGAAAGAACTCACTTCGACCCCCTATAATTTCATCTTCAACCCAGCCAATCAGCACTCCTCACTATCCGAGCCCATACTCGCCAAATTATTTTTAAAAACTCTGATCCCTGAGTGCTCGGGGAGACTGATTTGAGTAATAATAAAATTTGGTCTCTTGCACAGCTGGTTCTGTGTAATCACTCTTTCAACATTACAGTTCCCCTGTCTTGATAAATCGGCTCTGTCTAGGCAACGGGCCAGGTGGACCCATTAGGCGGTTACAGTAGCTATGGTTTGGATCTGTGTCCCCACCCCAATATCATGTTCAATTGTAATCCTCGCTGTTGGAGGTGGGGCCTGGTGGGAGGTGATTGGATCACGGGGGTGGTTCCTCATGAATAGTTTAGCACCGTTCCCTTGGCGCTGTTCTCATGATAGTGAGTGAGTTACTGTTAGATCTGGTTGTTCAAGTGTGTAGGGTGGGCGCGGTGGCTCACGCCTGTAGTCCCAGCAGTTTGGGGGCTGAGGTGAGCAGATCACAAGGTCAAGAGATCGAGACCATCCTGGCCAACATGGTGAAACCCCATCTCTACTAAAAATACAAAAATTAGTTGGGTGTTGTGGAGCGTGCCTGTAGTTCCAGCTACTCGGGAGGCTGAGGCAGGAGAATCCTTGAACCTGGGAGGTAGAGGTTGCAGTGAGCCGAGATCGCGCCACTACACTCCAGCCTGGCGACGGAACCAGACTCCATCTCAAAAAAAAAAGTGTGTAGTACCTCCCCACTCCTTCTCAGTCCTGCTCTTGCCATGTAAGATATCTGCTCCCTCCTTGCCTTTTGCCATGAGTGAAAACTCCCTGAGGCCTCCTCAGAAGGAGATGCTGCCATGCTTCCTGTACAGCCTGTGGAACTGTGGGCGAATTAAACCTCTTTTCTTTATAAATTACCCAGTCTCAGACATTTCTTTATAGAAATGCGAGAATGGACTAATAGAGCTGGTTTACTTGTTCATTTCTTTTCTGGAGGTGTGGGCTGCCAACATTCACTAAGGTATCTCCACTGCTTTGGCACCTAGCAGGCATTTGATAGATAACTGTAGAATGATGGATGTTAAGCCATATAGGAAGAGGAAGTTTTTAAAAGGCCATGGGAACAGGGTGATCTCTAATTGCAGTTAGCACAGCTGTCCCTATGAGTTGTTATTTAAAATTCCTTGCATTTGAATTGCAATGAATTATGATATACATATTTTATACCGTTATTAGGTTCAGTTCAGAACCCACATTTACTGTATGCTGGGCCCTGTGATGAATAAAACATCGTTCTTACTCTTAAGGAGCTGCCATTCTAGTGGGATAGAGCGAACCTAAATAAATAACTATAACCTAATGTCATATGACCAATGGTAAAATTGCTTCCTATGTGTCTGAATCTGTTCTAAGTACTGTGTATTCTTTATATAATTTAATTTGAACAATCCTATGGGATAGATAGTATTACTGTCTATCAGGAAAGTTTGCATATCACAAAACTGGGACCCAGAAAGATTATATACATTGTTCAAGGCCACATAGTGACTAAGTGGTACATCCAGGAGATGAACTCAGATGAATTTGACTTTGGAAAGCAAGCTAGAAACTGTTGCACTCTACCACTCCAGTACAGAAGAGGGAGGGAGTACTTTGGGGAAGGAGGAAAAGAATAGAGGAGATGCCAGCAGGCATCTAGGAGAAGGTGTCCTAAGCAGTAATTTGAATGATAAATGGGAGTATGCCAGATGGATGAGTTGGCAAAGGAAGGGTAAGAAGGAACAGCATTTGCAAAGACATAAAAAATTGAAAGACAGAGTGATCAGGGAAATGGGATAATTAAGTACTAAGTAGAGCATGCAAGGAACAGAGTGGGTGAAGAGGTAGACAAAGATCATGTCAGGGGAATTAGAACATCCTCAAAAGTCAGTAGCCTTTGGCAGAATCTGCCCCTTAGCAGGAGGTTGCAAATGAGTAGAACTTCGATTTTCATCACCTTGCTGTTCAGCTCCTTGATGGGCACGTAATGTCTGCAGGGGCCTCTGGACCAGGAGGACCAATACTGGGGACTAACTGAGCTGTACAAAGCCTGGAATTTCAACAGAAAAATCATGGGTTTGTAAAACAGCTAAACCTCACTTAAATTGCAAACTCCATGACTGTTTCTGTCTTATTCATAATCTCTGGTACATAGCATAATATTTAATACATAGTGGACTCTCAATATATTTCAATACATTTATTGCATGAATGAATCAAAGAGCAAGACTTAAAGGCTTAAGAAAAATAGAAGAAAAGCAAGAAGAGATGGAGATATGAACTTAAGAGACAGCAAGTAAGGGCTGGAGTAGCCATGTTGCCTGATAATGGTGAGGTAGAACTTTTACTGTGAATAGGGCTGGGAGAACCCAGAGAAGTCAGCAGGCTTCTGGGCTGTAATTTTGACTTACCCTTATTAAGAAACAGGAAGCACACACAATTTCTTTTAGGGTAGTGAAGACTTTCCTAGTCCTGTACTCTTTTTCTCTCTCTTTTTGTTTTAAAGAAATGTTACACTTGAAACTTTATGTAAGGAGTAGTCATTAATGAGCCCACTGATTTTTTAATAGGAAGTTAAATAGTAAATTTTCTATGACTATTTCTTGCAGATTTTGTTGATAGACATCTCATTTGACAGTTTGATTTGATTCAAGGCTATAATATAGGACCTAGAAGAAGAGAGGTATTGCATGTCATAAAAGAGAATTTCTAAATAATACCACTCTCAGGAAGGCTGATAGAAGCCGGGTAGGAGGTGGGTAATGTTGAGGTTGCCTGCACCATCCAGGGACTGATTCATCAGTGGTCTCTGTGGCTGGTTGAGATCGAACCATGCTTTGAAAATAAAAACAGTAGAGGTCAGATTGTCATCCTATTATTAATATATAAAATCTTTCAGTACATCTTGGATGATTAATTCTACCTCTACATAGAAATGGATCAGAGAATCATAAGTACAGCATCTATGAGATGTGGAAGGTGGGGTTTGGGGGACTATTCTTCCCCATCTAACTTTTCAGAATAAAAACAAATAAATAAAGAAGTAGAACCATCAAAAGCACACACATCAGTTAAGTAAGTTGTAAACAGATCTCGAGATTCTATACTCTGATGCCGCACACAAAAAATATTATTTTTCCCGTCATTAAGAAGGAAACAATGACCACAAAAAATTATGAACACTTCGGTAGAACTCTATCAATAATGACAATTATTAATAGAGCATCATGTCTTCTTAGCCAATGTCCTGCCTGCCTGCCAGAATGATGTGCCTTCATAGTATCACTTACACAGCTTTATATTACCAGACACAAATACTCCTTCTCTCCTAACTTGTACAATATTTGTTAGTTATGGTTTCCTTTCTGGTAACATATATATATATATGTATAATATATATGTATTTTATTTATATATATGTATAATATATATGTATTTTATTTATATATATGTATAATATATATGTATTTTATATATATATATATATTTGGGTTTTTTTTTTGAGACAGGATCTCACTTTGTCACCCAGGCTGGAGCTCAGTGGTGCAGTCATAGCTCTCTGCAGCCTTGAGCTCCTGGGTTCAAGTGATCCTCCCACCTTGGCCTTCCAAAGCACTAGAATTATAGGCATGAGCCACCGCACCTGGCTAGTAGTTCATATATTTGAAAATGATATCAAAGCAAACATTTTCCTTTTTTATCTAGCAAAACCATAAGTCACTGACTTTTTGAAATTCTTTATTTTTCTTCCCTTCTTTCCCATCACAACCTCTTCTATTTCAGAATTCCTGGAGAATGTGTCCCAGAGAAACAATTGTGACCTCTCTCACATTGTTGGTCACAGACTGTAGAATACATGCTTCGCCTTCTCTTTCACTATTAAGAAATCAATGATATTGCCCAACTCTGAAAAGTTATTAATCCAAAGGTAACATTAAAATTTTCCCAGGAATGTATTTTAGATCTACTCTAACTTTCATTCATTCAATTGTTAGTTTCCTTCATTCAACAATTATGCTGGGCAAGATATTATGTTAGGAACTCAGAATTAAAGATTAACAAAGGACAGTCCTTTCCTTAGAGTCTGTGGTTTAGTGAGAAGATAAACATTAGCAACAAATGATGACTGTGATATACAACAAGGTCAGAAGGCCCTGTAGGACCATCAAGAATGAACTGGTAGGTTCTGCTGAGAGAAATCAAGAAAAGGCCAAGCGAGGTGGCTCATACCTGTAATCCCAGCACTTTGGGAGGCTAAGGTGGGAAGATCACTTGAGCCTAGGAGTTCAAGCCCAGCCTGGGAGTGAAGGGACACCCCGTCTCTACAAAAAATTTAAAAATTAACCAGGCATAGTAGTGTGCATCTGTGGTCCCAGCTCTACTCAGAAAGCTGAGGTGGGAGGATTGCTTGAGCCGGGAAGGTTAAGGCTGCAGTGGGCCATGTTCATACCACTGCACTCCAGCCTGAGCAACAGAGCAAGACCTTGTCTCAAAAGAGAAAAAAGAAAAGTTTTCTGGAGAAGAAAACATTTATATTTAATTTTGAAGACTGAGTTAGAATTTATTTGGTAAATAATACAAGAAAGAGCATTCCAGAAAGGGGGAATATCAGAGGTAGGAAATCATGGTACATCAGAGAAAAGGCCAGTATATCATAATGGTGAAGACAAAAGTCATGCATTCTGGCAATGGGGGAGTTGTGAGTCAGCTGGAGGGGGTGTTTGGAGCAACATCAGGAAGGACTTGAACTGCCGTATTTGCCAACAGGGAGTTTGAACTTTACCTTGCAGACCATAGGAGCCACTCAAAAAGTTTAAGCAGGGGAAAGACAGTATAAGCATTTAATTTAAGAAAGAAGAACCTAGCTTCAGTTTAGAGGCTGGATTAGATATAAAACTAGATTAGAATCTAGCTTCAATTTAGAGAATAGATTAGATAGATAGATTAGTGGTCTTCCCCTAGCCAACAACTGGGTAATGAAGCGCTGGTGTGGGACCAGTCTCCTAGACCCAAGTGCTAGGAGTAGAATGCTAGAACTAGGTGACTATCAAGATTGTGCCTGGGAGAGATAATGAGGTTGAACTGGCGTAGGATGTCCACAAAGAACCATCAGCACTAGAGTCAGTGACCCAGAAGAAACAAGAGCAAAGGATATCAGATTGGAATACATGGGCACAGGAGGTGGCCTGAGTAAATTCCAGGGCTGAAAGCCAGCCCCCATGGTAGTCTGTTCTGTGTTCCTGGTGTACAGCTGCATATTCTCACACATGTGTGTGAGCTGAATGGGTTCACTGGAAGTAGCCAGGAGGAGACAGATCAGAGGCACAGAGACTCGTAAATGCTGTTGAAATTGTCCAATCAAGAAACATTAAAAATCAGAAGGTGACAGAGTTGATGAAGAGGAAGAGACAGGTTTCAGAATTTTGGGGTTGCTTTTCTGGGATATTTTCCAGGACAAATTAAGAGAAAAATGTACTTCTAGATAACAAATCAAATTAATTTACAGTAAGTAGATACTTAATGTTAAACTTTGGAGTTTAGTTTTGGAGACTATCAAAGACATATACTTTTAGCTTTAACATAAAACTACATAAAAACATATGGAGACTCTCTGGTAATAGACTCAAGAATCAATTTTTTATGGACTCCATGCCCTGGTTCATAAGAAAACCATATGAATATAATGTAGGAGAATACTTATCTCCTTACTGTCTGTGGCAGGAGATATCCTCCAGGTCAGCTACACTAATTTCAAATTATGAACATATAAATTAGAAAGAAGTAGGGCGGGAACGCATACCACTGGAGGTTGTCATCTGACTTGTCAGGAGACCACTTGTGTCTATCCTGGTTTCGTGTGAACATAAATAACCAGAGGCTATATTGAGCTCCAGCAGCTTGGCCCAGAGCCACTTCCTGCCTCCAGAAGGAAAGGGAAATGACAGGGCATTACAAGTCATAAACAGTTGTAACGAGATGCCCGCACTACTCTCTCCCTGCTGGAGTTGCTCCAGTGAAGCATTGTCTGGTTCCAAAATCCAGGCATGAGAGCATCTCCTTCTCTGCCCAGTGGTTGGTTTACACGTGTCCTGAAGTGAGACTCGTGATTGTCTGAATGTGACCAAATGTCTTGGTGTGTGAGGACTCCAAGCACTAGCCAGGCAGAGATCCTTCTCCTGCAATGTCCTGGCAATGGCTGGCTGAGGTATAATGTTCCTCTTTTGCAGGAAACAGCCTGCAGTAGCTTCTGCACACATTGTGCTGCCCCACACAGTTGTTCCCTTCCTTGTGCTGAATTAGGACCCTTGGGAATAAGGGCCAGGCATTTAATCCCCAGACACAGTTGCCTTTGTCCTCTGTCCTTCTCCTAGTACCCACTGACCTCATCTCTTGGTTCCCGTCACTCTTTTCCAGATAATGGGGTGCTGACCTCCCTTCTAAAGGTGGACACCCTGATGATGCAGGGTAATATGGGTAGCTACACTAATTTATTCTATTTCCCTTCCATGCTGCTCAGCTAGAATTCTTGTCATCCTGCCCTCTAAGTTGCTACCCACACCTTCGTGAGGGCATCTTCAGGGAAAACAAGAAGGTAAACAATACAACATGGTTCTCAAGCAAGTGTTCACTTCTCAGTCTTATATTTTTCTTTTCTAATTTTTTAATGAAAGGAGTAACACAGTCAGCGGTAGAAACTAAATGGTCTCTGACAAAGGATAGTCACTGTATACTTTATTCGTGTATGAAGTGTATTCACATGAATTACAAGACTGGTTCAGGCTGAGGCGGTTAATATCTATTAGTAGGAGCTAGGCAGAGCAATTGGAACAGCTCTTCCAGTTAAAAAAAAAATTCTTACAAAAACAGGAACTGGCCAGGCACAAGAGTTCACGCCTGTAATCCCAGCACTTTGGGAGGCTGAGGCAGATGAATTACTTGATCCCAGGGGCAAGACAAGCCTGGGCAACATAGTGAGACCCCATCTCTATTTAATTAAAAACAAACAAACAAACAAAAAACAGGCCCGGCACGGTGGCTCACAACTATAATCCCAGCACTTCGGGAGGCCGAGTTGGGTGGATCACCTGAGGTCAGGAGTTCATGTTCTGACCAACATGGCAAAGACTCCATCTCTACTAAAAATACAAAATTAGCCAGGTGTGGTGGCAGGTGCCTATAATCCCAGCTACTCAGGAGGCTGAGGCAGGAGAATCTCTTAAGCCTGTGAGGCGGAGGTTGGAGTGAGCCAAGATCGTGCGTTGCACTCCAGCCTGAGTGACAAGAGCGAAACTCTGTCTCAAAAAATAAATAAATAAATAAATAAATAAATAAATAAATAAAAAACAGGGACATTTTCCACATTTTAGTTTAATAATCTCTTAGTTTTAGTAGTGCAATTATCTGTAAGTATAAGTGCAGAATCCTTACTATAAGGGCTATGAAGAGGGGAATTTTTTTCCTTTACAACATTCATTGACCTATTTATTTTGCTGTTTTTTTCAGAATTAAATAACTTTATTTTATATAAAATATAAATTAGATAATACAAAATATATTTCTCAATACATCTAAATTTATTTACCTATAATATGTAAGTAAATGTATATAAAATGTAAGTAGCATATGGTTATCTTAAAGAATTAAAGCTACATATAAAAATAAAAAAAGAAAGTCAAGTTCATGTAAAATTCCACTATCCTGAGATAACCATCATTCACCTTTTGTTGATCATTATTTTCATGTATCTTTTTAGGAGTACATATAAAAATATACATATACACACCAATTTTAAAAATATATATACATTAAATATATGTTTATATATTAAACACGTATATTAATTTATATAAAAATTTTTCATGAACCAGATCACATCATATATTCTGTTTTTATCATGGAGACCTGTCATCCCACCCATCCCAGACTTTCATATCCCATTTCAGTTCCTTGACCATTTCAAATGACCCATATTAATGTCTAGTGAGTCCTTTTTTATTTTATTTTGGTTTTCTTTTTGAGATGGAGTCTCACTCTGTCCCCCAGACTGGAGTGCAGTGGCATGATCTCGGCTCCCTGCAACATCCACCTCCCAGATTCAAGCGATTCTCCTGCCTCAGCCTCCCAAGTAGCTGGGATTACAGGCACACGCCACCACACCTAGCTAATTTTGTGTATTTTTAGTAGAGATGGGCTTTCACCATGTTGGTTGGGCTGGTCTTGAACCCCTGACCTCAAGTGATCCACCTGACTCAGCCTCCCAAAGTGCTAGGATTACAGGTGTGAGCCACTGCATCCAGCCTAGTAAGTCCTTTTTTAATGTTTTTATCCACATTTATATAATTCTATAGAGGTCTATTATTTCTGTTTTTGTTTGTTTTGCTTTGTTTTGTTTTGGAGACAGAGTCTTGCTGTATCCCCCAGGCTGGAGTGCAGTGGCGCCATCTCAGCTCACTGCAACCCCCGCCTCCCAGGTTCAAGTGATTCTCCTGCTTCAGCCTCCCGAGTAGCTGGGATTACAGGCACCTACCACCATGTCTGGCTAATTTTTATATTTTTAGTAGAGATGGGGTTTCACCATGTTGGCCAGGCTTGTCTTGAACTCCTGACTTCAGGTGTTCTGCCCGCCTCGGCCTCCCAAAGTGTTGGGATTACAGATGTGAGCCACTGCACCTGGCCTAGGTATATTATTTTTATCTATCCATCATATAAAGATTTTTTAAAATTATTTTTTAAAATGAGAACAGATTACATTATAAATGCTTTTTCTGGCATCTGACTTTTCTCCTTCAACAGTAGCTCCTGAAGTTCTTCCAGATCTTCTATTGCTCTAGTTCATCCTTTGGAATGACTGCACGGTATTCTGTGAGCATACCACAATTAATTCAGCCCAACTGATGGACATTCACTTTGTTTGCAGTCCCTGCCTTTCACATGTGTCCTAATATTTTGGCACTTTTATTCCATATGGTAGATTTCTGCAGGTTTTTGTAGTGTAGTGTTATCATGTTTGCCTAACATAGGGTAGGTTTCTGGGAGTGGGATTGGGAAGTTGATAAGTGTATATATTTTAATTTTCATAGATGTTGCCAGATTGCTTTCAATAAATGCTGTAATCAATTTCAAAATTCACCCTCCATATATTTTAGTACTGTCCCTTATATCTCCCTGAATGCAAATGTTAGAGTTTTTTTTTAGGTTCTGCAGTTTTATGGGTGTAAAGTGATACCTCATGGTTATGCTACTTTTAATTTTCCTGATTATGAATGAATTTGAACATACTTTTACATAGTTCTTGGGCATTTAGATTTGGTTTTTCTTTGAGCTATCTATTCATATCTTTTGCTTATTTTTTTCTACTAGTTTTTATTTTTACTTATCCAACCCACTTGTTTGAAAGTACTCTTTATATATTACAGGAAATTTAAATGGTGGTTTTCAACATGGACTAAAATATTCATCCCAAGAATAGTAATAAGTAAGCCAGGGCTAGCTACTAGAAAGTCCAAAACATTAATCTGTAAAATTGAGAAATAAGTGAAATTTACACTAGCCTCATTCCAGCGGCTAGGCTGTCACTCAGCAATATTTGGTGAAATGTATAGATTTGACAGGAGGTTTTTCATTTAGCTCCAAATAACTCTGTAGAAAAGTGGCCTACGCCACGTGGGAACAATCCTTTTGGTCCAACTTATCTCACTGTCTCAGGAAAAACTTTGTCAAGACTGTTGCCAGTCTTGACATTGCAATCTTCAGAGATAAATACCACATTTACCAGAGGCTAAGCACCTGAACAATCAGTGTGCATCCTTGCAGGAGAGGCATATCATGCTCACCTTATTACAAATATGAATCAGGTGGGCATAAACAGGTGTTATTACAATATGATCCTGGGAGGTTTTGTTTTTGAGGGTGGGGGGAACTTGTGTTATGAATTTTATTTTAAAATCCACATAGATATTAGATAAGCATGAGGAAAAGAACCGTGTTTACAGATAATTAAATCCAGAGGAGTTATACATTTTCATTCATCCTGAAGATTTTGTCTGGGCTTTCCTTCCTCAGCTGTCATCTTGCAGCTACTGTTTGTTGATTCATAGATGACATAGCCTCAGGAGAGCAAAACAATCCCAAACAGCAACTGCAAGGTAAGGGAGTGGCAGCTGCAGGCCCAAGAGTAACCTCCCAGGAGGTGGTTGTGGGGGTGGCAGCAGCCGTCTGATCCTGGGAGCTGAGTTACAGTCCCTTCCACATGGCTGTAAATTAGGTAGGCTAATTCCCTCTTTTCTCTCATTTTTGTCTCTAAGAAAATCAAAAAGGCTTCAATGATTGGAAACAAGATAACTTGTTTTCTTAATATGGATTTCTCAGTAGCATAATATCTTAAAGCATGCAAAAATATATTTGGTAGTAGGATGCTGTCCTATCACATTCTAGGAGAAAAATATCTGTTTCTTGATGGAATGCTCCTGAGAACCTCCTGGGCCTGTGAGGAGCCATGCTCCCTGGAGGGTGCTCCTGGGCCTGAGTGTAAGCCTTATGAAGCCCAGTGCTGAATTTGTCTTTCACTGCTGGTTGAGGATGGGAATCAGAACCGGCTAGCTGTGGTTCATCTGTGCTGAGGTACATAAGGCAGGGCATGGCATAACACTTTAAGATGAAGACCCTGTGGGCCTTTAAGACAAGCAGTTCAGCAGGCACGTAAGAGCCTCTATGCCTCGAGCCAGCCAGCTGAGAAGGATGCACAACCATGGCAGTAGGGAAGAACAGGAGGTTGGAGTTATTAAATACATTTTGGTAAGAAACAGGCTGAGCTCTAAGCCCCAAAATGTTTTCCCAGGAAAGGAAAGAACATTGATAATGTTAAGGAATTGATGAATAGGAAGCAGGGAGAAAGAGAGAGAGAGAGAGAGGTTTTCACCCAGGCTGGAGGGCAGTGGCACCATCACAACTCACTGCAGCCTTGACTTCCAGGGCTCAAGTGATCCTCCCACCTCAGCCTCCCAAGTAGCTGGGACTACAGGCACACATCACCACACTGAGCTAATTAAAACATTTTTTGTAGAGCTAGGGTCTTGCCGTGTTGACCAGTCTGGTGTCAACCTCCTGAGCTCAAGCAATCCACCCGACTTGGCCTCTCAAAGTTCTGGGATCACAGGTGTGAGCCACCATGCCTGGCTGAAGGAGATTGATTCTTATTTAAGCACATTGTTCAGGAAATGTAAGTAGAAAATTAACTTGTGAAATATCTCTAAGTTTAGGGGAATCATGGACATGGGCTAGGCCCTGATCATTTATCAGGTTGTTTTTAGAAACTCAGCTTTAACCAAAATGGCATCCTGCTTTCTTTGAGGGAATGAAGTAGAGGAGTGCAGGTGTCTGGCCTCAGCCCCTTCTCCGAACTGAGTGGCCTCCCTTGTGAAAGAGTGATCTTTTTAGTTGGATTGAGGCAGCTTATACATTCTTGTGAGGCTTTGAGGTTCACAGCACACTCCAGCTGCTTAATAAGATTCTGGTCTTCAAGGGATCCAGCAAAAGTACAGCTGAATGTAATCAATAGATCATCTATCTGTTGATCATCTATCTATTTACCTACCATCTATCAATCATCTATACATCAATCAGTCTATCTATTATCTGTCTTTTTATTTATCAGTCATCTATCTATCTGAAAAAAAAACAAACTGAAACCAAACCAAACCCACACTCTTATTAGGGATAATTCCTGGCATAGCTCACTTCTCCTTGAAGCTTGAAACTCAGAGAGGCGTGTGGGTTACTTACTTAAGAACAGAATTTTTTATAGCAAAATTGGAAAGCAGATTAATCATATTAGCTATAGGCAAGTTGAGGGAGTTTATGTTTTTTAAAAACCTTCAGGTTTTGGCCAGTCATGGTGGCTCACACCTGTAATCCTAGCACTTTTGGAGGCCGAGTTGGGTAGATCACCTGAGGCCAGGAGATTGAGACCAGCCTGGCCAACATGGTGAAACCCAGTCTCTACTAAAAATACAAAAATTAGCCGGGCATGGTGGTGAGTGCCTGTAGTCCCAGCTACTTCAGTGGCTGAGGCACGAGAATTGCTTGAACTCGGGAGGCGGAGGCTGCAGCAAGCCAAGATCGCACCATCGCACTCCAGCCTGGACGACAAGCAAGACTCTGTCTCAAAAACAACAACAAAACACCTTCAGGTTTTGTGGTGTCTTTAAGGTAGTTCATTTTTTGGAGAGATGTTACATTGGGATCCCCCCTGCTAGAATAAGCTTGGGGACAATGTGAAAGAAACCTCGTGTGGCCCTCCTCCTCCTGTTGTACAGTGATTCTCCACAGATCTTGTTTCCATGCATTGATTTTATACAGGAGAGACCATGGATTCTAGATCACAGAACTTCTAGCAGAAGGATGCTACTGAGCACGGTGTGAGACACAAATATCATTCCCTATGGGCAAGCATGTGCAGCTAGAATAGGAAATGTATTGTCCAAGGAAGGAACTGTGGATGTTAAATCTCATAAATTGTCTGGCTTGAGGGGTTTAGCTGGGAGTTTGAGAGTGTGGAGGGGAATGGGGAGTGGCTGTTAAAACTGGAAGAAATAGGGGAACTACTAGGCAATGCTAACAAAGCAGAAGCAATACTACAAATAGGTAAGGAAAAAAAGACAAAACAAATAAATATAGCTGTTATAGAAAGTAGTTAAGAGAAGTAAAAGTCATTACAAAATTAAATAAAAAATACAGGCTTTTAAATATGACTAAAAGTGGTAAAATGTTACAAATAGGAAGGACAAGATAGGTTAAATATCATTCAGATAAAATAAAACCATCATACATAAATAAGATATTTAACTTATGTATAAAACAACATAATAAAAATAATGCAATTAAGCCATTTATTTTCTCAAAATATTAAAAAAGTGAAAATTCCCTGAGTTAAAAGGGAAGGTGAAAATGGGTAACAGATTAATATTCTAAAGCTTAGCATCTCTATCTGGGGACAAACCTCCTAGGCTTCCAAGATGAGGCCACGGGTAAGTCCACAGAGAGCTGAAGGCTGAGAACAAGAACTGTGGCCTCTTCCCGCTCCTTGCACTGCTGGCTTCCCCCCATCCCCTGCTTGGTTAAGTGCTCTGTGTATGGAGGTCTGCAGTGTCTACTTATCCTTGTTACTAGCTCTCCAAAGCCTGGACCGGCACATCAACAACCATCCATAGGATGCTGGACAGTATTATCAAAGCTTGGACTGGAGGACAGCCTTCCAAGACACCAAGGAAGGGTGTAATGCTTTAAAATATTGCAAGTTTAAAAAACAGTGAATAGAATGACATGTTTTGGGTTTTAATTCACCTTAACTCTTTTTTTTGGGTGGGGGCAGAGTCTTGCTCTGTCGCCCAGGCTGGAGGGCAGTGGTGTGATCTTGGCTCACTGCAACCTCTGCCTTCAGGGGTTCGAGTGATTCTCCTGCCTCAGCCTCCTGAGTAGCTGAGACTACAGGTGTGTGCCACCACATCCAGCTAATTTTTGTATTTTTAGTAGAGACAGGATTTCACCATGTTGGCCAGGCTGGCATCTTAACTCTTTATATATTGTACCCTCAAATTGTCTTACTCAGTTAGTGAAATCTTGTAGTGGAAATGAGTGTAATCTAAGCATGTTTTCCTGTAGTAGAACTGTTAGCTGAGCTGTTACTGGAGAAGAGAGGGTTAAATATAACCTGAGAATTCCAGATTCCCAACGTTTGGGAACACATAAATCAGTTAGAAAGGCAGTTGGTGACTGGATTTGGTGTGGGTGTGAGATAGACCCTACGATAATGTTCCCCTTCACCAGTGTTTCACATTGGTTGACACATGTCAACTGGACATATGTTTTACACTCCAGTATTTCACTCCTAATGCAATGACCTAGGTTCAGATGACTTCCAGTAATAAAGAGGTATTTGCCTGATTCAAATCTCAATAGAATTTAGGGAAATTACTTACAGCTTTTATTGCTTCATGGAAACATGCCAAATCACATCACTTCGTTTGTACATGTTGTTGTATTCAGATGGCTTTCCATATGCTGTATGTGTAAAAATGTTTTCTGGTCTTTTTTTTTTTTTTTCTGGAACCAAATCTATAGCCAAGAGTTTAGTAATGCATGTACAGTTTTATGCATTTTTCAAGAGATTACTTACAGATGCATTCATGTATGAGTGATTGTTTTCTCCTCAAATTTGTGGTACCTACTGCTCCATCTTCACTTTCCGCTGATGGTCTTGCTTTCTGCTTCACTGCAATATTGAGGCAAATGTGAAAGAAATAGCACAACCTCCCACCGTCACATTTACCCACTTATATTCATCTGTTCCTGTAAATTCTGCCTTCCTCCGGGACTACTGGTTAACACTCTGTGTTCTTAGCTCCACCACTTGCATACTAGAGCCATTCCCCTCTTGCTTACTCAAGAACATGTCTCCAACAATCTTCTTTTATTTTTCTTGTAGCATCAATTTTTCCCTTTTCACTCAAGCATAACCATCAGCATACAAGCATGCTGATATTTATCCCCCAACACCAACCGTACCACTTTTCTGCCATTCTATACTCTGTTTTATTTGTTGCTGTTTTTTTTCCCAGCAGCCAGAGTGGTTCTGTTAAAAACCGGATCACATCACGTTATTCTTCTGTTAGCAACCTTATGGTGCCTTCCCATCTCAGTCAGAGCAAATGGCAAAGTCTTAACAATGGCCAAGAAGGCCCAACATGATTTCCTCTCTTCCTCATTTGCTCTGCTTCAGCCAGACTGGACTCTTCACTGCCTCTTGAACATGCCAGGGGTGTTCCCAACTCAGGATATTACATTTGCTTTTTTCTGTCTGGAATGCTCTTTCCCATTTTCCTACTCCCTCACCTTCCTACAGAACTTTGCTTCAATACCACTTTCTCGGTGAGGTCTACTTTGACCACACTATTTAAAATTGCATCCCCTATCTGTACTCCCTATCCCCTTTCCTTGCTTCAGTCCCCTCTTACCCCCTCCAAGATTGATCACCTTTCAATATATTATATATGTTATTTATTTATTTAATTATTTTCTTGCTTTCCTCCACTAGAATGTAAATTTCATGGAGGCAGGAATGTACACCCAGTGCTCAGTAAAGGGCCTGGCTTCTCAGTTAATACTTGTCATCTGAATGAAAGAACATGGAAACCCCTAAATTCAGGGGCCTTCGTTGACATGTTTATTGCTCTATACCCAATGACTAGGATACTGTCTGGCTCACAATAATTTTTCAATAATGACTTGTTGGATGAATCATGATAGAAACTGAAAACTAAGAGAAACTGTTCAGCACCATTTCATGGCCCTGAGCCAGTCATCTCCCACCAACACCTCTGAGTTGGCAATCCAAGTTATTTGCTTTTACCTGCTTTTGGCTCTGAAACGATCCTTGATGAATTTATGGTCTTCACCTTCAGCCAAGTCCTCAAATATTTCCAAAAGATGGGGTGAGCCTGGGAAAGAAAGGGAATGTGAGTCTAGAGTGGGGAAGGGTTAGAGTTACAACTGTAGGGCCAGAAATACTGCCCTGAATTCTGACTATTGGGTTGTGAGTTTACTTATTCATTCAAGAAATATTCATAAAATTTCATCTATGTGCTGGACACTAGAGATACAATTTGCCCATTTATCCTTTCATTTAACAATGCTGAATGTTCCCCCTGTTCATGCAACTCCAAGTTGTCTTCACACAGTGGCTAAGTGTTCAGATGCAGGGGGTGGTACCTTGGCCCCAGAAAATGGAGAGGAAGTGAATTACAATCCCCTCCTGAAGGGAGGTGGCAACTGGGACAGGTTCATTCAACTGGAAATTGTGGTTCTGCTGGGTGTCCTACCTGATCCACAGGACACTATGAGCCCAAAGGAATAAGCCCCAAACTGTCCTGTGTTTTAAGCCTTCTTTGAATTGGAGATGTTACTTGACTATCCTTTGATGATAAAATAATTAGATCTTGGATTCACCTGGCAGCAGTTTTTATTCCTAATTCTTTGTTGCCAGCATCTTATCTCAGCTAAAAAACTAGAAGATTGTTTGACATTGTTCTACTTTAAGAATGTTTGTCCTTAGAATTTGTTTTGTTTCTGGTGGTGGGATTTATATTTTTGGCCAGAAATATATTATGGACAAGAAACTTCTCTCAAAAATCCAGTAGCTAATACAGAACAGAGTGCTTTGTACATAGATGTTCAGCAATGGTTTATTTTATTCACTGTGTGTTTTTGTATACCAGGGAGAAAGTCTATATTTTCTTTCCTATAGATACCATCCCTATCTTTTTCTTATTTTGATTTTTCTCTGCTCACTAGAAGCCTATACAAAAAAATTGGCAAAAAAAAATATATATCACATAGTAGGATACAGACATACATCCTTTCTCTTCACTGGTTTGAATGGGAAATGAGCTGGAGATATAGGTTTTTTTTTTTTTTTTTTCAAAAACCTGCTTATGAAAGGAAGACAAAAGCGTGGAATAGAGTTAAGGGGGACTTTTAAAATAGGATGTGGGCCGGGCGTGGTGGCTCATGCCTGTAATCCCAGCACTTTGGGAGGACGAGGTGGATGAATCACCAGAGGTCAGGTGTTCAAGACCATCCTGACCAACATGGAGAAACCCTGTCTCTACTAAAAATACAAAATTAGCCGAGCGTGGTGGCAGGCACCTGTAATCCCAGCTACTCAGGAGGCTGAGGCAGGAGAATCGCTTGAACCCGGGAGGCAGAGGTTGTGGTGAGCCGAGATCGTGCCATTGCACTACAGCCTGGGCAACAAGAGTAAGACTCTGTCTCAAAAAAAAAAAAAAAAAAAAAAAAAAAGGATGTGAGTGCCTTCACCATGGTATGGCCTGAGGCAAGTCAGTTGAGAGGAAAAGATTCAGAATATGTAGAAGAGAAAGTAAATAATTAAATAATGAACAAAGGCATGAATTAATGTGCTGAGGGAATAAGGGTGTTGGGGGCATGAGGGAGGAAGGCGGCTTGAAGAGAAGGTGAAGACTTAAAATATTCCCTGAAGCCAATAGATGGGGCTGGATGTAGGCACAGGGGAGCACTGCTGAACTGCTGGCTGAGGCCCTCACATACTCAGTAGCACAGGGACAATAATATCGCTTTGAGGAATTGGAATTAGAAAGGGTCCTTGTGAAGGCCTGGACTGCCACCTGCTACAGGGGCACTTAGGGGCAGTAGCATTTGTTACTGTTATTGAATTTATGAATCATTTTAGGGGAAAATACATATATTTTTCGAGAGACAGGGTCTTGCTCTGTTGTCTAGGCTGGAGTACAGTGACATGATCGTGGGTCACTGCAGCTTTGAATTCCTAGTCTCAAGTGATTCTCCCACTTCATCCTTCTGAGTAGCTGGGAATACAGGTGCACACCACCACACCTGCTTAATTTTTTAAAAAGTTTGTTTTTGTAGAGATGGGGGTCTTGCTATATTGTCCAGGCTGGTCTCAAACTGTGGCCCCAAGTGATCCTCTACCTTGGCCTTCTGAGTAGCTGAGGGAATTTTTTTTTTTTAATTTTCATTCTAAATAATTTCAGACTTAAAGTTGCAAAGCAGAATAACAATTTCTGTTGACCTGTCACCCACATTTACCAGATATTAACATATTACAATACTTACTTTATCACTCATTTCATAATTCTTTCTATATATGTATGCAAATCATTTTTTTCTGATGTTTGAGGGTTGCCATATAATGACCCTTTACTTCTAAATATTTCAGTGTGTATTTTCTGAAAACAAGAACATATTCTTACACAGAGAAATTGTCAAAATCAGGAAACTAACATCAATCTAATACTATTTCCTAACCTACAGACCTTGTTCAAATTTACTTTGTTGAAATTTTTAAAAGCAAATTATTATACCTGCCATCTTTCAATAGATTGGAAGAGCTTGTTTTTTTTTTAAACTAAGACTATTGCACTGGTATTCTTAGTAAGTCAGTGCAAAGGTCATAAGAAAGCATAGCTTATTTTTTAAAAAATAAATGAAGTCTTTAACCACTGTATGTTCAACTAGAGAAAAGATGTGGATTGATTTAAAATCATTTGCAGTGGTTATAGGAAATGGCTCAGTCTATTTAAATAAGATTGCTAATGGGGTTTTTGGTAATGGCAAAAAAAAAAGATGCCTGGGTCATTGTTTTTACTGTAATTTGTTAGAATTCAGGATTACTTTTAGAGAATTACTAATGGAGGTGTAGAAATAGCACAATCACATTTCTCATCACTCTTGTAAAATGTGAAATTTGTATTTCTAGCATGTAAAAATGTCATGATGTGTACAAAGAGCTATGAGACCTCTGTCACAGTCAAGAGCCAGGGTCTGAGGGTTGAGGAGAAGGCAGGGGCCTCTGTCTTCCTATGCTGAGAGGATTATACAACTGCTGAACAACAGAAAGCAGAAAGGACGACGTACTGGATGGGCAGCTGTTTTAGATGAGAAATGACTGTGTGCTGCCCTCCTTTTGGACAGCCTCTCATAAACCCTTAGAGTCCTGATAATGCTGCTCATTTTAACTCCATCCCAAGGCAGTGTATAGATTCTTTTTTCTTATTTATTCAAATTACAAAGCCAGTACACATAAATTTCTTACTCTATTGAGTCTTATGAAATTGCTGTTTTTGTAGGTTAAAATAGTTGAATAAGCAGTGTAAACTAAAAATGAAATTCTAAGCCCCCCAACCATCTGAATGGACCCTGTCTTCTTGGCCAAGGGCATTCCAAAGTTAACCTAAAAAACTAGTTCAGGCTGTGTAATGAAAAGGGAGAGTCAGACATGCCTCATTATACCCTCCTCCCTTTTGGAATTCAGACCCAGCTGATCAGCATTAATATCAATGCAGAGATCTCAAGACTGATAGAACAGACTCTTTAAGTCTGATAAGAAATATTTGCAATCTATTTTCTCTTAAGCCTGCTACCCAGAGGCTTCATCTGCATGATAAAATTTTGGTCTCCACAACCCCTTATCATAACCCAGACATTCCTTTCTATTGATTCTAGGTATTTAGATAGTAACTCAACCAATTGCCAGTCAGAAAATCTTTGAATCTGCCTATGATCTGGATGCCCCCGTGTCCAGTTGTACTGTCTTTCTGGACCAAATCAATGTGCATCTTACATGTATTGATTGATGTCTTATGTCTCCCTAAATGTATTAAACCAAGTTGTAGCCCAACAACCTTGGGCACATGTCATCAGGACCTCCCAAGCCTGTGTCATAAGCATGTCCTTAACCTTGGCAAAATAAACTTCTAAATTGATGAAGACTTGTCTCAGATATTTTTTGTTTTACAGCAGTAATTCCACATAGTCCAATCAGATAAAGGAGGTACAAGCTAAAGTTCAAACAATAGAAGATATATGGAACAAAATGTTAAATGGTGTCTTAATTTTTGCTTACTCCCACTACCCTTCCCAGAGGTAACCTCTGTGAAATGTTTGAAGTGTATCCTTCCAGTCTTTTTCTGAACATTTACACAATATCCACATATATTCAAAATGTGTAAATAGGCTTATTGTGTATGCATTGTTTTTCAAATTGTACTATGAATGTAAAATTTTTGTTATGTCAGAAAATTTGGTCTGTTTTCTTCTGGTAATAGTTCCATGACTTTCCATATGATTGTTTCATGGTTTATTTAACAATTTGCTTATTAATTCCCCTATTATATTGTTCTATTTTTAAAGGCTTTAGCCAATACTATAATGAAGATTCTAATACATATTTATTTGTGCATGTAAACAAAATTTCTATAAAACAGATTCCTAGAAATGGCATACCTGGGCCAGAGGTATATGGATTTGAAATTTTAAGTACTATCAAATTCCCTTTTACAAAGAGTTTACCCATTTATTAATTAACAGTGCTTATTTTCCTGCATCTTTGCTTATTTTAGGTGTTATAAACCTTTTAAACTCTTATTAACCTGGTGGGAGAAATATAATATAAAGACACTTTTTCCCCCTTGATTATCAGTGAAGTCAGACAACTTTTGATAGGCTTTTTTGTCCAGTTATATGTCTCCTGTCAGTTACCTTTTTATAACCTTTGATTTGTATATAGATTGAATATTGTTTTATGTTTTAATATTTTATACCAGTATTGTCTTTTAAATTAATTTACAGTATATTTAATCATCACATTTTTATTTTTATTTAATTAAATCAGTCTTTTCAATTTTGAATTCTGGAATTTCATAATTTAAAAAGGGCTTTACATTCTTAAGATTATAAATTCTTTTTGTATTTTATTCTGATTTTTAAATTTGTTTTTCACTTTTAGCTCTTTAGCACATTTGCCATTATTTTTTTGTATATAATGTGAAGTAAAGGTCTGGTTTTATTTTTTCAAGTAGCTATTTATGCTAATACTATTTGTTAAATAAGTATGTTTTTTCCTAACTGGTTATAAATGCCACCTTTATTGAGAAAACTAAATTCTTATTTATGTATGGTCCTGTTTCTGGATTTTAAAAATATTTTATTTATCTACATATTTCTACATCCATATCACACTAATGTAATTAATATAGTTTCAAAGTATTTTTATTTTATTTTACTTTTTTCGAGATAGCATCTTGCTTTGTCGCCAAGGCTGGAGTGCAGTGGTGCAGTCATGGCTCACTGCAGCCTTGATTTCCTGGGTTCAGGTGATCCTCCCACCTCAGCTTCCCAAGTAGCTTGGACTAGGTGCATGCCACCATGCCCAGCTAATCTTCTGTATATTTTGGTAGAGATGGGGTTTTGCCATGTTGCCAAGGCTGGTCTTGAACTATTGGGCTCAAGCAATCCTCCTGCCTTGGCCTCCTAAAGTGCTGGGATTATGGGCATGAGACATCACTGTTGCAGGAAGTCAGGGACCCTGAACGGAGGGACCAGCTGAAGCCATGGCAGAAGAACATAAATTGTGAAGATTTCATGGACATTTATTAGTTCCCCAAATTAACACATCTATAATTTCTTATGCCTGTCTTTACTGCAATCTCTGAACATAAATTGTGAAGATTTCATGGACATCTATCACTTCCCAAATCAATACTCTTGTGATTTCCTATGCCTGTCTTTACTTTAATCTCTTAATTCTGTTATCTTCATAAGCTGAGGATGTATGTCGCCTCAGGGCCCCGTGATGATTGCGTTAACTGCACAAATTGTTCGTATAGCATGTGTGTTTAAACAATATGAAATCTGGGCACCTTGATAAAAGAACAGGATGACAGCGATGCTCAAGGAACAAGGGAGATAACCATCAAGTCTGACTGCCTGAGAGCTGGGTGGAACAGAGCCATATTTCTCCTCTTACAAAAGCAGATAGGAGAAATATCGCTGAATTCTTTTTCTCAGCAAGGAACAGCCCTGAGAAAGAGAATGCGTTCCTAGGGGGAGGCCTCTAAAATGGCCGCTCTAGGAGTGTCTGTCTTATAAGGTTGAAGATAAGGGATGAAATAAGCCCCGGTCTTCCATAGGGCTCCTGGGCCTATTAGGATGAGGAAATTCCCGCCTAGTAAATTTTAGTCAGACAGGTTGTCTGCTCTCAAACCCCATCTCCTGATAAGTTGTTATCAATGAAAATGCGTGCCCAAAACTTCATTAGCAATTTTAATTTCACCCCAGTCCTGTGATCTCCTCTGTCCCCATTTGCCTTGTGATATTTTATTGCCTTGTGAAGCATGTGATCTCTGTGACCCACACCCTATTCATACACTGCCTCCCCTTTGAAAATCGCTAATAAAAACTTGCTGGTTTTGCGACTTGGGGGGCATCGTGGAACCTGCCGACATGTGATGTATTCCCCAGATACCCAGCTTTAAAATTTCTCTCTTTTGTACTCTTTCCCTTCATTTCTCAGACTGGCCGACACTTAGGGAAAACAGAAAAGAACCTACGTTGAAATATTGGGGGTGGTTCCCCTGATACACCACAACTGGCCCCAATGTGGGTTTAATCTGTATTTCCCTGATGATTAGTGATGCTGAGCATTTTCTCATATGCCTTTTGGCCATTCGTATGTCGTCTTTTGAGAAATGTCTATTCAGATTCTTGTGTTTTTTTTTCCTTTTCAGTTCTGTTGAACTTGATGCCCATTTTTTAATCAGATTATTTGTTTTCTTGCTATTGCGTTATTTGAGTTCTTCATATATTTTGGATATTAATCCTTTATCAAATGTTTGATTTATTGAATTTTGACAATTGGATTGACTCAATTTTACCACCCCCAAAATAAGATATAGAATATTAACATGAGCTTGGAAAATTCTTTCATACTCCAGGTTGAGGCTACAGTGAGCCATGATTGTGCCCCTGCACTCCAGCCTGGGCTAGGCAACAGAGCCAGACCCTGTCTCAAATAAATAAATAAAATAAAACAAATTCTCCCGTACCCTTTTCCAGTCAATTCCTCCTCTTTCCAGAGGCAACCACTTTTTGATTTCCATCCCCATTAATTAAGTTTCCCTGTCTTTGGATTTCATTTATGTGGAACCACACAGTATATATTTGTTATGTCTGTTTTTCTTTTTCACTCAGCATGATATCTGCAAGATTCAAACATGTTGTGTATATCAGCAGTTGTTTCTTTTCATTTCTGAGTAATATTCCATTGTATAAATATACTGCAATTTGTTTATACATTTTCCCATTGATTAACATTTGAGATTGTTTCTAGAATTTGCCTATTATAAATAAAGTTTTTGTAAGTATTCTTTTTTTTTTTTTTGAGACAGAGTCTCACTCTGTCGGCCAGGCTGGAGTGCAGTGGTGTGATCTTGGCTCACAGCAACCTCTGCCTCCCAGGTTTAAGTGATTCTCCTGCCTCAGCCTCCCAGGTAGCTGGGACTACAGGTGAGCACCACCATGCCTGGCTGGTTTTTGTATTTTTAGTACAGACTGGTTTCATCATGTTGGCCAGGCTGATCTAAAACTTCTGACCTGAAGTGATCTGCCTGCCTCGGCCTCCCAAAGTGCTGGGATTACAGGCATGAGCCACTGTGCCTGGCCAGTTTTCATAAGTATTCTTACATAAGTTTTTCTTTTTTTGTGAATATATGTTCACTTCTCTTTGGTAAATACGTATGGGTGGAATTACTGGTTCATATGTAAATATATGTTTACCTTTATACATAACTGCCAGAGAGTTTTCCAATGAGGTTGTACCTTGTTATATGCCCACCAACAGTGTATGTGAGTTCTAGTTTCTCTTCATCTTCATCAGTATTTGGTTTAGTCAGCCATCCAAATGGATTAAGCCATTTCAGTGTGAATGAAATACTGTCTCATTGTAGTTTTAATCAGCATTTCCCTGCTGTCATTCAACAAATTTTTGTGAGTTTATTGACCATTCATGTATCTTCTTTCATGAAGTGACTGTTTAAATCTTTTGCCCATTTCTAAAATTGGTTGGCTTTCTATTATTGAGTTTTAGGAGATATTTTTATGTTCTGAATACAAATATATTCTTTGTCATACATATATGGTGAATATATTTTTTTCCTATGTGTGACTTGTCTGTTTATATTATAAATGATGTCTTTTAAAGAGTGAAAATTTAAAATTTTGATGAAATCCAGTCTATTAATATTTTATTAATGCATTTTGTGTCCTATTCAAGAAATGTTCGTGGACTCCTAAGGTCACAAAGATATTTTTCTATGTTTTCTTCTAGAAACTTTATAGTCCTGGTTTTTATGGTTAGGTTTATGATCCATCTTAAATTAATTTTTGTATATTGAGTGACATGAGATCAAGGTTCATTTTTTTCCTGTACAAATATTCTACTGTTCCAGAAGCATTTGTTTAAAAAAAAAAAATGACCCATTGAAAAAAAACCCCAAATGACCCATTGAATTGACTTGGTGCCTCATTCAAAAATCAATTTAGCATATCTATTACTGAACTCTCTTTTCTGTTCTACTGATTTATTTATCTGTGCTTATGCCTATACCAAACTCTTAATTATTGTAGCTTTTTTATTGAGATGGAGTCTCACTATACTGCCCAGGCTGGAGTGCAGTGGTGCTATCTGGGCTCACTGCAACCTCCACCTTTTGGGTTCAAGCGATTCTCCTGCCTCAGCCTCCCGAGTAGCTGGGATTACAGGTGCATGCCACCATATCCAGCTAATTTTTTTGTATTTTTGGTAGAGATGGATTTTTACCATGTTGGCCTGACTGGTCTCAAACTCCTGACCCCAAGTGATCCGCCCGCCTGGGCCTCCCAAAGTACTGGGATTATAGGAATGAGCCACAGCACCCTGCCTATTGTAGCTTTTTAGTAAATCTTAAAATTAAGTAATTTCTCAAAGTTGTTTCTAGTTCCTTTGCTTTTTTGTATAAATTTTAGACTCATCTTGTCAATTTTTACAAAAAATTGACTGTAATTTTAATAGGGATTGTATTGAATTTATATATCAATTTTAAAATAATGGACATCTTAACATTCCAGCTTTCAGAGAATTGTCCATAAACATTTATTTGTTCTTCATTAATTTCCTTTAGCAATGTTTTGCAGCTTTCAGTTAGAAATCAGAGAGAGAGCAGGAGAGATAGAGAGGGAGGAGGGAGGGAGCAGAGAGAGAGACAGAGAGAGGCACTCACTGTGTTGTCAAGGCTGACCTCAAACTCCTGTGCTCAAGTAGTCCTCTAGGAGGTTGAGATTTCAGGTATGCACCACTGTGCCTGGATAAAATCTTACATATTTATTTACTCATACATACAAATTTATTTGTATTTACTCATACATACAAATTTATTTACTCAAAATGTCTTTAATGTTTGAAAACACCCAACCTCCTACAACAACCGAAAACTCTGCTGAGTTGGAATCTCACACCGTGGTGGCTTGAGAGCCTGCGCAGTTGTGAATGGAGTAAGGAGCCAAGACTGGGTGGGGGCCACCACGCATCAGGGCCACTGAGGTAGGGAAGACGAGGGGTGGGAGGCTGAGAGCCCGGGAGGAAGCAGTGGCTGGTGGGAGACACGGGCCCCAAACCCCCAACACTGTGGACCCAGTGCAGTCTGGGCGAAGACGCCAGGCACCAGCTGCCCCCAGGTGACCTCCCTGTGGGGGTCTTGTACCTCCTGAGGCTGGATCTCGCATAAATACACAGGTGAATGGGACGGGCTGGGCCATGGGAAGACTCATCCCAGGATGGGAGCTCTTGAGTGGAGGCTGCCTGCCTTGGGGAGCCCAGAGGAGGAGCAGCCGGGAGAGAGCTGGGGGGCTAGACTCCGGCAGGGCAGGGGCATCCATCCTGCAGGTGACGGGGGTCATTGTCCGTGTGTCTGCCTCTAGGGGCTGTCAGGGAGGTGGCTACTGCATGAGCCGGTAGGTGAGGTACCTGCCTGCCATCTCGCTGGGCCGGATGATCTTCACTACCTGCCCATGCTTTATCCCAAAGTAGCGCGCCACGGCGTCCCCCGCCTGGATCCTGGGCAGCTGGTTCTCTCGGAGCTTATATAGGGCCAACAGCACTGTCACCTCCTCCTTGGTCATGACAACGTACTCAGGGACTAGCTCGTACTCTGTGATGTCGATGAGCAATTTCTGCTGCAGAAACTGCTCCAGGATGTACTTGGGAGCCATGTGGACCAGGCACTACTTGGCGGAGGGCGTCATGCCCTGCTGCACCATGATGAGGACCCGCGTGATGTTCTCCTGCTGCATGCGCCGGCAGTACACGTTGAGGGTCTTGATGCCCACCTTGGGCTCCTCTGGAAAGAACACAAACATCTTGTCGGTGGGGTCATCGTTGTGGGCCACCAGCGCGGTGAGGTCCGTGCGCCGCCGCTGCCCCTCACTTGGCTTGTCCCCAGACTGGACTTTGAACTCCTTCAGTGTCTGGTTAAGCTCGTCCTAGGTCACTAGGTAGCCACGGTCATGGCACAGCTGCATGATGGTCTTGCGGATTTTCCAGAGCTGGTACATCTCCTCCTTGTCGTCCATGGCCGCCCTAAAATCTTGCATATTTTTCACTGGATACCTTTTTAGGGATTTGATATTTTTTAATGGTATTTTTAAAAAGCTTTATTTTCCAGTTGTTTGCTGGTGGCAAATAGGACAACTAGGCAAATAGGCAATAGGCAAATAGGCAAATAGGTGGCAAAAAATTAGACTTTTTATATGCTCCAAGAATTCTAATTTCACTTATTAATTCTAGTGTTTGTTTTGGGTAGATTCAATAGGATTTTAATAATCATACTGTCTATAAATAACAATAGTTTTGCTTCTTCCTTTCCAATACTTACGCATTTTATCTTATGTTCTTGCTTTATTACATCGGCTAGGACTTCCCTTTCTTTTATTTTTTTATAACTTTTTTCTATTTTATTTTATGTTTTGAGATTAATAAAATTCAAGACTGGTATGTCTTATATTATGTCTTAAGTTAGATTATATTTTTTCTTTGCCTTTTCTTTTTCTTTTTGAGACTGAGTCTCGCTCCGTCACCCAGGCTGTAGTGCAGTGCACCATCTTGACTTGCTGCAACCTCCGCCTCCTGGGTTTAAGCATTTCCCCTCCTCAGCCTCCTAAGTAGCTGGGATTATAGGCATGTGCCACCATGCTTGGCCAATTTTTGTATTTTTAGTAGAGACGGGGTTTCACTATGTTGGCCAGGATGGTCTCAAACTCCTGACCTCAAGTGATGCACCCTGCCTTGGACTTCCAAAGTGCTGGGATTACAGGCATGAGCCACTGCGCCCAGCCAGATTATATTTTATATTGTGGCAAATATATATAACAAAATGTATTAGTTTAACCACTTTTAAGTGTATAGTTTTGTGGCATTAACTACATTCACATTACTGTGCAGCTGTTACCACCATCCATCTCCAAAGCCTTTTCACATTCCCCAGCTGAAACCCTGCACCTGATAAACACTAACTCCTCATTTCACCCCTCATCCAGCCCAAGGGAGTCAGTATTCTACTTTCTGTCTCTAGGAATTTGACTACTCTAGGTTCCTCAAATAAGTAGAATTATACAATATTTGTCCTTTTGTGACTGGCTTCTTTCATTTAAACATAATACCTTTAAGGTTCACCCATGTTGTAGCATGTCACAGAATTTTGTTCCAAAAGGCTGCGTAATTCCATTAAATGTATATAGTACATTTTGTTTATCCATTCACTTATTGATGGACACTTGTGTTGTTTCTGTCTTTTAGTTATTGTAAATAATGCTGCTATGAACACTGGTGAACAAATATCTCTTTCCTTTGGGTATATACCCAAGAAATGGAATTGCTGGATTATGTAATTTTATATGTAATTTTCGGGGAACTTCCATTCCACTTTCCACAGTGGCTGCACCATTTTACATTCCTACCAGCAACATACAGCAATTTCTCCACATCCTTGCCAACACTGGTTAATTTTTGTTTAGTTTTGTTTTTATGCTAGCCATCCTAAGGGTATGAAGTGGTATCTCACTGTGGTTTGATTTGCATTTCCCCAATGCGTAGTGATGTTGAGCACTTCTTCATGTGCTTATTTGGTCATTTGTATACCCTTCGATAAATGTCTGTTCATGTCCTTGACCCATTTTTTCATCAGATTTTTGTTGTTGTTGTTTTTCTTGAGTTGTAGGATTTTAAATGTATCCTGGATATTAATCCTTTATCAGGTATGATTTTCTCCCATTCTGTGTGTTGCCTTTTCACTCTGTTGATAGTGTCCTTTGATGCACAAAAGTTTTTATTTATTTATTTATATTTTTGAGATTGAGTTTTTCACTCTTGTCTCCCAGGTTGGAATGCAGTGGTGCAATCTTGGCGCACTGCAACCTCCAACTCCCAGGTTAAGGCAATTCTCCTGCCTCGGCCTCCTGAGTAGCTGGGACCACAGGCATGCACCACTATATCTGGCTAATTTTTGTATTTTTAGTGGCGACAGGGTTTTACCATGTTGCCCAGGCTGGTCTCAAACTCCTGGCCTCAAGTGATCTGTACGCCTCGGCCTCCCAAAGTGTTGGAATTACAGGCATAAGCCACCATGCCCGGCCTAAAGTTTTTAATTTTGATGAAGTCCAGTTATCTATTTTTCTTTTCTTTTTTTTTTTTTTTTGGTCTATACTGTTGGTATCATCTCCAAGAAATCATTGCTAAATTTAATGTCATGAAGCTTTTCCCCCTGTTTTCTTCTAAGAGTTTTATAGCTTGGATTATACCCTTATCCATATGAATGTGTGTTTGGTCTGTTCAGCACATTTTGCTTTGGTTTCTACTTTGCTTCCTTACCAGTGTGGAAAGTCCCAGTGGGCAAAGTACGGTATGGAATTGTGGCAGCTGAAAGAAGCAGGAGGCAGGCAGGCAGATGGGGGCAAACTCTGGCCAGAGTGGAGGTACTGAGAAAGTAAAGGGACAGAGGACAGGCTGAAGTCAGGAAGAATCATCAAGATTTCTTTGTGAAAACAAACACTCCCTTTCTCTGAAGTTCCACATTTTAACTAATGGCTTGGGACTTCCTGGTGGATTATGTCATAGATTGTACTGTTTGGGGAGCAAGGGCTCTGTTGGCTAAGGCCACAACTTTGTCCTTTATGGCTCAAGTGTCTCTTGAGCTTAACATGGAGTGGAGTCGCTGCACTGTCAGGGCACATAGAGCAGCTCCATGCATATTATGCCATGAGAACAAAAGGATGACATTATTGACAATAATGGGGAAATGGAAAAGCAGAATTGGTTTAAGGATGTTTAAGATACTTTAAATTTTTGATAAATATTCAAGGCAAAATGTTATTTTATGTAGGAAATTAAATAAGCCCAGAGGGGTACAACCTCCAAGTCTAAAATTTAATGAGAAAAAAAGTCCTGAGTATAAGCTGAGCATTCCAATCACTTTGCAAATTAATAAACACATTCATTCTTTCTATCATCAATTAGTATCAATTATATGTCTATATTCTCTTAGCAAATATTGATTACTTGTCTACTATAATCTACTGTGTCTACTACATGAAAATCTGCAAAATCATTCCCTTCCTTTCTCTCTGTTTCTGACTTCAGATCCCCACTCATGAGATGAGACTGACATTTGTATCCTAGAGTTAGGTAGCCTTTGGCAGGGCCCTTAAGACAATGATCTGTTATAGAATCTAAGACAGAGGGCCACTGAGACAAGAAGGTAAAATACAGAACTGTTCAGGCCAATACAAGTCACTGGTCATTTTATTATAAACAAGTGGCATTTTAAAAAGATGAATTTAATTTTAAAGCAAAAGCTATATTCAGCATAACTAATCTTCCTCTCTTTTTCTCTAGGTATCTTTAGGAGACAAGTATATATATTTTTAATTTTGTATAAGATTGTTCAGCTTATCAGAACTATAAGTTTGATGTGGCAAATCAAAGAGACAAACTTTTTAAATGTTATTATAAGTATCTCTTTTTAAAAAGTCTATTTTTAAGAGTAATTTTAGGTTCCCAGCAAAATTGAAAATAGAAATACAGAGAGTTCCCATATACTTCACGCTCCAACATCCCCCACCAGAGTTACTTACCTTTGTTACAACTTATGAACCTACATTGACACATTATCATCACCCAGCTGCCTTAGTTATAACCAGGGTTTCTCTTGGTATTGTATATCCTATGGGTTGGGCAAATGTATAATGACATGTGTCCACTGTTACAGTGCCATACAGAGTATTTCACTCCTCTAAAGATCCTCTATGTTCCACCTATTCATCTGTCTCTCTCCATTAACCTCTGGCAAGCACTGAACTTTTTACTGTCTCCATAGTTTTGCCTTTTCCAGAATGTCATGTAGTTGGAATCATATAGTATATAGCTTTTTCAGATTGCCTTCTTTCTCTCAGCAACATGTATTTAAGTCTCTTCCATGTCTTTACATTATATGATAGCTCAATTCTTTTTAGTGCTGAATGGTATTTCATTGTATGGATGCACTATAGTTGATTTATCCAGTTATCCAATGAAGGACATCTTGGTTGCTTCCAAGTTTTGGCAATTATGAATAAAGCTGATATATTTCTTTTCCTTTTCTTTTTTTGTTTTTCTTTTTCTTTTCTTTTTCTTTTTTTTTTTTTTCTTGAGATGGAGTCTCACTTTGTCGCCCAGGCTGAAGTGCAGTGGCACGATCTTGGTTCCCTGTAAATTTCGCCTCCTGGGTTCAAGTGATTCTCCTGCCTTAGCCTCCCGAGTAGGTAGGATTACAGGCACATGCCACCACACCAGCTAAGTTTTTATATTTTTGGTAGAGATCAGGTTTCACCATGTTGGCCAGGCTGGTTTCAAACTCCTGACCTCAAATGATCTGCCTGCCTTGGCTTCCCAAAGTGTGGGATTATAGGTGTGAGCCACTGTGCCCGGCTGATATATTTCTTTTAAAGTAATAAATGTTTGGAGATTTTATATATATATATATAAATCTGGATCCTTGGATATGGTCTTCTTCTCTCTTCTATGTATAGTCATATCCTTAATGATTTCATCTAGTTTTCCAACTTACATATGGTGACTACTCTCAAATTTATATCTCATCCCAAACTCCTCTCTTCTGAACTCTGTACTCATATATTCCAAAGTCTAATTGATCTACTTGGATATCCAATAGACATATTGAACTCAATAGATTAAAAGCTGAACTCTTGATCTTCCCATCCATACCCTGCTTTCAGTCCGCCGTACTGTTTCATACTGCCAAATCTGTTGCTAGAATCATCCCGGAAGTAGGGGCAGGGGAATTCCCACAAGGGAGTCTCTCAACCCGTCTGGAGATGGAACTGGTTAGATTTCTAAAGAAAGAAGCACTGAAGGCCAGGTGACCAGTTCAAAGCATTTACTAAGGAAACTTATACAGAGTGCTGCAGCAATCCTTGGTGCGGAGAGCAAGGGGAGACGGGTGTTCTACGTAGGTGTGTCTGCTGCAAGGGGCTCAGAGCATGGGCTTTATATGAGGGTTTAAGGAATTTGACTCAGCTGAGGCCAGTTTCTTTCAGTGTTTTGGGGAACAGCCTAGATACCTTTATCAGCGCCTGGGAATGTTTAATGCCTTGGATTGGGCTCACATCTGCTGGGAAAAACCTGCAGCTGGCTGGGTCACAGAATGGTCAAGGCACTCTGTGATTTTCAGTCAGGACACAGAAAGAAAGCAAGGGGGGAGGAATGGAAGGAGGCAGAGGGTGGAACTATAACCTTTTCTGGGTCATTGATGTTAACTCCATCTTTCTAGTTGCTCAGGCCCCAGACACTGGAATCGTTGAATATCTGCCTTTCTTTCTCTTTCTTTCTTTCTTTCTTTCTTTCTTTCTTTCTTTCTTTCTTTCTTTCTTTCTTTCTTTCTTTCTTTCTCTCTCTCTCTCTCTTTCTTTCTTTCTTTCTTTCCTTTCTTTCTTTTCTTTCTTTCTTTCTTTCTTTCTTTCTTTCTTTCTTTCTTTCCTTCTTTCTTTCTTTCCTTCTTTCTTTCTTTCTTTCTTTCTTTCCTTCTTTCTTTCTTTCCTTCCTTTCTTTCTTCCCTCCTTCCTTCCCTTCCCTTCCTTCCTTCCTTCCTTCCTTCCTTCCTTCCTTCCTTCCTTTTCTTTCTTTCTTTCTCTTTCTTTCTTTCTTTCTTTTTCTTTCTTTCTTTCTTTCCTTCTTCCCTTCCTTCCTTCCTTCCTTCCTTCCTTCCTTCCTTCCTTTTTTTTCTTTCTTTCCTTCATATCTGTCGTCTAATCCATCAGAAAATCATGCAGCATCTTCGGTATGCTGTATATCCATAATCGGATTCCCTTCCTGCCCCTGCCAGAGCTACCGTCTGTTTCAAACCACCCTCATCTCTCACCTTTGGGAGGCTGTCATTGCCTCTTAAATAGTCCCTCTCTACCCCTATTGGTAGTCTCAATACTGCAGCTTAAAGTTTCCTTTTATTATCATTTTACTTTGAAATAAATGCAAAGTTACAGAAAAAGTTGCAAGTTCAATACAAATAACTCATGTTTCTGGAACCGTTTAAGCATAAATTGCTGACCCAATTCTCATCACTCCTCTCCTCCTGAATATTTTAGTGTATATTTCCTACAAACAAGGACATTGTCCTGTGTAACCACCATACAACACTGAAATCAGGAAACTAACAACGATGCATCTCCATTACTTAATCCTCAAACCACATTCAAGTTTCACCAATTTGGTCCCAATAATGCCTTTTATAACAACAGGATCAGTTCTACATCGTGGGTTGCACTTAGTTGTCATGTCTTTTTAGACCAATCTTTCCTTGACTCTTAAGACCTTGATACTTTTGAATATCACAGACCAGTTATTTTGTAAAATGTTTCCCAATGTGGATCTGTCTCACGTTTCCTCATAAATAGATCCAGACTATGCTTCAGTGGCAGAAACATTACATAAGTTAGCCATGTTTTTCTTGTTCTATCCTATAAGGTGGCACAAAACTTTAATTTGTTCTATTCCTGATGAGGTTCAATTTGATATCTTGGTTTCTGCCTATTTTCTCCACTATAAAGTTACTATTTTCTTCTTTGTAATTAATGAATATTTTGCATGAAGTTACTTGGAAACTATGTAACTATTTCATTTCTCATCATACATTAATTTATCCTTGTATTTATTTAAATTTGTATGGACTCAAGGTTTATTTTATTCCACTTTTCATTTAATGTTATCTAATGTTATTCATTTTATTATTTTATTCCTACTTTACTAATTGCTATCATTATTTTGATGTTTGAATGGATCTTAATTTGGCTAGAGGAAACCATTTAAAGCTGGCATCTGTGTCCTTTTGCCCTGTCCCCATCATTCTTTGAACACTTTCTGGCTTCTGGCACAGTGAGATGTTCCAGGCCCATCCTATACTTTCCCTGTCTGAGCCTTGGAATCAGGCATTTCTCCAAGGCATGCTGGTTCTTTTTCATTGCAACCCCTCCCCTACACAGACATCATTTCTCTCAGGGTTCTGATTATCTTCACCAGGTTGTTACTGCCTAGGATGATACCCTTTCCTTGCATGGGCTTTGACATCCCGTGCCAGGCTGACCCCACACAAAGATGCCTTCTCAAGCTGCTCAGGCAGAGTCCTTTGAACCAAAGTCAGATCATGTCACTTCTCTGGCTCAAAACCTCAGAATGGTTCCCATTAGTCCACACAATATGCTGCAAGCATATTGTGACCGGATCATACCCTCTTTGCCTTTCCCATCTCCTTCTCTACTCTCTCTCCTTGCCCCCACCAGCTCCCCTCCTGCCAGAGGACTTTTGCTCTTCCCCCTGTGAATGTTCTATCTCCAGAAAATGACTTAGCCAGCTGCTCCATGCCCTTAAGGTCTTTGTTGAAATCTCATATTTTCAGTGAGGCCTACCCTGACCTTACAATGTAATATTGTAAACTTCCCTTAACTTGGGTAAATGTTTTTTTCTTTCTGCAAAATGCATAAATGGACCTGTTTGGCAATGGGAGCTGATGCCCACAGGACATGGGCCTAAAAGGAAGAGCAGAACCAACAGAGATCTGAGCTGCTCTGTTCAAGAAAGAGAGGGGAGTTTAAAGTTTGCTTAGAGACCTCCCCAGGGAAGGGGTGAAGCCTCTGGGGGCAAGTAGCAGGATAAGATATAAACAGGATTCCAGAGGTGATCTGGGAACATTTAAGAACAAAGGTGTCTGGTGCTCCAGTTATTTGCTGGACATTGCAGCAATGCAGCTGTCTTCTAGGGGTGTACTTAGTGTTCGACTTGCAGATTCAGATTTTGGTAGGAAGAGCTCACTGAGGTGAAGGGAGCCAATGACAACATAGGCACCGCCTCCTGGGGAGGATACTGGCCATCTCACAGCATATGAAATGATGATGGTCACGCTGCTGAAACAAGCTGTTAAAGGGAAGATTGACTCCAGAAGGCTGGAGGCTTTAGGGACTCATAAGTATAGGTGATAACTCTGCAGGCAAGAGTCCACCTGAAGTCCATCTATCTGATCTTGTCCAAATGAATGTCTATTACACGCTTGGAGAGAGTTCACATTCAAAGAATTCCACCTGAAACTGCCAGATGTGGGAATGAAGATAGTCCTGGATTGTGATAGAGCCTTCTTCTCAAACTGGGAGTATATGCAGTGTGCTGAGCAGAGTAGAGAACCACAAGATCAAGTGTGATACACTTCCATATACCATGCATTTAAATATCATCATATATTAAAGCAGAGGTGCCATGGAATAGACTGCAACTTCAGAGGAATTTCGTATTTAGATTGTGCCCTCTGAGCCCTCATCACTCTCCTCATCACTGGAGTCATTATAGAATTTGAGAAGCACGAAGTAAGATTAAAAGACTGAAGCAAGGGTGTTTTCCCCATCACTCTTGACCTTGGGCAAGTCAGCTACTTATCAATTTTTAGGCTTATAAAATAAGGAGGTTGATGAGATGATTTTTAGTTAGGTTGATTTAGGAATGATCTCAGCCTTCCTTTCTCTTTCCGTCTCTCTCAACATCTCTTTTTCTGTCTGTTCTATGCTCCTCCCCTTACCATTTGCCTTCATCTGCATTTTTATATGCAAACTTTTCATTTTTCTTATAACTTTGGCCTTTACCTGGTCCACCATGATTGCCTCAACTTCCTCTACTTTATGACAGTTCTTAATTTTCAGTTTCTGCCTTTGCTGTCAATTGCTCCATCTGTCAGTTTCCATGAACTCTTTTACTAGAGAGGCATCTGATTGTCTCAGCTTATTCTTTTGAAACAGTTCACCCAGTTCATAGCTTGCTGGTGAGCTAAAAGATGAGGCACTCCAAGCTCAGGTGCCCACATTGATTCCATCAGTTACAGTCACGGAGAGACAGGCACTACGTTAGATATCGTTGCTGCCATCCCTTAGCAGGGCTGGGGGGAAGTCGTATTTCCTTAGAAGGGAATGTAATTGGCATGAATAATATTTTAAAAAGTCAAGTTTAATCCCAAACCTCTGACACATCAATTCTATGATAAATTAAGATATTGCATTCACACCTGGGTTCACTACTATTATCATTTTGATACTTAGGCCGTTATTTCCTGTATGTTAAGGTGATTTTTAATATTCATTTATGGAAATAAATCCTAGACAATGAATACAACATTACCTTAAGGTTGTTGAGCATTTTTGGCTCAGGAATGATACAAGTTAATTTCCTATCCATTGCTTTTCATTCAATTCAACAAATATATAACGAATGCCAATTCTGGACCAGGCATTGCTTTAAGGAATGTGGGTATAGTAGGGAACAAATCCTTGCCCATGTGGAGCTTACACTCTAGTAAAATCTAAACAAGTTCGTGCTTGGTTTTTTCTTGTTTTTAAAAATATTTTGATCATAGAGAATTATATAACGAGAACTCATATATATCTTACCCTGTTAGATTTCAAATTTTGCCACACTGGCTTCAAGTATTTATTTATTTATTTATTTAAAAGAAAAACACTGTATATAGTCTCAAAACTCTCCATGTATCTTCCAATCCCATTCCTTTTTCATTTCCCTTTCTCAGAGTGCTATGGTCTGAATAGTGTTTCCCCTGGAAAATTCATAGGTGGAAGCCTAACCACCAATGTGACTGTATTTGGAGATGAGGCCTCTAAGGAGGAAATTCAGGTTAAATGAGGTCATAAGAATGGGTCCCTAATCTCATACGGCTGGTTGTCCTATAAGAAGAGGAAGAAACACCAGAGCTCTCTTTGCCATGTGAGAATACAGTGAGAAGGTGACCGTCTGCAAGCCAGGGAGAGAGCCCTCACCAGGAACTGTATCAGCAGAAAGCTTGATCTTGAACTTTCCAGCTTCCAGAACTATAAGGAAATAAATTTGTGCTGCTTAAACCACCAAGTCTATACTATTTTCTTATGGCAGCCTGAGGAAACTAAGGCACCGAGGTCAGCCCTATTCTGAATTTGGTGTTTATCAACTCCAAGGAGGATTTATACTTTACTATATTTATGTAGAGCCGTGAACAGGAATATGTAGGTGTTTTTTTTTTTTGTAGTTAAAAAAAACTTTTATAATTAGTATCATGTTCTACATACATTGCATATTCTAAAAAGGTGGTCTATTTTCATCTCAGCTCCTTTAAAAATTTCATAAAAATTATCAATTTTCTCAAAGAAAAATGTACTATATTTTGTATATAACTTCAGGCTGTTCATAAACCATGGAGCTCTATCTGAGCCCCAGATGAAGAACATTTGCTCTGGTTATAGTTTCTTTTTTTTAGAATATTCATCCCACCATATTGCAAGGTCCCTAGTCATCTAGAACTAAGTCAATTATGTCTATTATTCCATACTTACTGAGACTGAGGAATGGACTCACATTTTAGAAAGGTTATTTATTTATTTATTTATTTGAGACAGAGTCTCACTATGTCACCCAGGCTGGAATACTGTGGCGTGATATCGGCTCACTGCAACCTCCGCCTCCCAGGTTTAAGCAATTCTCCTGCCTCAGCCTCCCAAGTAGCTGGGACTACAGGTGCCCACCATCACACCCAACTCATTTTTGTATTTTTAGTAGAGATGTGGTTTCACCATGTTGGCCAGGCTGGTCTTGAACTCCTGACCTCAGGTGATCTGCCTGCCTTGGCCTCCCAAAGTGCTGGGATTACAGGTGTGAGCCACCATGCCTGGCCAAGAAAGGTTACTTAGTAATAAAGATTGAGAATAAAAATGATTTTCTTTTGAGTTACCAGAAAAGTAAATTATCCACACACCCAATTTTTAAACTTTTCCGAATAATTGAGGTCTAGCAACAGAGTCACATAGTAGGAGTATCGGCTTGATGAGAAGTATATGTGAGTTAATAGAAAATACACTTTATTTGACATGGTAGGAAGTATTTTAGCTATTACAAATAAACAGAACTAAAAAAGTCATGTTCCTGTAATGCAGTGCCTTGATTGTTGTAATTTAATATCAAGTACTATCTTGTTTCCCTGTAAAATGTGAGGACACTTATGTACCTCCCTGAGAAATTGGAAAGCAAGGGATTAAAAAAAAAAACCCGGTGTGAAGTTTCTTGGATAGGATGCCCAGCATAAGGATATAATTGTTTTTTGGCATGCTGGTTGGTGCCTCTGCACTGCACTTTCCTTCCCTCGGTTGGTGACAGAATACTGTGAAAGACATTCAAGGCCAAGTGAACACTTACAAATGAATTACCACCTGCCATGAACACAGAAAGAAATATTGATGTTAAATAGAGCTATTTGAGAACTCAAGTAGGGGAAAAGACTGTGGAACCAATTGAGATCTGATGAGCCTCGCCAAACTGTAGAAAGACAAGGTTAAACTGTCCTGCAAAAAACAAAACAAAACAAAACAAAACAAGACAAACAGCAACAACAACAACAAAACCACAGGTCTGGAATGAAGTGGGATATTATCTGAGAGATTTACATCCTTCTTTTCTGTTGAAATCTAGCATTGCCTAACTTTATTAAGAAGCACAGGAAGCTATGGAAACACATTCTGAGATTAACTGTGGAGCAAATCTTGAAAGAAGATGAAAAATGTTTAACTATCATAAAGTTGAGGAATAGAAGTTAATATATATAAATTAAAAGGAGACAGAACGAGAAGAGCAAGAACAAAGATAATTTTTAGGTTTTTGTAATACAAAGGAAGTGAAATTACAGAGAAGGAGAGGGAGAGGAGACTGAGTTGTTAATACTTGCAGGGAGATGGGCATTTCTAATATTCTAATAGGTGATTGCTAGGTTGCACGCATGCACACACACACACACACACACACACACACACACACACACACACACACAGATTGAGCTTCCCTAATCTAAAAATCTGAAATTCACAATGCTCCAAAATCTAAAACCTTTTGAACACTGGCATGAGATAGTAACACCTTTGCTTTCTGATGTTTCAATGTACACAAACTTTGTTTCATGCACAAAATTATTTAAAATCTTGTATAAAACTACTTTCAGTCTACATGTATAAGGTATATATGAAACATGAGTGAATTTTGTGATTTGGGTTCCATCCCCAGGATTTCTTATTATATATATGCAAATATTCCAAAATCTAAAAAAATCCAAAACATGAAACACTACTGAAATGCATTTTGGATAAGGGATACTCAACCTCTATACATATATATTTTCCTCCTCTGATAGGATTTAGGAGAAGAGGTAATATTGATAGGATTTAGGAGGAGGGAGGGAGTGAAAAGAGGAAAACCACATCTTGACTGATTCCTCATAAGGCTGGTCTTCTCCTGAGACTGTTATACTAGTCAGGGTTCTCCAGAGAAAAGAACCAATAGGATGTGTACATACAGAGAAAGAGATTTATTTTAAAGAATTGGCTAATATGATTATGGAGGCTGGCAACTTCAAAATCTTCGGAGCTGATGTCCCAGTTGGAGTCTGAAGGCTGGTAGGTGGCAGGAAGATGTTCCAGTTTGAAGGCCATCAGGCAGGAAAATGCTCTTAGGAAGAGGGTCAGTTGTTCTACTCAGACCTTCAACTGATTGCATAAACCCCACCCACATTATGTAGGGCAATCTGCTTTACCCAGTCCACCGACTTAAATGTTAATCTCATCCAAAACCTCCCTCACAGAAATACCCAGAATCACGTTTGACCAAATCTCTAAGCCCCCTGTGGCCCAGGGAAGTGTGTCAGCATTAAATTAACTGTCACACTATGGTAGGTTGAAAAATGGCTTCCCAAGGAGATCCACCTCCTTATCTCTGGAACCTCTTAACTAACAGAGGGTGGGGGGTGGGGGGGAATGCCTTTTGCAGATGTGATTGAGCTAAATATTTTGAGATGAGGAGATGATCCTAAATTATCCCAGATTTGCCCTAAATGCAATCACAGGTGTTTTATAAGAGAGAGCCCAAAGGAGATTTGACACACCCAGAAGAGGCAATGTGACCACAGAGACAGAGACTGGATGGGCACAACCACAAGTCAAGGAATGCCAGCAAGCACCAGATGCTGGAATATCTCTGCTAGAACTTGGAGGAAGCATGGCCCTGCTGACACCTTTATTTCAATCCACTGAAACTGATTTCAGGCTTCCTGCCTCCAGAACTGTGAGAAGAGAAATTTTCTGTTGTTTTAAGCCTCCAAGTTTGTGTTAATTTGTTCCAGTGGCCATGGGAAACTAATACGGAGACCAAACAGAAAATCAGCCCAGATAATCACACAGCGAGGGTATCAAAGATTATACACAAGATAATTTTTGAATGAGGGTTTTGAGAGTCAGAATCCTGGTGGGCTCCCCTTCTATTAGCCTCTTTGACATCTGACTAGTGTAACCATGTGGGTTTCCCGCATGGAATAAGAAGTATATGAGAGGCCAGGTGCGGTGGCTTACACCTGTAATCCCAGCACTTTGGGTGGCTGAGGTGGGTGGATCACCTGAGGTCAGGAGTTCGAGACCAGCCTGGCCAATATGGTGAAACCCCATCTCTACTAAAAATACAAAAAATTAGCCAGGCGTGGTGGTATGCACCTGTAATCCCAGCTACTCAGGAGGCTGAGGCGGGAGAATCCCTTGAACCTGGGAGGCGGAGGTTGCAGTGAGCCAAGATCATGCCATTTTACTCCAGCTTGGGCAACAAGATGAAAACTCCATCTCAAAAAAAAAAAAAATATGAGAAAAGAATTAAGAATTTGTCCTGCCTTTTCAGTAGAATTGTATTTCAGAACAGTCAGGTAACCCAACTGATGAGGGAAAGCTCTTTTTTTTTTTTTTAATACAGGCAGAAATAATTACAGGGTTAGCATATCACTAATTTTCAACCCCTAATTTAAAAAATGGAGGCATGGATCAAGCAGAATCATCAGTGGTCACAAAACCCATTAGATCAGTGGTTGTGAAGGTTGGCTGCTCACTGCAATTACTGAGAAGCTTTGCAAACTATTGACACCTATATCCTACCACCAGAGAGTCTGATGAAATTGGTCTGAAATGGTTTCTGGGCATCAAGATATTCAGGAGCTCCCAGTGATTTCTAATGAGCGCCAGGTTACAAACCATTGCATGAGGCGAAAGGAATTGGTTATTTACATGCTGCCAAAATATCACTCCATAACCTCCTTTCTGAGCCTTGATTTTTCTAATCTATAAAATGATAATAATAATACCTATTTTAGAGTGAAATTGTTGTAAGGATGAAATAAGCTAATGAATGCAAAGTGCTTAGGGAAAAGATCTGGCACACAGGAGGCACTTCTGCTTTAGGCTCCAACCATCTTCCTGTCAAACTGCTGTTAACAGTAACCTTCTCCTGCCAATGGGATAGTCTGCCTCGTGCCCTCAGTATGTACACAGAAATACTGGCATATACGTTGTTATTTGATTTCTTCTCTCTGAGGGCTTCTCCAAAGTCTAAAACCCAAATTGCCTAGATGAGATGAGAGCAGTGTCTATGCATGAGATGTATCCTGTGATCTCCACCTCATCCCTGAGTTCTGTCCTCCTGCCAAGTTTGCACGCTCCCATTCAGACTGTATTTTCCTCCCATCCCTATAGGGACTCGTTCCACGTCAGCTTGTTTCATTAAACAATCATTTATTGAGCACTCATTAGCATTATTCTACACACTGGAGAAACAGTGCAATGAACACAATACTTGTACTCATGGATTTTATCCTCAGGGAAGTGACAGAGAGCAAACTCAAAAACAAATAAATATCTAGAGTAATTTTAGATAAGTCTTTTTTTTTTTTGGAGATAGAGTCTTGCTCTGTCACCCAGGGTGGAGTGCAGTGGTGCGATCCCGGCTCACTGCAACCTCCGCCTCCCGGGTTCAAGCGATTCTCCTGGCTCAGCCTCCTAAGTAGCTGGGATTACAGGTGCACACCACCACACCTGGCTAATTTTTGTATTTCACCATGTTGGCCAGGCTGGTCTTGAACTCCTGACCTCAGGTGATCCACCCGCCTCGGCCTCCCAAAGTGCTGGGATTACATGCATAAGCCACCATGCTGGCCAATTTTAGATAAATCTTGGGAGGAAAATAAAACACAGCCATTGGATAGAGAGTGATCTTTTTATTTTTGTAGAGGAGATATTCCAGCTGAAGAGAATAAAGAAATGGGAGTCACACACTTTTCAGGCGGAGGCAACAGCTGGTGCAGAGGCCAGGGCTAGAGTGAACTTGGGATGTTTGAAGGAGTGAAAGAAGGCCTGTGTGACTGGAGCTGTGTGGGGAGAGATGAGGTCAGAGAAGGAAGCAGGAGTTAGATCATGCAGGGCCATGGTAAGGAGTTGGATTTTATTCTACTGGAATGAAAAGCCACTGAAGAACTTTCACCCAGAGAGCAAATGCCCTGATTTTCACTTTAGAAAGATGGTTCTGACTACTGTGTGGGTAACGGCACATAGAGGGACAACAGTGGAGTTGGGCCTACTAGTGGGAGGTCATCATAGTAGTTTACGAGAGATAATGGTCATTTGGGTTAGAGTTATAGCAATGGAGATAGTAGGGACTGGCAGGATGTGTGCAATATGTTAGAGTTGAACAGCAGAACTTCCTAACTAAATGTGGATGTAAGGGAACAAGAAGAATCAAGAATGGGCTGGGCACAGTGGCTCAGGCCTGTAATCCCAGCACTTTGGGGGGCCAAGGTGGGTGGACCACTTGGGGTCAGGACTTTGAGAGCAGGCTGGCCAATATGGCGAAAACTTGTCTCTATTAAAAATACAAAAATTAGCCAGGTGTGGTGCCTGTAACATGCCTGTAATCTCAGCTACTTGGGAGGCTGAGGCAGGAGAATCACTTGAACACGGGAGGTGGAAGTTGCAGTGAGCTCAGATGGCGCCGCTGCACTCCAGCCTGGGTGACAGAGACTCTGTCTCGAAAAAAAAAAAAAAAAAAAATGGAATTAAGAATGACTCCTAGATTCTCAGGCTAAGCAACTGGTAACTTGCGGTGTCATTTAATTATATGAGAAAGACTTTAAGAGGAGTGGGTTTTGGAGAAGAAAAAAATAATTTTGATTTGGTCATGTTAAGTTGAAAATGCTTATGTCATGACCAATTGGAAAGATCAAGTAAACAATAGGTGTGCAAGTCTGGAACTCAGAGAGATCCTGGCTTGAGTCATACATTTAAGAATCATTGGCCTATTAGACAGTATTAAAGCCATGGGAAAGAATTTGGATGGGGAAGAGACCTGGGGCAGCCCAACAGGTAGAGTGACATGTGTCACAATCGTGGCCTGGAACCCTCTGCACCTCCTGGGCTTGCTCTCTAATGCTACCCACATTCTTGGCCCACATCAAAGCAGGGGCTCTCTCTATTTGTCCCAGTCAACACTGATTTTGTCTTTATCTCAATTCCAGCTGCTCTTCCAATCTGTCTCCCTCACTGTGGCATTTAATCACACATGGAGCTTTGCTTGGGGACTTTATCTCTTTGGTGTGCATTAGTCTTGTCTCCACAGCTAGCTTGCTGCCTTCAGGAGGGCAGTGAACATGCTTAATAAATCTCTGTACCACCTTCAAAATCTAACAGAGAACTATAAAGTGCTCAGAAACACATGCTGATTGATAGGGTAATGCAGTTTGGGAAATGCCCCATGAGACCATGTTGCCAAACTGTGTTTGTGACCCCCATATCTGGCATGCCCCCTTTCATGGTGGTGCCACCTAGGCAGGCATAAAGCATTGTCTCCACTATGGGAGATGAAATAAGCACCAGAAAACCTCCCAGCAAGTCAGGTGGGCAAAGCAAAGCACAAAGAAGTGAAATTACTTCCTTGGTAAATAGATGCATACAAGGAAACAGGAACAAAACACCACAGCACAAACAAAATCCAATCTCCATTAGAAGGGAAAAGGTCTTCAGCACTCACTCCCAGAGGCTGAGCATAAGATCTATTTGTTGAATGAGGCAAGCCAATTTGAACACTAAATAGAGCCAGCCTCCACTGCGTTTGTAGAACACTGATATTTCTGAAAAGTATGTGGCTGAGTGTGCTGTCTGTGCTTTTCTTTCTTGCTTGAATATTGTAAGTTGCCTGCTGCTTAAATAGCTGTTGGATCGTCATTAGCTGTGGCCAGAATGCCAACTCCTTACAGCCTTCTCAAAGGCTGTCCAGAGTCCGATCAGCAGCACAAAAAGACAAAGAAGCTCTCAGGCATGGAGGACAGAGAGGGAGGAAAATGGAAGGGAAGCCGTGCATTGAATCCAGAGAACAAAAACAGAAACCCATAGCAGCAGATGTCAGTGAAGAAGAATACGAAAATGCTGATGAATGGAATGGAGCTGAAACTATCAGAAACAAAGAAAAGATAAGAATATTGTAAAAGGAACAGAAAGGCACAAAATAGAGCACGAATCAAAGACGAGAGAATGAATGGAAAAGTAAGAAAAAAACAGGTGAAGTGCAGGTTAGTGGGAAAATTATACACAAAAGTGGAAAAAATAATAACTCTTTTAAGGGTATACTTTGCAATACATCAGGGCCTTTGGAATACTTGACCAAGAATGTTGAATAATAATGTCTTTACAGAATTAGACTTAAAACATTATTAAGTAACTTTAGTGGTGTAGCACATGGTTGAACTTATTTGAAAAATCAGAAAAATTAAAACACAGTTTGTGTAATTCATGAAAGCCACAAGGAAGGAGTTGTTTTCTGTTACTGTAATTAATACATTCTTAACAACGTGTAGGTGCTTAGGGCAAGTGAGTTGTCATTGATAGTTCTACTAGCAATGAGACAGAGCTATAGACCATGTGGTGTACAAAAACTAATGTGAATACCAACATTCAGGAAGGAAAGAAGTAGTTTCTTTCTGAGGCCTGTATTACAGGAAGAATTTTTAAAAAATTTATCATAGTCACATTCACAACATTGTAGCATTTAAAGTTGGAAAGTCTCTTATGAACATTGTTTGTTCATTCTCTGGCTCTAAAAGCAAATCCTAAGATCTAACATAGTTGGAAGATTTGACAATGATCAAAACAGGTTTATAAAAGCTAAAATACCTTGCTACTATCGCTGAGAGTCCAGCCAATTTTGAGTGACAGATGAACACCCATGTATCCAGTCTGCCTAGTGTCATCAATCCAGACAGCAGCAAGGTCCTTGTAAGTCCCACTCATAGACCCTTTAGGTTGCTGTGGGTGAGAGGGGAAGTCCTTTTGATGTTTTCCTGGTGAATCACCTGAAGGAGGGTGGGGAAAAGATGGGATCATTGGCCACAAACTAAACGGTTGTCTTGTTTCACCCAAATATTACTTTTGGTCCCTGTTGGCATGACTGAAATTAAGAAAGGTATCATGAAAAATCTTTGATTTGAGATTTAGGATAGTTAGCAGCAGTGTCTGCCCACCCTCTCACTCTAATAAGCTAAGTGTGCTTGTTCAGTGGCCAAGTTTAGACCCCATAGTACACTGATCTACAGTCTGCCTCTAAGGCTCCTGGGAACTCTTATTAGGTTTTCATATCAGGTTCAGTGTAGACTCTGGGTAAGGTTACCCTAAAATATGGAGAACATGAGCCATGGCTTTGGGCTTTTTTAGGAAGCTCCAAGGGTCCTGGGGAGGGGGGAGTTGGTACTTTGTGAGTGACTCATAATCCTGGAAAAAAAGTCACTCCTTGGTAGCTCTGGATCAGGTTTTGGCTCAGAACAATGAAAGAACCTAGAACGGGACTTCAACAAATGTGGGGTTCCCAGCAGCTCCTCAGCAGTGTTGACCATTCCCATGGCCATTTGCTAGGGGAGATGATTGGGGTAGGGAAGTTTACATATTTCCTTCTTAGAATTTGGGAATCAGAGCACCCATAACAGAGGAAATAATATAAGTAAATGCGAGACCCCAACAGAAGGCCTGTGTGGCACGCTTCCACCTTTTGGTCAGAGACTGGCGCACTAAACTACAGAGAGGTTAAGGATCTTGCTCAAGTTTGCAGCTAATCAGAGGGGAAGCCTTACTCTCTTCTCTCCATGAAACTTCATTCCTTCTGTACAACCCAAACTATTTTATGCCCTCACAGGACAAAAAGGGATCCACAAGAGAATGCCCCTAAATCCCACCCTTGACCCTTGGCAGGTGGCCCGTCTCTATTGCACTTTACTTAACAACTTGTCTTTTCAGAAGTGGCCTCTACTCCTTCTCCCAGGGTGTGAGGCAGTGAATGGGGCGCTTTCTCTAGAGACTGAGCAGCCCAGCAAGGCTTTTTATCAGAGTGCAGGGAAGTTGTGTTTGAAACGACACTACACTTGTCTTAATAGGCACGACCCTTTCTCCTGGGACACATTTTTCACTGTCATGTCTGCCTAGTAGCCTGAATTAAGAAAGTGATTCATTTGAGTTTCTCACATTCTCTCTTTCATGACTAGAAGAACCTGTGGGTCATTTATAGTTTGGATTGGGCCCCTCTCATCCTTTATTTATAAAAAAGCATGAACACGCTCCCTGTTCACAGGGAGGCCTGGTTCGCTTTCACCCCATTTCCTTTTGTTCACAAGGTCAGTATTTTTGTCTTTTCTCCTCGCATAGATTATTTTTTACACATCCAGTGGAAAGGAAGCTCAAAGATGACCTTTAAGGGCCCTCATAACTTTATGGCTTATTAAAGCCCATGCAGCTTTGTCCTTTGTCTGGGCCACCTCTCATGTGGTCCAGAGTGTTTTTCTCTGAAGAGTACAATGACAGGAAGTGGATTTTGGCTCACTCTAAAGACAAGTCAATAGCAGTTATAGATGCCCGAAAAATAAATGAGTTGTCTCCAGAATTAGTGAGCTTCTCAGCCTTCGAGGTGTATAATGAACACGCAATGGACAGTGGCCATGTGTGAGAGATGATATCATATGGGGTTCTCACATCAGATTAGGGGGTCGCTCAACAATAGCAAACATTTGAGTATTTTTTTATGCTAGAGATAAGGAAAGCAAAGATTAGTGAAGCAGTCTAGCAGGGTTAGCTTAGAAGGTCCCTCAAGTCCCTTTCAACTTCACGCTGTATCTAGATGCATTAAGATACCACCTGAGAAAATTCTTCGATGCAGCTTGTTTCTTAGAGTTGTTTACCTGGAGTGATCTTTAGAGATAATTTTTCTGAAGCTTTAAAAAAATAGAAAAAAGAAAATAGGTTCCAAAAGGTGAATTTTTTTTTTTCCAAGAACACACAGCTAGTCATATTGTTGGTTTAAAAAATATATACGTTCCATGGATTGCAGAGTAGGAAGAACATTTTTGGCATGAGAGTGTTCTAAATTTCCCTTTTGACCGTGGTGGAAATTCCTACTTCTGTAGTTGCTATTATAGGTGCAGTTTAGGAAAGGGCCTAATTTTTCTCCTCTGTGTAACACTCTGATTCATGTGACAGGGGAAGAAAGGGGTGGTGTGGGATGGGTTTCTGTTAAGACCTCAGATGCATCACCTAAGAGCAAGTAGTATAGCAACAAGCAGGAAAGCACTCAGTTGTTTCCATGGTATGACTTAAGGGGCTGCCATGGTTACAACTCCATCTATCAACGCCACTCATCTTCTCATAGGAAGAGTTTCATGGCTTTCAGCCCTAAAGGTATTTTTAGTCTTAGAGAAGTCCCTATTTAAACACCATGGTTAATGTAGCTAACTCTATCAGTTGATACTGCAGTCATCAGCACTTTGAATATCTTTTGTGTGCCCAGCCCATAATGACTTCATTTAATTAACTAGCTGATAGATAACTGAGAGAAAGGCTTTGCAGGGAATGGGATGCCAACTACATGACTTGAGGTTGGGTACCAGGATAATTAGGAGGATGAGCTTTGAATTCAGGTAACACTGGGTTCTCATATCAGTGCTGCCATTTATTAGTACTATGACCTTGGGAAAGTTAGTACATGAGCCCAAGTTTGCTTATCGTAAAATAGGAATAATAATAATATCCCTTAGGGTTATTTTGAGAGTTGGTGGTACCAGGCACATACCATAAATGTTAATTATTTCTGCTATAACACCAGAATTGAAGAAAGGGACTGGAATAAGGGAGAGAGAAGACACAAAAGAAAACATGCCTACAGAACACATTTGTCCAAAGTCCACTTTACCCAGGTCATCTTATCTCCCAAGGGAAAATTGGGTCTCAGAAAGAAGGCCAGGGAAACAGCCCTGCAAACTCCATGGTAAAGGTCTTCCCTCGGAGGGAGTATGTGCTGTTTAACATTCAACATGTGCCATGTGAAACCTCCTCCTGGTCTCATTTTTCCTCCTTACCTCAACCTTCCTGCACTCCACACTTCAGCCTTTTGGGATTTCTAATCTTCAGATAATGACACATGTCATTCTTCTGCTTGGGAAACATTCTTGGCTGATTACTTCTAACTTGAACGTTGGATCTCAGCTTTGATGTAACTACCTCTGGGAAGCCCCCCTGCCCCACTAGACTGAGCTGAGTGCCCCTCCTGTGTGTTTCCCCACATCATCTGCCTGAGAACTCATACCACTCATTATGATTTCTTGTTCATGCCTGTCTTCCCCACTAGGTTGTGGTCAGTGAAAGCAGAGACCACATCTGGTTTACTCTCCATAATATCCCCTAATCACCATCTAGCGTAAATGGCAATGAAGAGGAATTCAAGAAATACTAAATAAGCGAGTGAATGAATGAGTTTTATGCTGAGATTTAGGTGAGGGTAAGTTGCTTTGGATTTATGCTAGCATTTCTACTCTGATCTGAAAAGATCCTTGTTAAGACAATATTATTATTATTCCTCTTTTCCTTGTAGAAACTGTCTACAGATTATTTACACCTCAAAACATGAAGGGCTTTCCGTGTAGTTAAAGACAATGTAGGTAGGGGCCATTTCTGCTTACCAAACTTATGGTTTGACCAGGATCTTGGTGCTTTATCAGATAAAGAAGAATGTGTATATGATAACACTTGTTGGTATAGGTGTCTTCCAAATCATGTTGAAAAATACAGCATTAAAGCTCTGTGAAAGGAAAACTAATTTGAGTTCCTTCTCAGCTGGAACCTATTTGTACTATTTTGGGTACAAAAGACTCTCAATTACTTTCCCCTTCATTGGGACTTTTCTGATTTAGCATGTGACCTCCTCTCAATTGGTGGTTAAACATGGGTGACCATGCATTCATCATTTAAACCAAAGCACTTCTGAGTTCCAGCCCGTGACTTGAGCCTGAGAACAGTTCCTCTTTGTGTTATGTGTTCAACAAATGAAAGGGGAATCACAAGCCCTACTTCCTCTAGAACAGAGGATTGGAAGGGTGAGCTTACTAATATGTAGTTTACATTACACGTTGGGGTTGAAAACCTCAGTCCAGTTGCTATGCAATTGGGCTTTGGAATGGAAGAAAGCAACATGTGGAGGTGTCCATTTTATTTTTCCATGGAAAAATAATTCATTTTGAAATGGTTTCAAGCTTAAACAGAACATTTGCAAGTACAAAGATCTCCCAGGCTCCTCTCATCCAGTTCCTCAACTGTTAATATTTCACTGCATTCCCCTCCCCCTTTCTCTGTTGTATAATTTATAAAGAGGAGGGGAAAGTCCACTCTTGTTCCTAATACCATGGGTGCAGTATCAGCAGGAGGACTTGGCAAACAACCCAACAAGAAGGGCTGGAAATTGGAGAACAAAAGTATTTTCATAGGCAAATTCCATATGCTGGGCATTGTGCTAGTTCCTTTGCAAGCATTACTTCTTTAAGTCCCTGGAAGAATCCATTGAAGATTATGATCATTCGCACTCTACAGATGAGACAACTGGTGCTCAAAGGGATTAGAAACTTGCCCAAGGTCACAAGGCCAGAAAAGTGATGCACTTGTGTGTACCATTTTAAAGCTTCTCTTTCCATGACAGCTTGCCTTGTCACTGTAAAAAGAACATTCAATTGGGAATAAAAGGGTCCAGCCCAGTTCTAAATCCATGTTATCTTCAGCAAGCAACTTACGTTTATAGAGATTCAGTTCTTTCAACTGTAGAATGAGGGAGGCTGCACTAAATTAGCCTTAAGATTTCTTCCAGCTCAAAACTGAATAATTTAATAAGTGCCATATTTTTGCCAGGCTCACTGACAAAAGTACATTGAATATATTAGTGTCTACTGTAGGAATAGGAGACATAGAGCTTAGGACTTAGAGCTTATTTAATTCAGCAGCGAACTAGTTAATTTCTTCTATCTGTTGGGTTGTCCATTTGGATAGACATTTAAATGGTTGTCTATTTAAAGCATCTACCTGTCCTTGACCTTTTGCTACCTTTTGCCCTACCCTATAGCAGTTGAGTGTTCACTCCTCACATCCTAGGAGTTGGGATAATTCTGAGGGATAGAGGTGCCTCTGCTGGGGAAATTGAAGGAGTAGACTTAAATCCAATTGATTTTGAAATCATCCTTGGTTTGAAATCATCCTTGGGAACCTAGTAGTCACTCTGTGTACAAGTTTCTATCTTCAAAGAGTTCTATATTATTCGAAGAGTACTATATTAAAAACACCCTCTTCCTAAATATTTGGCTGTCATTCAGGAACTGGAGTATGTATACCCACAGAGTTATGCAATGGTGCTTCAAGAGGCCCCCTCAAACAAGTTATATGATAAATACAGCTCTTGAAGGGCAGGTCCCAGAGTTTCAAAAAATTTTATGTAAATATAAATGTATATTTATATATTACAAAATATGATATATAATAAAAAATATATATACATATATATTTGTATTTATTTATGGAATGCCATGGCACAATCATGGTTCACTGAAGCCTCAAACTCCTGGGCTCAAGTGATCCTCCCACCTCAGCTTCCTTAGTAGCTGGGACTACAGGTGCATGCCACCACCCCTGACTATAATCAGGGGTCATGTTTACACCTCCTCAAGGGTCGGAAATGATACTCAATGCCTGTAATCCCAGAACTTTGAGAGGCTGAGGCCGGAGGATTGCTTAAAGCCAGGAGTTTGAGACCAGCTTGGGGAACAAAGCAAGAAACTGTCTCAAAACACAAAAAAATTAAAAAATTAGCCAGGTGTGGTGGTATGCGCCACCCGCCCTCCCAGCTACTCAGGAAGCTGAGGTGGGAAAATTGCTTGAGGCCAGAAGTTTGAGGCTTCAGCAAATCATGATTGTGCCACTGCACTCAAGCCTGGGCAACAGAGCGAGACCCTATCTATATTTTTTAAGAATCTATATCTATATCCTATCTATATCTGTCTATCTCAAAAGGCAGATAAATATAAAAACTAAAATAAACACTACTGTCTTATGAAGCAGAATTTAAAAGTGTCATGATTTTTTAATGTAAAATCTAAGAACTCCCAACAATCTTACTGTTGCCATGAATTCTTTTGTCTCCAGGGATCTGGAAGTAATAATTCTTTTTCTTCTGTCATTAAGGATCCTAGAGTGAGAAGGTTTGAGAGGCAGTGATATTTTAAAAGTATGACATAGTGCCTAGTATTATGTGTTCAAAATAAAGCCATTATTGTTGCCATTGTCATATCTAGCTCAATTCTCTTTTGATACAATTTGCTAACACTGCCTCTTAGTTTTCCCATATTGTTTTATTTCTTTCCAACAGGAATCAATTCAGCATTTGATACCCAGTGAAGACAGAGCCAACCCTCTCTCATTTTTTTTCTGAATCTGTCCATTGGTTCTGAATCCCATAGGTTCCAAATCAACAATTTGGGAAGATGGTAACTCTAAGGTCATCAAAACACGACAAACATGTGACAGCAGCTAATCTGTACTTTCTATGCCTTCTGAGACTTTTTCCTTCTGATTACATATTCTTAGTTTCTTAAGCTCTTCTTTAGATATTATGATGTTTAGATTCTCTCACCGTACTGGTCCCGTCTTCAAAAGTTACTCTGGTTTATCTATATCTCTTTCAAAGAACTGATTCAATAGTACTAAGAAAGTTTTTATTCCAGTTGTATGCCTTCTGTCAAAGGCTGATTAGCCTTGAGAGGGGCAGATAGAGAGAGGCACATGGAGAAATCATATGCATCTTACTGAATTTGCTTACTAGTAATAATTGGGAGGCCAGGCATGGTGGCTCACCCCTGTAATCCCAGCACTTTGGGAGGCTGAGGTGGGCAGATCACCTGAGGTCAGGAGTTCAAGACCAGCCTGGCCAACATTGTGAAACCCAGTCTCTACTAAAAATACAAAAATTAGCCAGATGTGGTGGCACACGCCTGTAGTCCCAGCTACGTGGAAGGCTAAGGCAGAAGAATCGCTTGAACCCAGGAGGTGGAGGTTGCAATGAGCTGAGATTACGACACTGCACTCCAGCCTGGGTGACAGAGCAAGACTCCATCTCAAAAAAAAAAAAAAAAATTGGGAAATGTAACCTAAACTATTAAATAGCTGAAGTTATTTGGCTGTCCAACAGTCATTTTTCCTCCCTCCTCCCTTCCTCCCTCTCTCCCTCCCTCCCCATCTCCTTCCCTCCCTCCCCACTTCCCTCCCCACTTCCCTCCCCACTTCCCTCCCTTCCTTCCTTCCTTCCTTCCTTCCTTCCTTCCTTCCTTCCTTCCTTCCTTCCTTCCTTCTTATCTGACTTCCTTTTAAGGAATTTTCTCTTTCCCACTGGGTATCATCAGTTGGGACTATAATCAGGGGTCCTGTTTACTCCTCCCCAGTGGTTGGAAATGATACAAGCTAAGCCAATCTGCTGTTCCCTCCTTGGAATTCAAATATTGAGCAGAAGAACAATGATGTTGACAATAATTGGATTCCCATCCCATCCTAGCAGGGCTCCTTGATCATACTGTTCTTGCTACAAGCCATTGTTGTTGTTCCTGGTTCTAGCCTTTCATTGCCTCTGTGAACCTCACATCCTTCTGATACATTTATTTTAAGATAGTTAAAGAGTGCTATCTATTGCTTACAAACAAATAGCCCTAACTAATGCAACTATTGTACATAGTGGTGTGCTTATCTACTGTATAAATACTTCTACAGTATATCTGCCTAATGGCTTCTACAATACTTATTCGTACAAGTTAAAAAAATTATAAGCAATCTCCTGCCTTTTGACTTGACCATAATGTGCCATCTGTCTTTATTTCTAGGAGGCTAAATCCATGTAGAGAAACCTGGACTTGTTTTCATCTTTCTCTCCTTCCTACCATATGATTTTATAATTTTTACTGAGGAAGTCAATTAAGAAAGCATCTAGTTTTGCCTGAACATAAAAGATTAGTGAAAATCCCACTTGTCTGCCTTTTATTTTTTACTTGTTTTGAGATGGGGTGTCACTCTGTCCCCCAGGCTGGAGTGCAGCGGTGCGATCACAGCTCACTGCAGCCTTGACCTCCCCAGGCTCAGGTGATCCTCCCACCTCAGTTTGTATTTTTAGTAGAGATGGGGTTTCACCATGTTGTCCAGGCTGGTCTCGAACTCCTGAGCTCAAACGATCCACCTGCCTCAGCCTCTCAAAGTGCTAGAATTACAGGCGTGAGCCACCACACTGGGCTTTGTCTGCCTTTTAAATGGGAAGAAGTCAGCTCAGTCATGGAGTCGCATGGGGCATGAGGCTTTATATTCTCTTCCAGGTAAAACTGGGGGAGTAGGAAGCATTTGCATCTGCCAAAATGTCAGTATTATACAATTAAGTCAGATTTCATCCTCTTACTGTGTTGAAAATGACAAAAGGAAAGCAGGTATTCTAGCATAAGATTAATATCAGTACCTGAGTGAAGATGAAGACTTCGTCAGCAGAGTGGCAAAGCAATGTGACACAAAAGGTTTAATGCTACAGTGAGGCAGCTAGTGTCTTGCTTGCCCTTGACTAAGCAATTCTCTCTGACATGTCTGGACTTATCTCCTGCAGCTCAGATTTTTGTTACTGAAGTTTCATATTCTTTTCTTACTGGTGAGATCTCAGCCAGATACTTGACTGGGAATACCAGATACTTCCTCTGAGAAGTAGATGCTGAGAAGAGATGGCAGTGCAAGAAGTTTCTTGGAGGAGGGGGTGACATCTGTGAAAGCAAAAATGGCAAGGAAGCATTATTGAACAGGAGAAGCCTTCAGACTGCAATGCTGATCTGTCTCCTGTGGAAGGAAAGGGGAGATGGAGCAGGATCACGTGGGGAGAGCCTGGGGCCGCTGTGCCCCTCTGATGGTCTCTGCCAAGCCAACAAGGAGCTCCAGAGTGAAGACTCCTGTTAGAGATGTCCTGCTTTTAGCAGGCTTCCTCATATAATCATTGGTGGGAAACTGACCAAGAAGAACATGGCCTCAGTTCAAAATTTGCAGATTCTGAAGGCACAGATAAAGGCTGAAGCTGTTGAACTCCTTGCAGCTGAATGGAGACCCAAGCAGCATACTCTCTTGGCTGCCACTTTGTCCTTCTGAATTGCATCTTAAATTTATTCATGGCCTAATTGCTCAGTGCATAGACTCTGGAGCTAGACAGAATCCCAGTCTGAATCCCAGCTCCAACACTTGCTCACTGTGTGACCTTAGAAAATCTAGTAAACCTATGTGCTTCATACTCCTCCTCTTTAAAGTGGAGACAAAATCAGTTATAACCTTATAGAATTACTGTAGAGCACTTAGAAAAATGCTTGACACAAGGTTTATGCAAAATATGTATTTGCTATTATTATTTATCCATTAAATGTTCACTATGTGTCAATCCCCCTTGACCTGTCTTGTAGGAACATTTGGACTGCCCACTTAGAATTAGCTCAGTTATCTGTGAAGCAACAATTAACAACCTACTTTTTATTGAAAGTATATCTTTTTTATTTATTTTTTGAGACAGAGTCCTACTCTCCCGCCCAGGTTGGAGTGCAGTGGCGTGATCGTGGCTCATTGCAACTTCTGCCACCTGGGTTCAAGCAGTTCTCGTGCCTCAGCTTCCTGACATAGCTAGGATTACAGGCATGCACCACCAGGCCCAGCTAATTTTCATAATTTTAGCAGAGATGGGGTTTCGCCATATTGGCCAGGCTGGTCTCAAACTCCTGGCCTCAAACAATCTGCCCACCTCAGCCTCCCAAAATGCTGGGATTACAGGCATGAGCCACCACACTCGGCCTATTGAAAGTATGTCTGAAAGAACGAGAGACACCAGCAAATGCCCTGATTACTAATCAGTATCAGTGCCGTGATCAAGGTCTCAAGTTATGTCTTGCATACAGACTTTGTTATTTCTGGTTTGTATTTTTCTTTGATTATTTCATTTTTCCTTAAGAGATTAGTGTTGACCTCAGGGGCTAACTGCAAAGTGGCAGCCTCTCAGCTTTAACTGTTAGGCTTCCATTTATTTACACATTGAAGTGGAACAAAGGAGCACTTTCTCCAAACTGTCTTACAAGTGGGAGAAAACAATCTCATGTATGGTACTTTAGGAACTATGGAGAAAGAACTTCCTTGAAAAAAGTCCCCTGGGCTAGGCAAGGTGGCTCACGCATGTAATCCCAGCACTTTGGGAGGCCAAGGCAGGTGGATCACCTGAGGTCAGGAGTTTTTAGACCAGCCTGGCCAACATGGTGAAACCCAGTCTCTAATTAAAAAAAAAATAAAAAAAATTAGCCAGACATGGTGGTGGGCGCCTGTAATTCCAGCTATTTAGGAGGCTGAGGCAGGAGAATCCCTTGAACCCGGGAGGCAGAGGTTGCAGTGAGCCAAGATTGCACCATTTCACTCCAGCCTGGGCAACAAGAGCGAAACTCCATCTCAAAAAAAAAAAAAAAAAAAAAAAAAAGAAGTCCCCAAATGCTACCAGGGAGATCATTTTCTTTATTAGCAAACACATGCATAGTACTTAGAGGTCCCAGGTTTTACTCTAAGTGCTCTATAAATATCAATTAATTTAATCCTTACAACTATTCTATGATGTAAGTACTTGATGTAAGTGCTATCAATACCTTCATCTCATAGCTGTGTTTTTTGTTTGTTTGTTTGTTCTATAGGTTTAGGGGATAAGTGCCGTTGTGTTACATGCATACATTGCATAGTGGTGAAGTGTGGGCTTTCAGTGCACCCACCACTTGAATAGGGGACATTATTAAAACTCAGAGATGTTAAATAACTTCTGCCCAAGGACAGCAGCCAGTGGGAAGTAGAGTTGGAATTTGAATACAAACAGAGTTTGTGTCTCCAAGGTTTGTGCTCTTCACCACCACACATCATGCCTCCTAAGTAAGTTCTCTCCTTTAAAATGCATTCTTTGCTTTTCATCACTATATTGCCAGGATGCATTGGAGCATACATCTCTGAAAAGAAGGTTATAATTTACTCGGGGTCTAAGGTTCCATCTAGCTTGCTTGGTAGAGGAGCCCTTAAATTGCGGTTCTGAGTTTATGTTACTTTGGGACTTTCAATTTGGAAATTTACATTGGAGCCCACCTGAACTGGTAGTGGTTCCTTGGTTCCAATTTGTCAAATGCCTGGCAAAACACAGACGTTGCCAAACCTTAAGCACATCTGAGGGCAATAAAAATGATCACTAGTTGTATCAGTTTGTTCTCATGCTGCTGCAAAGAACTGCCCATGACTGGATAATTTATAAAGGAAAGAGGTTTAATTGAGTCACAGTTCTGGAGGCCTGGGGAGGCCTCAGGAAACTTACAATCATGATGGGAGGGGAAGCAAACATGTCCTTCTTCAAATGGCAACAATAAAGAGAAGTGCTGAGCAAAATGAAGAAAGCCCCTTATAAAACCACAAGATCTCGTGAGAACTCACTCACTATTATGAGAACAGCATGGGGGAACCACCCCCATGATTCAATTACCTCCTGCTGGGTCCCGTCCTTGACATGTGGGGATTATTGCAATTCAAGGTGAGATTTGGGTGGGAACACAGAGTCAAACCATATCGCTAGTTGACAAGGTGATAATAGTGGTAGAAAATTTTGGATTTAGAAGCCTCACTTTGCCCTAGGTTTGTTGTTGCTGTAAGTTATATGCTCAAAACATCTTTTTGGTTTTCTGGGTATAATTCCTATTTTTTGGTGTGCTCATTTGTGTGTGCGTTTTCTGTGTTTCACCTTTCATACACAGATGGAATCACTGGCAAACTGCAATATAGCAAAATCAAAGCATTTTATTTCCATATCTGTCATGATATTACATGGCTGTCATGATTTATAGTAGATTTTCAGAAAGCAAAGCCTTCGTTTAAGAAGAAGAAAAAGCAGGAAGACATTTAGAAATCCCTACAAAGAGAAGAAAAGAGTCCTAAAACTCAGTATCACTGAACTGAGAGACAATCTGAATTCTAACCCCAGCTCTTCCATAAATTTGTTGTATGGCCTCGGGCAAGAAAACATTTAATTTCTCTGGGCCTTAGTTTATAATTTTGATGATAATTTCAATCTCATTAATATGTAGAATTTTGGGGAAAGGGTGATGGCATACTATTCTGGAGGGGAAAAATAAAGAATGATTGATTCCATTCCCCCCTACTCATTGTAAAGTTGTGTATGTATTATTGTCTAATCAATGTGAGACAAATTACCTTGTAGGGCCATTTACAATGGGAAATAAAGGAGACGTCAAATCACTGAATGAATTTTATAGAAGCAAATAATTATAGTAATGTTATTTCCAATGAGATTTTAAATTCATTTTTTGAGATAGGTTGGATAGGTGAAGTAAGGGGGGGTATTATATTGATTTAAACAGTTCACTTAATAACCTTTTATACTAACAGAGATCTGGTAGCCACAGTGAGAATTTTTTTTTTAATTCACCAAGCTTATTATCTTTCTTCCCATGTCTTCTTTTATCCTACTGTTCTTTGTCCCTATCACCAACAGATGTATCTGTCCCCAAACCAACCTTTCTGTCACTTATTTTAAAAATAAAGAAAGCAGTAGCAAAAGGAAAAAGAATGTTATTATAAATTTTAATTTTATAAAAGCCATAGCACAGCAATTAAGGGGATACTTTAATGGTATAATAACATTTAATTAATTAATTCTTCCAGTTAATCAGTATTTCTTGGGCACCTACTATGTGCCTAGGCACTATGCCAGTGCTTGGGCATATGGTAGTGAGTGAAAATACCTCTTAGAGTCCGTGAAGGAGTCAGACAATATGAAAATAATTTCATAAGACTATAAACTGTGTTATATTATAAACGAAAAGTACAGACAGCTATGAGGTTGTGTGCCTGGTGGGGCCTGCCCAAGTCTTGGGCAAGAGGTCAGGGAAGATTTTCTTAAGGAACTGACTTTGGATCTCAAATATTAAAGAAAAGGACAGTCTATTCTGCTACTAATGTGCATATTTCTGTAAATCAAATTTGCTTACACTGAAATGGTAAATTGGGGAATAGTGTCAGTATAAAATGGAAGTCACATTGTTTGATTGATTATGTAGGTTTTTCCCAACATAGTACCTGTATCCAAGATTGCAATGAAGGCAAAATACTCTCATAGAGCTGAATACAGTGAACTGTGGGAGAATCCAGAGCTATACAGATTGTCCATGCATCCTGTTATACTCCTCTCTAGTTTAGACACATGCTCTATCTTAGAAGTACTTATTGTGTGGTTCTTTCCAACCTGTCAACATTTACCTTGTCTCTTTATAAAACAGAATGCTCAATCCTTCACCCCTTTCATCATCAAAACTTCACCTTTTGGGGATATTCTTGTATGTATTTTAGCATTTCTTTATTTTTTAGGATTATAGTGTCTTTTTAGTGGAGTAGTGTTTTCTGTTGGGATTGATACTGTTTTGCTGTTGCTTAGATTAGAACATTGCATAGATTTTGAGTTGTTTGTCCCCAATTTTTTTTCAGCTTTTTAAAGTGAGGATTTTCAGATACGTTCTAGCAGAAACACCTTTATTTGAAAGTAAACTCATAATTCAAAGCATATACAGCAACTATAAAATTTTCGTTTTTTAGCCGGGTGCAATGGCTCGTGCCTGTAATCCCAGCATTTTGGGAGGCTGAGGCAGATAGATCACCTGAGGTCAGGAGTTGGAGATCAGCCTGACCAATATGGTGAAACCCCATCTCTATTAAAAATACAAAAAATAAGCCGGGCGTGGTGGCAGGCTCCTGTAATCCCAGCTATTTGGGAGGCTGAGGCAGGAGAATCACTTGAACTTGGGAGGCGGAGGCTGCAGTGAGCCGAGATCATGCAATTACACTCCAGCCTGGGGAACAAGAGTGAAACTCTGTCTCAAAAAAAAGAAAAAAAAAATTTTGTTTTTTTTTGAGACAGGGTCTTGCTCTGTCACCCAGGCTGGAGTGCTGTGGTGCAATCATGGCTCAGTGCAGCCTCAGACTCCTGGTGATCCTCCTACCTCAGTCTCCTGAGTAGCTGGGACTACAGGCACGCACCACAGTGCCTGTCTAATTGTTTTCTTTCGTGAGTGTGAAATGGGGTCTCGCTTTGTTGCCCAGGCTGCTGTTGAACTCCTGGGCTCAAGCAATCCTCTCCCTTCAGCTTCCCAAAGTGCTGGGATTATAAGTGTGAGCCACTGCACCTGGTCAAAAAATTTTAAAATGAAACCCTTTTCAAAGAACTCAGTGTGGGTATGTTAAATCTCAGCTTTTTCACTCAGTCAAAACTTAAGAAGTATGTAGCCTTCACTTCACCTTTCCAAATAATTTGGATAGAGAAAGGTTACCTCACTTATCCAAGGCGACAAATTAACTTTAGTCGAATACTTTTTTCATAATGGAATATTACCTTGGACATGTGCATTATTTTTATCATTTACACAGTGTCTCAGACATATACTAGTCATATGATGGAGACCAAAATTTATTTTAAAAATAAATTTTATTGGCCTGGCGTGGTGGCTCATGCCTGTAATCCCAGCACTTTGGGAGGCCAAGGCAGGCAGATCACGAGGCCAGGAGTTCAAGACCAGCCTGCCCAATATGGTGAAAACCTGTCTCTACTAAAAATGCAAAAAAATTAGCCAGGCATGGTGGCATGCGCCTGTAGTCCCAGCTACGCGGGAGGCTGAGGCAGAAGAATCGCTTGAACCTGGTAGGTGGAGGTTGCAATGAGCTGAGATCATGCCACTGCACTCCAGCCTGCGTGACAGAGCGAGACTCTGTCTCAAAAAAAAAAATTATTGATGTATACTGTATATAATAAAAGTCACACATTTTAAGTGTATAGTAGGGTGAGCCTTGACAAATGTAGCACCACCCCAAAAAGATTTCCTTCAGCTCCTTTCCAGTGAGTCCTCCCCACACCTAGTCCCAAGCAACCATCAATCTACTATGAATCACTATAGATTAGATTGGTTTTCTCTAGAGTTTCATATATCAAGCAGTCAAGCAGCTCCTAGGCAACAGTGACTACTTCTGGTACTAGTCCAGCTTGCTCTTCTGCCATAGTCTTGGCCAGTGAGGAGACATGATCCCAAACAGATTTAGACAGTTTATTACAACACAGTAGGCAACTTGAGCTTTGTGTTCTTACTGATTCTCTTTGATCCTCAAGACATATGGGGTGATGTGGAGGTGGGCCCAGGTTAATACTGCACACATTGTGGATCTATGACACATAGGAACACTGAGGCTAGGATCCCTAATATTATACAGGGGCTGCTGGCAAACCTGTCCATCCTCCCCTGTGGAGACAGATATTATCTTGATCATCTTGGTCAGGAAACAAATTTGTCCTTTGATTCAGATTGAGTGTTATCTTTACAACCCTGGAATATCTCTGGAAAGAGAAGAGAAGACTAACTTTATTATGCTAGAATGTAAACAAATCTGATCCCTGCCATGGAGCAGCTTTGCAAACCTTGCTGAACAAAGCTGTCAATGCCCCTCACTCAGAAGACATGCATAAATGCCAGAATTGTCTCCTAACATCTCATAAATGGGATCATTTAGGATATGCTCTTCTTTTAGTATGACTTATTTTGCTTTGCATAATGTTATGGAAATTAATCTTTCTATTGCAGCCCAATATTTTTTTGTATGAGTATGCCATAACTTGCTTATCTGTTTACTTGGTGATGGACACTTGGATCATTGGCATTTTGGCTATTGTGGATAAAGCCACTATAAACATTTATATACAAATCTTTGTATGCACATATGTTTTCATTTCTCTGCAGGAAGTTATCTAGGAGTGGTAGGTATGTGCTCACCAAAAATGGAAAATATATGGTAGATGTACCTTGATATGATTCGGATGTGTGTCTCCTCAAAAATCTCATATTAAAATGTGATCCCCAATGTTGGACGAGGGGCTTGGTGGGGGCTGTTTTGGTCATGGGGGTGGATCCCTCATGAATGGCTTGGTGCTGTCCTTGCAGTAATGAGTGAATTCTCACTCTGAGTTCATGTGAGATCTGGTTGTTTAAAAGAGCCTGGCACCTCCTCTCTTGCTCCCTTTTTTGCCATGTGACACGCTGGCTCCCCTTTGCCTTCCACCATGACTGCAAGCTTCCTGAAGCCCTCACTAGATGAAGATGCAGGTGCCATGCTTGTACAGCTTGCAGAACTGTGAGCCAAATAAAGCTCTTTTCTTTACCCTGCCTCAAGTATACCTTTATAGCAACATAAATGGACTAACACAGAAAATTGGTACTGAGAGTGAGATGTTGCTATAAAGATATTTGAAAATGTGGAAGTGGCTTTGGAACTGGGTAATGGGTAGATGTTGGAAGAGTTTGGATGGCTCAGATGAATACAGGAAGTTGAGGGAAGGTTTGGAACTTTTTACAGACTTGTTAAATTAGTGATTGTGAGTTGAATGCTGATAAAAATATGGGCTAATGAAGTCTCAGATGGAAATGAGAAATTTACTGGGAACTGGTGTAAAGGTCACTCTTGTTATGCCCTAACAAAGAATTTGCTGCATTGTTTCCATGTCCTTTGGCTTGTGGAAGGTAGAACTTAAGACTGATGAGCTAGGGTATCTAGCAGAAGAAATTTCTAAGACCCCAGAATAGTAGACCCCTGGCAGTTTGCAAACTCAGCCTGGAAAAGCTGCAAGGGCAGAGCCACTCAAGGCCTTGGGAGCCCCCTCCTTGCATCAGTGTGCCAAGATGCAGGACATGTAGTCAAAGATTGTTTTGGAGCTTTAAGATTTAATGTCTATCCTGATGGGTTTTGGATTTGTGTGGGGCCTGTTGCCCCTTTGTTTTGGCTCATTTCTCCCTTTTGGAATGGAAATGTTTATTCAGTGCCTGTATCACCATTGTATCTTAGAAGTAAAGAACTTGTTCTTGATTACAGGCTCATTGGTGGAAGAAACTTTCCTTGGGTATCAAATGAGACTTTGGACTTTTGAGTTAATATTGGAATGAGTTGAGACATTGGGGGACTATTGGGAAGGGATAATTGTATTTTGCAATGTGGGAAGGATGTGAGATTTGAGGGCCATGGTGGAATAACACGGTTGGGATGTATGTCTCTTCCAAATCTCATGTTGAAATGTGATCCCCAGTATTGGAGGTGGGGCCTGGTGGAATGTGTTTGGATGATGGGAATGGATTCCTTATATCTTGGTGCCATCCTCAAAGTAATGATTGAGTTATCGCTCTGAGTTCATGTGAGATCTGGTTGTTTAAAAGAGCCTGACACCTACTTCCCTACTCCTTCTCTCTTGCTTCCTCTCTTGCTATGTGACACACTGGCTCCCCTTCACCTTCTGCCATGATTATAAGCTCCCTGAAACTCTCACCAGAAGAAGATGCTGGTGCCATGCTTGTACAGCCTGCAGAGCCAAATAAACCTCTTTTCTTTAGAAATTACCCAGCCTCAGGTTTTCTTTGTTTAATAGAGATGTAAACAGACTAACACATACCTCTAACTTTTTAAGAAACTGTCAGTTTTCTGAAGTAATTTTACCTTATTCTATTATTACTAGCAGTGTATGATAGTTCCAGTTGCTTCACATCCTCACCAACACTTTGTAGAGTTAATCTTTTTAACTTTAGACATTAGGAATTTGTCTATTTCTCCTTTATTTATTTATTTTTTTGAGATGGAGTTTTGCTCCTGTTGCCCAGGCTGGAGTGCAATGTTGTGATTTTGGCTCACCGCAACCTCTGCCTCCCAGGTTCAAGCAACCCTCCTGCCTCAGCCTCCCAAGTAGCTAAGGTTACAGTCACCCACCACCACGTCCAGCTAATTTTTATATTTTTAGTAGAGACAGGGTTTCGCCATGTTGGCAGGCTGGTCTCCGACTCCTGACCTCGGTTGATCTACCTGCCTCAGCCTCCCAAAGTGCTGGGATTACAGGCATGAGCCACTGTGCTTAGCTTATTTCTCTTTTACAGTCTGAAGACTTTAACTTCATCTGTTCTGAAGCTTTGTTATTAGATACATACATGTTCGAGATTATTGTGACTCACTGATGAAGTGACCTCTTTATCATTATAAAATGTTCCTTTTAATCTCATGTAATATTCCTTCTTCTGAAGTTTACTTTGTCTGATGTATTTCTTTTAGTGGTTAGTCTAATATTTACAATATACATCTTTAAGTTATCACAGTCCAACTTCATATAATATTGTCACTTCACATATAGTATAAAAATCAGAGAAGAATATATTTTCATTTTCTACTTGTATTCTTTGTGCTATTGTATGCCTACATTTTATATCTAAACATATTATAAACCCCATATTTTATTTTTAAGTGGTTATTTATCTTTCATATAAATTTAAACTTGAGAAAAAATGTATTCTACATGTACCCACATATTTATCATTTCAAGCAGTCTCTATTCCCTTGGGTAGACTCAAATTTTCATCTGGTATAATTTTCCTTATGTCAAAAGTACTTACTGTAATATTTCTTGTAGTTCAGGTCTACTGGCGGCACTTCTTTCAGATTTGTTTGGTAAGTTATTTTTTTTTGCCTTTATCTTTGAAAGATATTTTTGCCTCACATGCAATGAGGGAAGATGGGTTGACAAATTTTCCCCAAGCACTTAAAAATGTTGATCTCTTGTGATAGCCCACCTCTGACATGGCTTCTAATGATCCTCTCCTACTGGTATTCATGCCTTTGTGTAGTCCTATCCCACACATTGAAATTACATCATATGACTTCTAAGACTGTTTCATGAAGTTATTGTAGCTTACCCCTTGGTTTCTTAGAACACTCATTCTGGACACAGCCAGTCACCATGTTATGAAGATGCTCAAGCAGTCTCATACAGTAGCCCACTTGGGGAACAACAAACTTGTCAGCATCAGTGTGTCAGACACGAGAGTGATATACCTTGAAAGCGAATTTTCCTTCCCTAGTCAAGAAAACTCATGAGAGACACCTACACAGAACTGCCCAAATGAGCCACTCCCAAATTCCTGACCTACAAGAATTGTGAGAATTAATATGTTATTATTGTGGTTTTAAGCCATTAATTTTGGGGTCATCTGCTGTGCCACAGTAGATAGCTAAGGTAATTTTTTTCTGGTTTGTATAGTTTTTGACAAAAAAGATGAAGTAATTCTTAACTTTGTTGCATTGTATGTAATGTGCCTTTTAAACTTTGTAATGCCTTTGGGATTTTTTTCCTTATTATTGATTTTCAGTAATTTGATTATGTTGTACCTTGGTGGCTTCACGTGTGTGTGTGTGTGTGTGTGTGTGTGTGTGTGTGTGTGTGTGTGTTTATCTTGGCTGGTGTTTGTTGAAATTCCTGAATATGTGTATTTGTAGTTTTCAACAAATTAAGACATTTTTTGGCCATTATTTCTTCAAATACATATATGCCAGATTGTTTGATATTTTCCTTTAGGTCACTGAATGCCTGTTTTTTTTCTTTTTTTAGTTTCATTTTAGATTGGTTTTTGCTATGTCATCAAGTTCACAAATCTTTTTTTCTGCAGTGTCTAGCTTAATGATAATTCTATTAGATGGAATTCTCATTTTAGATATTCTATTTTTTTATCTCAGAAATTTCATCAGGTTCTTTTTCATATCCTCCATCTCTCTTCATATGTTCATGTTTAACTTTAGATCCTTAAATACCTTGAAAATATTTATGACCGGGCATGGTGGCTCACACTTGTAACACCAGCACTTTGGGAGGCCAAGGTGGGCAGATCACCAGAAGTCAGGAGTTTACGACCAGCCTGGCCAACATGGCAAAACCCTGTCTCTACTAAAAATACAAAAATTAGCTGGGCATGGTGGCACACAGCTGTAGTTCCAGGTATTCAGGAGGCTGAGGCAAGAGGATAGCTTGAACCTGGGAGGCAGAGGTTGCAGTGAGCCAAGATCATGTCATTGCACTCTAGCCTGGGTGACAGAGTGACATTCTGTCTCAAAAAAAAAAAAAAAAAGCTGTTTTAATATGCTTGCCTGCTAATTCCATCATCTTTATCCTTTCTGAGTATGTTTCTATTAACTAATTTTTTTCCACGCTATAAATCACATTTTTCTGCTACTCCTTATGTTTATTCTAGTAATTTTGATTGAGTTATGAACCTAGTGAGTTTTGTGTTGTTGAATGCTGGATTTTGTTGTATTTCTTTAAAGAGTGTCGAACTTCGTTTTAGTGTACAATTAAACTAAGTGAAGATTAGATCAAGACTTTCATATTAGATCAAGAGTTTAAAAAAATTCCTCAATAAAAATGTCCAGAATACCTTTTTCTATGGTTAATTTTATCCCACTATGTGTGTGACCTTTTTGGGATTTTGACTAAATGCCTAATGTATTCATCAATGTCTCTCTACTTCAACTATTGGGAACTTGAAAGATTCCCAGTCTTACATGAGCTCAGGGATTTGTCCTAATTACAAATACCCAGTAATTACTCTTTCCCCAGAAGCTGATTTTTCCTGGCTGTGTGGTTTCTCTTATGCACATGAAGATTGGCATTCAGTCCAAAACTCAAGTAGACCCATGTGCAGATTTCTGGTGCCTTTCTCCATGTAGCTCCCTGTTCTTGTAGTACCCTGTCCTACAAATTCTGGCCATCTCATTTTCTCCAATCTCCAGTCTCTGTCTCCTCAATTCAGTCCTATTTCTGGGCTCTGCTTGGGTTCCACCACCCTGCACTGTCCTCTAGAAATTGTCTTCAGGTTGAAAGCTGGTAGGACTCATCTCATTTCTTTTCCTCCTCAAGAAATCACAGTTCTGTGTTGTTGTTCAATATCTGAAACTTGTTTTTTGTTCACTTTTTCTAGTTGTTTATGGTAGGAGGGTAATTCCAGAGCCTGTCACTACCTAATGGCCAGAACTAGAAGTTCCAACCAAAATGTTATTATTAAGAAAATCTTAGGAACATATCATAATTTCTTTCATAGTCTTCTTACCCTTCTATGCCAACATACAAATTTAATTATTCAGTTATTGTATTCAAAAATTTTCTTGAAAAAGGCTATTCATTACAGGTATCTTGAAGATATTACATCTCTGATGTAGAGGAAAATCAACCAGATACAACCCAAATTGATGTGCAATACCATCTTATGGTCAGTCCACCCACCATACCTGTGGGTGCTGAGTCTTATTCCAGAGTTCAAATCACAGACCAAGGAGGCCAGAATCTCTGGCTTGTGACAGATCTTTAGGTTCCAGATAGAAAGTTTCATACTTTTGTGGTCTACTTTGAATCCAAGGTTACTTTCTCTTTTTAAGGAAAATACATTGTGCTTTTATATTTTAGTGCCCTTAAGTTCTATTTCAGTTTGCTTTTGCCCTGAGCATAGTGACAATGCAGCATATTTCTCACTATTCTTACTCTAGGAAAAGAAAACCGTGGCAGCAACCTGGAGATAGTTTCTTTGCTTTGCTTTTTTTTTTTTAGATGGAGTCTCACTCTGTTGCCAGGCTGGAGTGCAGTGGTGCAATCTTGGCTCTCTGCAACCTCTGCCTCCCAGGTTCAAGTGATTCTCCTGTCTCAGTCTACCGAGTAGCTCGGACTACAGGTGCGTGCCACCACATGCAGTATAGTTTTTTGTATTTTTAGTAGAGACGGGGTTTCACCGTGTTGGCCAGGACGTTCTCGATCTCTTGACCTTGTGATCTGCCTGCCTCGGCCTCCCAAAGTGCTAGGATTACAAGTGTGAGCCCCATGCCCGGCCACCTGGAGACAGTTTCTAATTGGATGCAGTCCTTCTGAGAAAGGTGAAAAATGACCCATTTTCTAATAGTGGGCTTAACAAATAATAACCAGCAATGTGACATGACAAATAGTTTATTTAGAATAGGAATAATAAATAGAAATAATAATGAAGGATGTATGTTAAATAAACATAGTAGCTAACGCATTACTGATATTTAATGGATACTGGAGTATGAAGGATGATAAAATGACTGCTGTTGCAAGGTATGCCCCTTTTCTGCCTCTAAGTGTCCTCTGCTGATCTAGGAGGGTCCTTCCTGTTGGATCTACTCCATTGTCTGATAAAATGTGCTTGTGCTTAGCTTGTTGAGCTCCTGAGTATGTGTATTTCCAACTTCTATTAGGCACATTCTCCTCTCCATTCTAGCTGGTAAAAAAATAAAGCATGATAGCTCTTCCCAGACATAATAAAAGATAATGAAATTGAATAAAACAATCAATTTTGATTCCCTATTTGTTCATTTGCCTAGGATCTTTTTTCTTTTTCTTTTTGTAGGTTTGTTCTGTATAGCTTTAGAGGAATTTCCTTCTTGGGGAAAAAAAATCCCAGTAGATTAACACATTCATAGAGCTGAAAGACTATTTTCCTTTAAGCATTATTCAAAAGAGACTAATTATCTTTAGAGAGCTGGGAGAATTTGCAATGACCTTTCAGGCTGAATTTGTGGTGGCTTCACAGGAAGATTTCTGATTGCTAAGCTATACCCATCTAATTTTTAATTTAAATAATTTTCTGTAAAAGATTAGAACGTGATTCATTTCAAAACATCATTACAGTTGCTCCTAGGCTAGTTTCAATTGTGTATCAGAACTGGATGCTGCTTTAAACATCCATCGGCTCCATTTATTTGGTTTTGTTTCTTGTAAGTATAGAATTTAAAAGAAAAGTGCTAATATTTGGACATATTTTAAGCACTGAAGCTTATTCTCTGTCATCATAAGTAGGAGAAATATTGAACATCAGTTGGGAAGGAGATACTGGATTGCATCAAGTTCAGAAATGACAATTTTAATAAGCTTAGTTTGTTCTAATTGTTTTAGATGACAGCAGCTAAGAGAAGTCTTGGGATGGTCCTCTGAGGACAACATCTTAGATATATTTGAAAAACAGAGGACACACAAGTCCAGGAACAATAGGAGGCCTTCTGTCCCTTGACATTCTTCTCTGCTAATCGTGTAGTTTACACATTAGAAAAGGATTACTTTTTTTCTTAACTGGAAGTGAAAAGAACAGAGAATAAAAACTTTAAGTAATAAATCAACACCTGAAAAAATGCTAACACTGAGACAGTGTGGTGCATTACTAGTGTGTCATCAAGACCAAATGAATTAATTCATAGAAAGTACTTAACACTGTGCCTAGCACATAGTGCTGCATGAGGGTTGTTAAATGTTATTACTTTGATTAAAGTAAACCCTGTTTGCTTTCAAAGTCAGCCACTCATTAGGAAATGGGAGCTTAGGTATAGATTGAGGGTTGGTTTGGGTAATCAATTGTTAGAGCTGTAACTATTTGGACCATAAAGCTTTGTCTTATTTCATCTCTAACCTGGAGACTTACGAAGGAGCCTTCTGAAATGATTGACATGATCTATTCTTTCCCATGCTAAATAATTTCTTCTGTAATTTGAACCTTACTTTACCTACATTTTTTCTGCCTTTTACTTTTCTTGGCATATTCTTAAACAGAAGAGAGACAAGACAGTCAAAATGAATAAAAGAAGTAGTCATAAGAAAAGAAGGGACCTGTTAAGTAAGGAAAGCAAATAAGCTTATGCATTTTTCTCTGATAATTGACTTAGAATTATATCTCATAAGTTTTCATATATAATGTTCCATTATAATTAATATCTCAATAGTCTGCAATTGCAGTTTTTATTTCCTCTTTGACCCTAGAGTTACATAAACTTACTTAAGTACATTTCATTTCTCTTTTTCTTTCCCTCCTTCCCTCCTTCCCTCCCTTCCTTCTTTCCTTCCCTTTCTTAATTTCCAACTAATTGGAGATTCTTGTGGTTTCTTTATGATTATCTCTAATTTTTTTCATGTGGTTAGATATGGTCTGAACTATTTCAACATTTTGAAATTGTTGAGACTTACATTGCTACCTAATATAAAATTAATTTTCATAAATAGTCCATGGCAGCCTGAATTTACATTACTCTCTATGAATTTGGCATTTATAAATCTATTAAAATAATTTTATTTATTTTGAACTACCCCATCTTCTAGGAATAAGGCAATGATGTTAATTTCTTCATATCTACAGTAATTTATTTTGAATTTTAAAGATATATTTATATATGATTGCATGTTATTTGGCACATAGGTTTATGATAGATAAAATTCATTGTGAATTGTCACTTCTTAACAAAAGTTGCTATTATATTTAATGCTTTCTTCTTTGATTTCTACTTTGATGTTTGTATGGAAACCTTTTTTTGTTGTTTTCTTTTTTTGCAGTGAATATCAGCAGATTATGTTTTTATTTCACCATTTATCTTAACTTTTCTGAACTACTTTATTTCGAATATATATCTCCTCTAGATAGCATATACAGACTGGGCGCGGTGGCTCAAGCCTGTAATCCCAGCGCTTTGGGAGGCTGAGGCGGGCGGATCACAAGGTCAGGAGATTGAGACCATCCTGGCTAACACGGTAAAACCCCATCTCTACTAAAAATACAAAAAAATTAGCTGGGTGTAGTGGCTTGCGCCTGTAGTTCCAGTTACTCGGGAGGCTGAGGCAGGAGAATCGCTCGAACCCTGGAGGTAGAGGTTGCAGTGAGCCGAGATTGCGCCATTGCACTCCAGGTTGGGTGACAGAGCGAAACTCCATCTCAAATATATATATATATATATATATATATATATATATATATATATATATTTTCATACATACATATCACACACATATATGTAAAATAAAAAATAAAAATAAAAAGAGATAGCATATACAGTCATGTGCCACTTAATGACATTTTGGTTAACAATTAATTGCATATATAATGGTGGTCTCATAAATTGCAATGGAGCTGAAAATTTCCTATTGCCTAGGGATGTCATAGTGCAACATATTACTCCAGTGCTTGTGGTAATGCTTGTATAAACAAACCTACTATGCTGCCAGTCATATAAAAGTATAGCACATATAATTATGTACAGTGTAAAAGACTTGATGCTAAACGACTGTGTTACTGGTTTATGTATTTAGCACACTATGCTTTTTATGGTTATTTTAGAGTATACTCCTTCCATTTACAAAAACCAAGTAAACTGTAAAGCAGCCTCAGGCAGGTTTTTCAGCAGGTATTCCGTTCCAGGTATGTTATCATAGGAGATGACAGCTCCATGCATGTTATTGCCCCTGAAGACCTTTCAGTGGGACAAGACGTGAAGGTGGAAGACTGATATTTATGACCCTAAGCCTGTGTAGTTCTAGGCTAATGTGTGTGTGTCTTAGTTTTTAACAAAAAAAAACTTAAAAAAGTACAAGTAAAGTAAAAAGTTAAAAAAAAGTTTAAAAATAGAAAAATGTTTACAGAATAAATATATAAACAAAGAAAATATTTTTGTACAGCTATGTAATGTGTTTGTGTTTTAAGCAAGGTGTTATTACAAAAGAATTAAAAAGTTAAAAAATGAAAACATTTATAAAGTAAAAAAGTTACAATAAGCTAAAGTTACTTTATTATTAAAGAAATTATTTTTTTCATATGCTTATTGGCCGCATGTATGTCTTCTTTTGAAAGGGCCTGTTCATGTCCTTCACCCAATTTTAAGGGGTTGTTTATATTTTGCTTATAAATTTGTTTAAGTTCCTTATATATTCTGGATATTAAACCATTGTCAGATGCACAGCTTGCAAATATTTTCTCCCATTCTGTAGGTTATCTGTTTATTCTGTTGATAGTTTCTTTTGCTGTGCAGAAGTTCTTTAGTTTAATTAGGTCCCATTTGTCAATTTTTGCTTTTGTTGCAATTGCTTTTGGCATCTTGGTCATGAAATCTTTACCAGATCCTACGTCCAGAATGGTATGTCATAGATTTTCTTTCAGGGTTTTTATAGTTTTAGGTTATACATTTAAGTCTTTAAACCATCTTCAGTTGATTTTTTTAATAGAGTGGAAGGAAAGGGCCCAGTTTCCATCTTCTCCATATGGCTAGCCAGTTATCCCAGAACTATTTATTGAATCGAGAGTTTTTTCCTCCCTGCTTGTTTTTGTCAGGTTTGTCAAAGATCTGATGCTTGTAGGTGTTTGGCCTTATTTCTGGGCTCTTTATTCTGTTCCATTGGTCTGTGTGTTTGTTTTTGTACCAGTACCATGCTGTTCTGGTTACTGTAGCCCTATAGTATAGTTTGAAGTTGGGTAAAGTGGTGCCTATGGCTTTTTGTTGTTGTTGTTGTTTGGTTCTTTTTGCTTAGGATTATCTTGGCTATTCAGGCTCATTTTTCATTCCATATGAATTTTAAAATAATTTTTTCTGATTTTGCGAAGAATGTCATTTGTAGTTTGATAGGAATAGCATTGAATCTGTACACTGCTTTGGGCAGTATGGCCATTTTAACAATGTTGACTTTTCCTATTGATGAACATGGAATGTTTTTCCACTTGTTTGTGTCATGTCTGATATCTTTGAATAATGTTTTGTAATTCATCTTTCACCTCCCTGGTTAGCATATTTCTAGGTATTTTATTCTTTTTGTGGCAGTTGTGAATGGGACTGTGTTCCTGATTTGGTTTTCAGCTTGGATGGTGCATTAGAGAGATGCGAATCAAAACTACAATGAGGTACCATCTCACATCTGTCAGAATGGCCATTATTAAAAAGTCAAAAAGAAATAGATGCTTGTGAGGTTGCAGAGAAAAGAAAATGCTTATATCCTGCTGGTGGGAGTGTAAATTAGTTCAGCCATTGTGGAAAGCAGTGTGGCGATTTCTCAAAGAACTTAGAATTATCATTCAACCCATCCATCCCATTATTGGGTATATACCCAAAGGAATATAATTCTTTCTACCATAAGACACATGAACACATATGTTTATTGAAACACTATTCACAAAAGCAAAGACATGGAATCAACTTGCATACCCATCAATGATAGACTGGATTAAAAAATATGATGCATATACACCATAGAATACTACGCACCTGTAAAAAGAACAAGATCATGTCATTTGCAGCAACATGAATGGAGCTGGAGACTATTATTCTAAGAAAACCAATGTTTTCTTAGAATACATTGAATACGTAATATATTAGAATACGGAACAGAAAATCAAGTACCGTATGTTCTCTCTTGTAAGTGGAGCTAAACAATGAGAACACATGGGCACAAACAGGGGAACAATAGACACCAGGGCCTATTTGAGGGTGGAGGATGGGAGCAGGGAGAGGATTAAAAAAATTACCTATTAGATATTATGTTTATTACCTGTGTGACAAAATAATCTGTACACAAAACCCTTGCAACACAAGCTTACCTCTATAACAGTCCTGCACATGTGCCCCAAAACCTGAAATAAAAGTTAAAAAAAGAAAGACATATTTAAAAATAAATTTAGTGTAGCTTAAGTGTACAGCATTTATAAAGTCTACAATACTATAATGTCCTGGGCCTTTACATGCACTCTTCCAGATCACCTTTCAGTCCTGAAATCACCTCCATTTGTGGTAAGTACCCTAAATGAGTGTACCATTTTTTATCTTTTATACTGTAGTTTTACTGTATCTTTTCTATGTTTAGATATACAAATGCTTACCATTGCATTATAATTGCATACAGTATTCAGTACAGTAACATGTTAGACAGGTTTGTAGCCTAGGAGCCATAGGCTATGCCATATAGCCTGGGTGTGTAGCAGGCTATACCATCTAGGTTTGTGTGAGTACACACTATGATGTTTGCACAATGACGAAATTCCTAACGACACATATCCATATCATTAAGCGACACATGACTGTAGTTAGATTTTGTTTTTTGACCCAGTATGAGTCTTTTCCTTTCAACAGATGAGATATTCCCATTACATTTCTTTTTATAACAAATGTTTATTACTTCTCTTATCTCATTTCATGTTTTCTGCCTTTCTTCTGTTTTGTTTATTGTCTTTTTTGATATATGACCTGTGTTTTTTTCCTTTAATTTTCTTTTAGTAATTCTGTGGATAAAAAACCGATATTTTGTTTTGCTAATAATTAAATCTTTAGGTTCAAACTTTCTCAAGTTATTAATATAAACTAATATCTAATGACTACCACCTATGAAGATAAGGAATTTATCAAAAATAATATTTTTTTCCCATTTCTTAGGTTTCTATTGGTATACTCTGGAAGTTTTTTTCTAGATAGTTATTGAATTGTTCAAACATCATTTTTGAAAATGCATTATCTTTTCTTTTAATAATCACATTTGTGTCTTGTTTCTCACCTTGTTTGCCAAGTCATTTAGATTTGATTACATGTTTTAATTCATACATCTGGCCTTTCATCCCACTGTGTCTTCCTCTGTGACTTCTTTATTTGCATCTCCTGTTTGCCATTGGTACGTATCTTTGGGTCATTTTTCCAGAGAGAATACATGGGTTGATACTTTCTGAGAATTGGCATATTTGATAAGATTTTCCTGCTATCTCTGTATGAAAAGGATGCTTTACTGACATAAAACTCTTGAGTCAGGCCAGGTGCTTTGGCTCATGCTTCTAATGAGCACTTTGAGATGTTGAGGTGGGTGGATTCTTGAGCCCAGGAGTTTGAGACCAGCCTGGGCAACATGGTGAAACCCCGTTTCTACTAAAAATACAAAAAATTAGCCAGGCATGGTGGCGTGCCCCAGTAGTCCCAGCTACTTGGGAGGCTAAGGTTGGAGGGTCACATGAGCTCAGGAAGTCAAGGCTGCAGGGAGCCCACCTCTGCTCTCTAGCCTGGGAGACAGGGAGGGAGACCCTGTCTCAGAAAAAACAAAACCAAAAAACTCTTGAGTCATAACTGTTTCTTTTAAAAAATTAATGTGATCCCATTATGTTTTTGGCATTTAATGTTTCTTTTGGCATTAAATTTCACAGAGAAGATGGCCAATTCCAGACTGTTTGTTTGTTTGTTTTCTCGTAGATAACCTGGAGAGCTGGATGTTGCTGGAGAATATCATTTGCTCATTCGGCAACTTGAATAGTGTAGAGAGGAAATTGGGGTTGCATGTGGGTCAGAAAAGAAGGGATGTTTGTCACTGAAGCTCTGTTTTCTCTCTTTGTAGAGATTATTGCACCAGAGGCCAGTATTTTTATATCCAGTTTTCTGTTCAGCTGACCTCTAATCCAAGTGCACAGAATGGGTACAGCTTCCTCTGGGATGTTTCCTGGGGCTTTTATCCACCAAATTGGGGAGTGTCCTGTCATTGTGGAGTGCTGTCCCTTTAATTTGGGAATACATTTGAATATATCAGAAGGAAATGGCCAGTTAGGTCAAATTTTGGATGAGAGAAAACTCCTGTGGCCGGCAGAGTTTCATTGGTGGCCCTGCTCCAATATACACTGCGGTTAGTGTCAATAGCAAAAGCACCTCCATGGGGAGTGGTCTTCATCTGTCTCATGGTCCTTCTTGCCTTCTCAGAGTGGGATTGAGGGTCCTGCCCCGCTTCCCCATTTTAGGAAAGTGCTCCCTCATGTCAGTATAACCCTAGGGCTGCTATTGAGAAACTGGGCAGGTGGCACACTGAGTTGCTGCAGAGTTTTCTGATGTACCCACAGGCTTGCTTCTTCTGCCCTGTCCCTGTAGCCTCTGACCTGTGGCTCTGTCTGGTCTACTGCTCACCCTCACCTCTTGCCCTCATTTCTCATTATTCAGGATTGCTGGTGATACTTATAAAGATTTGCTTAACTTCTTACTGCACTGCACCACTTCCAGAGTGGGAAAACCAGAGGGGGCTTTCAGTGAGAGCTTTTGATCTTGTTTCACCTTTGCTTTAATCTTCCCAGTTTATAAGATGTTGGCAACATCACTTACTCTCAGCACTGAAACTTTGTTCCAGTATTTTACTTTTATAATTTTGTCTGTTTCCGGGAGAAGGATTTGAAACAGACCTGTCACTTCCCTTGGAATTCAAGAGATTACAGAGAATTCTGCATAAATTGCAAATTTTGCATTTCATTTCCTTCTTAAGAATCAAAACACCCAAGTCACTTGATAAAACTTCTTTACCGATTTTTCTTCAGGTCACTCTCAGCATGTGGCTCAGCTCGTTCATTTTTCAGTTGATTCATATTAGCTTCCTTTGGATTTGTCCCCTGAATTTGAAGATGCTTCTTTTGTGAGGCCTATTGCCCAAAATGCTCTGACCACAACCACTCTGGAGGAGTGGGGTTCGTGCCTGAGGGAAAGAAAGGAGAGTAATTGCAGGGAGTAGAAGTGCTTGCATCCACCCTTATCCCTGGGCCACTGTCGGGTAGTGGCTGATAGACTGTAGAGACATCAATTATTTGGATTGGCCTCACTCCACGCTCTCAGTGATCCAGGCCACATCTCTTACTCTCTTACAGACACAATTTATTTTTGTAGATAATCTCTGGCAAAATGTTACTTTTTTGGCTTTGCTGTGCCCTTGAGAGTGCTATTGGGTATCTTTCTCCATCCATCAGGTAATTAATACCCAAAAAGGCAAACAAATCTTAAATATAGTTGGGAAGATAAATCTACTGCAAACAATAATGTTAGAATATAAAAGTGAATATACAGGATTTTTAGATTATCTTCCCTGTTGCCCATTATTGTTACCATAGATGATGAGTTGACTCTAACAGTGTGGACTGTATATCTGTAATTCCTCACCCTATTCCTTAAGTAAATCCCTTATTGAAATGATTTTATATACATTTCCGCTGCTTTCCACCTAACACCTTAGCTGTCTTTTCGAGTGTTATCTTTAAACCATTCCTACTAAATGAGATTTAGACTTTGAACATTATATATTTATATCATCTTTTTAAAGCTTTTTTATAGAAAAAGTATGCATTCTGATTTACTTTGTAAGGACTTCGAGTGATGTCCTTATTTAGAACATTTCCGTTTCTTTCTGACATTTACTAAGCTGTTAGAGAAAACTGATGAGCATAACTTGCTGTCTTCAAGTTACATCAGTTTTTTAGGGAGTTGAATGAGAATACATTAAACTTATTTTTAGAATGTTCCTTTTTATAAATGTATCATGTACGTCATACAGGCTTAGCAACCCCACTAATGTGGGAAGTGAGCATGTCAGATATTACTCCCTTTGCACGGTCAGGCTTAACCGAACTTAGAGAGGGCGATAGGGAACCACTGAAGAAAACTCCAAGTAATACAAGTAGTGGTATTTATAAACCTCTGAGTCAATAATGATTCAGCACTGAAGTACCCTGCTAAGGAGACTGTTTGGTTAAAGTGACATTGGTGTGAAATTAAAGCTGAGAACATTTGCAGTTCTTGTTTGACATTGTGGATATTTGGCACTGTGAGTAGGTAAAACATTTGGTATAAGGCCATTTTACTCTAGAATCATTTGTGTAACTCTTCACAAACTTGAAAAACAAACTTGCCTTCATAGATTCTTCCTCCCAGTTTTTAAAATATTAAAAACGGAAAAAAGACATCCTGCTTAAGTTCATTTAAAATTAAAATTAGATATCTAATTAGATTAAAAAACAGGATTAGCATTTTACAGGATTGGCATTTACTTTATGCCAGACTCATTACAATTACATGCTGTTGGTCTTACAATACCCATTTTACACATTATGAAGCTAAGGATTAGAGAGGTTAAAAGCCTTCTGAAAGTAACATAGCCACTGAATAATTTTCAGTCAAGATTCAAACTCAGGTCTTTGCTGTCAGACAGACCCAAATTCTCTACCCCAAGCTGCCTCCTGTGGCAAAAAGAAGGGAATTGCCATATTTAACTAGGCCACGTCAAATGAGCCAAACTTCCAAATTCAACTTGCGTTTCAAGTAAACTCCCTAAAATTTTAATTGCTAAATGATGGAGGTAACATTAGAAATGGTTTTAAAATTTTGGAGGATAAAAGCTTGATGTAAATGAAGGTGAAACATGTCTATCTTTGGCTTGATATTGGTAAAATTATAACCTCCAATTTTCATTCTTTTTTTCTTTAGAATTTTTGAAGACAGATTCAGGTCAAATTTGTCAGATTGGTGATGATTGCCAAATGTATATTTGAGAATCTTTCTTTCAGAATGACACTGGAATATGATGAGCTTCCTTAGTAGAATATGTGGGGGACCAAGTATTCAGGATTATTCCCTCAGTTGGCAATGTGAGGACAGACTGTACCAAGGATTTTGGAAGGCTTAGAAATACTCAGGCTCAGCAACAGTTTGCAAAGCAGTGTGTTCTTCCAACTGCCCCGGGGCGGGACTCTGCATAATGCAGCCCCCATCCCTCCAGAGAAAATCTGGCTCCTTGAATAACTGGACCATTTGTATTGCTGGCCAAGGTGAATTTGCGGAGAGAGAGAGAGAGGACTGCAGAAATATTGCATTGTGTCTTTTCAGCATGGAGAGTCCTGAGAGCTGCAGAAAGCAAATGTCAGAGAACAAAGCCACACATGTCTGGGTTCACAGAGTGATACATCATTTATCAATCTATATATTAATTTATTTGGGGGTCACAGGATGGCCAACTTTTTATTTTTCAGTTAAGAACATTAAAAAAACCCTACTATCTACTATCATTTCATGAAAGAAATGCTACTTTAAATCTAAAAAGAGGAAGGATATCATATCAGAATAAAGAACAAACTTTTAGATGGAATAGATGTAGCTTCATTAAAAACTCACTCTATTGCACTTATCTCTAATTTTTCTCAGCCTGCTGGAACTATGCCACGGATCAGCACTGCCTACAGACTGTTGTCTGACAATCCCTGAATGGGAAGCAATTTGAAACCAAACATGAGTTCTAGAACTTTAATCCACTCATCAGATCTGAGGGAAGTCTTGAAAAATATGTGCTTTCCAAAAAAGCAGCCTGGGCTTGGTGCAGTGGCTCACACCTATAATCCCTCCTATAATCCCTGAAAGGCTGAGGCAGGAGAATAGCTTGAGTCCAGGAGTTCAAGACCAGCCTGGGTAACACGGCAAGACCCTGTCTCTATGAAAATAAAAAAATTAGCCAGGTGTGGTGGCACATGCCCATAGGCCTAGCTACTCAGGAGGCTGAGGTGGGAGGATCACTTGAGCTGGGAGGTCAAGGCTGCAGTGAACCGTGATCATGACACTGCATTCCAGTCTGGGCCACAGAGCCAGACCCTGTCTCAAAAATTTTTAAAAATTAGAAAATTAAAAAGCAGCCTGGAACAGGGTCTGGTACATATTGTGTGCTCAAAAACATTGTTTAAACTGTAGAGAGACGAATGCCAAGTCCTAGGATTGAATCTAGGGAGTGGGCCCATTCAGGGGACAAAGAATTCCTCAAGGCCTCCCTTCACAGCTCCTCAGCCTCTTCGCCCCACTGGTGTAAAGCACTAGCGTGTGGGGGCTGCAGCCTGAGGATCAGAAACCTTCAGGAACCAGATGGTCTCCACTGGGGGTCCATGTTGGAAGGGCCAGTCTGGGCTGGGCTGCATCAGTGGTGCCTGCACATTCCCGCGGGGAGGTCCCCAGGTGTCCTCTGTGCCACTCTCTACCATGGTGGGCCTTGTGATTTTGTTGCTGGGCTCTCCGTGGGCCACAGAGGCATCAGGATGTGATGACGAAGAAGATCACCAACTTTTAAGACAGGCAGACCCGGTTGGAATCTTTATAATTAGACTTAATACCTAAAGGCGTCCTTCTCCTAAGAATAATACCTGAGTATCAAAACATAAACATGGCCAGCCATCCCAGAATAAGTAGAGGAGGAATAAATAAAAATACAAATGTTATATTATGGGCTGGGTGTGGTGGCTCATGCCTGTAATACTAGCATTTTGGGAGGCTGAGGAGGGGGGTGGATCACCTGAGGTCAGGAGTTCGAGACCAGCCTGGCCAACATGGCAAAATCCTGTCTCTACTAAAAATACAAAAATTAGCCGGCATGGTGGCGCACGCCTGTAATCCCAGCTACTCGGGAGGCTGAGGAAGGAAAATCGCTTGAACCTGGGAGGTGGAGGTTGAAGTGAACCGAGATTGCACCACTGCACTCCAGCCTGCATGACAGGAGCGAGACTCCATCTCAAAAAAAAAAAAAAAACCCACAAAAATTATCCAGGCATGGTGGTGTGCACCTGTAATCCTGTAATCCCAGCCACCTGGGAGGCTGAGGCAGGAGAATCACTTGAACCCGGGAGGCAGAGGTTGTAGTGAGCCGAGATCGCACCACTGCACTCCATCCAGCCTGGGCAACAGAGTGAGACTCTGTCTCTAAAAAAAAAAAAAAAGCTATATTATGAAAGTGATCATTCAAATAACCCATTATATAATCAACGTTCGTGTCAATTAAAAAAAAGATTTCTAGTGGGTTTTGCTTTATCCCTTTCATAAATGGTGTCTTTATGTTTTATAACCTTCCCCTTTGTCCTGATTAATGCTTTAATCTTAAATGCTGTGTTGGCCAATAATTGTAGTAGTGTTGTTTTCTTCTCCTTCCTTTCTTTTCTTTTTTTCCTTTCTAAAAAATATGTGCTTTTCCTGATATCCATTTACCTATTTTTAACATTAAGAAAACACTTTAAGTGTGTTTTGAAATCAAGATACATCTGATTTATTTAGTCTGAAAATGTTTGTCTTTGAAAGATGAATTCAGTTCATATTTAATTTAATAACGGATATATTCGATTTTGTTTATTTCATCTTACCTCATGTATATTATTTATTTGACATTGTTTTTCCTTTTCTTCACTTAATTTTGGTAGATTCATCAAGGTACTATAATTACATTTTCCTTATTAAATTTAAAGATTCTACCACACTTTCCCATTCTTCTAGTGAATGCTTCCCCATTCTGTTCACTCCTGTTGGACCACTGATTTCTCTGCGACCAAATGAAAACAAGATGCCAACTATCTCTCTCACTCAAATAGCTTTATTTTCTCACTGCCCTCTTCCACCTTTATAATGCTTTCATTTCCCTATGCTTATCTAAGATGAAACCTTAAGAAAATTTGTACTTCCCTCTCTACTTACTCCCTCCTCCCTTCCCAAGATTTTGTTAAATAGTTTAGTACTTTTAGACATTTTTAGGTTTTCTCCTGTAGAATGCTTCTTCTATTTGTATAATCATTACTCAGCACTTATATTACAAATTCCCAGTCACTCTATCATTTTCAGTTTAGATTTCAATATGGGTATGCCTAAGTGGAAAGTTACACATACACACACACATAGAGAGATAGAGACTCAAACTCATGGCTGGTTCCTCACCTCCTTGTGCCCTACCAGGGACTCTGTTCAGGTTCATATTTTGCTGTCCTAGAGCCCTTCCTGAAGTATTTCCTTACATGGAATATGGCGGTGACATAAGCCTCAAATCCTTCCATATTTGTGAGCACCTTTCTTTCACCTTGGCAGGTGCACTGCGGCTCTCTCAGCAGAGGGTAGGACTTGAAGCTGGCGTCCTGTGTTCTGTAGCTGTAATTCTTCTGTCTTCTGTCTCCTGTGTTAGTCCAATTTATGTTGGTTCTTTCCTTTGTGTGTAACACAGTTTTTATGCCTGACAGCCTACAAATTTTGTGATGTTCGAATTTAGGATATCTACCAAGATATAACCAAGTATTTTTTAAAAGACAATTTTACCCCATAAATTTTGCCTGGAACTTGATGAGCACTTCAAATTTGCAGAATTGAATCTTTCTTAAAACCAGGGAAAATTTCTCCTATTATTCCCTTAATTAATGCATCCCTACATCTGTTCCTTTCCCTCCTTTGGAAGTCCTATTATTCATAGGTTTGGTCTCTTCATCTGTCCTCCAATCCCTTTTCAATAATTTCTCTCATATTTCCATCTGTTTGTGATTTTGCTTTCTGCATTGAGCTATCTTTTTGCTTGATCTTACAGGCCCATATTCAATCCTCAAAGAGACTAACAACTCTTTCAATTCATCTGTGTAAACTGTAAAGTTGAGCAAACAAAAACCCTCTTTGAATTTCAGAGTCTTTTTTTTTCACATTGGGACTGAATTTCTTTAAATGCGATTGTTGTCATTATTATTATTTTATCTCATTCAAAAACTACAGTTGCCACCTCTCTTCTTTAGTTTATAAGAAGTTCCAGTTTATAAGAAGCTGCCTGTTTTGGGCATTCTGCTTGCTTTTTCCTCTCTCTGGTTGCTAGGTCCTGTGGATGCTATTGTTACTTTCTTTTTTCTATGCATGGCTCTATTCACCCATGGGTTATAAGCCGGCAGTTGAAAATGCACTTAAGTGATGGCAAAGCCAGGGGGAAGCAGTGGTCTGTGCTCCTTTGAACTGGTGATGTACTTCCTGGCGAGTGGTCAGTCATTCCTCATGGAAAGGCCAATGCATATGTTGCCGGTCAGGAGGTTCTCCTAGATAGCTCTGCTCCAAGCAGTGACTCAGGCATACGAGTCCCTTCCGTCTCGTGGATCTTTAATCCTTTGGGATCTTCTCATGATTCTCTGTGGGATCTAATAAGCATGGTAAATTATACGCGTTATAGAAAGTTATAAATGCTGTTAAAATAGAGCAGGATGAAGTATTGGGAGCATGTATGGGCACACTTGCCGTTTAAATAGGGGTGGTCAGGGTGGCTTTATTAGGAAGGCGGCAATTGATCAAAATATCAAGGAGGATTGAGCCATAAGGATATTAGAGGCAAGAGAACAGTAAAAAGAACAGCCAGTGCAAAGCCGCTGAGGTGAGAGCAAGCCTGGAGTATCCGAAGAGCAAGCAGCAGCCAGTGTGGCTGGAACGGAGTAAATATGGAGGAGAGTAGTAAGAGATCATGTCAGAAAGGGATGGAGGGCCTGATTAGATAAGAGACTACTGCTATAATCCTGGCAAGAGGTAGTGGCAGCTCACTCTCTGAAGGTAGTGGTGGAACTGGTGTAAAGGTGTCAGATTTTAGACATGTTTTGAAGGTAAAATCAAAGGGATTTCCTGATGAATTGGAGGGGAGAGTGTGAGATAAAGAAAGAGATTAAGGATTTTATTTATTTAACCTACATGTAGCATTTACTATGTGCAGGTATTGTTCTAAACATTTGACAAATGCTGACTCATTTTATCCATACCACCCTTAAGGGATATTATTGTCCTATTTTTAAGATTAGGAAATTGAAGCATAGAGAAGAGAAGTAGTTTTCCCAAGGTCACACAGCTAGTATCATATCTAGGATTTGAATCCAGGCTGGCTAGCTCCAGAGTTCATGATCTTAACCACCACATTATATTGCCCTTCATGTGGGGATTCTGCCAGTTGCTGAGAATGTCAACTCCAGTGAAAACATAAGGCACTGCGGAACTAATCACAGTGTGGGTTTCTGGACACACCAGGCCCACTGTGAGATTTAGGTCAAAATTCCATTTATTTCCTGACTTCTGTAAGTTCCCATTTGGTCTGGTAGACCACAGTGGTATTTTGAGTTCTCAGGAATGAGCACCAATTTAGAGCCAGTCTTAGTAATCCCAGAAAAGTTTGGGTATTTCCATTTCCATTGTGCACAGTTATCTTGGTAACTGGCCACATTCCTTTGGGGAAGGCTAGGAGGAAGATTTATGGTCCTCATAGCATTGGGTCCTTCCTCAAAGGGATTTATGACATTTTACTAGGGTCCCTTTACACTTGGGAAAAGAAAAAAAAAGCAACTCCAACTTTCAGGAAAGTAGATAGTAATTATGTGATTTTTGAATTGAGCAAGTGGAAGGATGGATGCTATTGACTGAGATGGAAAAAATTGGATGATCCAAACTTGAGGGTGGCAAGAAGATCAGGAGCTCAATGTTGGGCATATTAATTTTGAGATACCTTCTAGATATCAAAATAGAATTGTTGAATAGATGGTTGGATAATGAGTCAAGATTTCTGGAGGTGTAAATCTGGCAGTTGTCAACATATTCAAAGCCATCAGATCCCAAGATGTGTAGACAAAGAAGAGGCCTGAGGACCAACCCCTGGGCTTGAAGAAGAGGCTAAACTAGCAAAGCAAACAGCAGTGTGTGGTCATACCTCCAAGTGAAGAAAGTATTTCCAAGAAGCTGAATGTGATCGACTATATCAAATGCTGCAGTTATGTTAAGTGAGATGAGGACTGAGCACTGACTATTGAATACAGCAATGTGAAGATTATCCGTGACCTTGGAAAGGCAGTTTTGTGGAGTGGTAGTGGCAAAAACCTAATTAGAGTGTGATAACAGAAAATTGGAGGGCGAAATTGGAGGCAGTGAATAGTCAAATCTTTTGAGAAGTTTTGTGCGAAGGAGATCAGAGATATAGGCATAGCTAAAAGGGGAAGTAGAATCCAGAAAGAACATGTTTATAAGGTGATTAAGATCAACTTGTGTTTATATATCACTGGAAATGACCCAAACAATAGATGGGAAAAATGACAGGACAGAAAGGGGAACATTCCTGGTGTAATTTCTGGGCTGTTTAATTACAAATATGAATTAAACCATAAGCTGTAAACCACAGAGATAGACTAATTTACTACTTGTTTGCTTGTCTTCCGCCTTCAAACATAGTTGATAATCACTGCTAAATCTTTATGAGAGCAATATGTCTTTATGAACCACCGTGGAGAGAAACCTCCACTCTTAGTCTGATATTCATATCCATGCAGATCCATTTCACATTGTGACTCCACAGAATGTCCTCTGAGAATGCCATTTACTGGGCTCCAGTCAGGAAGAGGTGGCCTAGGAGGGGGCAATCACTAAATTTTAGGACCTATAGAATATCTAGTTCTATTTCTCATGGGATATCAGCAGCATTGCCCACTTATGTACACATTTATGTTGCCCAATTACCCATGGCATTTCATTAGGAGAGACCATAAATTTCTAACTTCATTTAAAGTACATTCTGGAGCCTCCAGAGAGCAGTTCCCTATTCTTTATGATAGTCAGTTGTGTCTAAGTACCCTTGACATTTTATTTATTCATTTCTAATTTTTTGTCATATTGCTTATTGATGTACTATAACTGAATATTATATTTTTAATAATTGTTTAATCCTCTAGCTATTTCACTTAGAGTTCAGGATGATGCCAGGTAGCTTTTAACTTGAAGAAATTAAAAAGCAGAGACTTTTAAACATTAATAATTATAAGGTTTAATTCTCTTACTCCTTTTATTTTTTTCCAAAACAAGCATATTTTTTCAGTATTATCTGTAATATCACTCCAAGATAGATTCCCAGTGGACATAAAGATGAAATATTCCAAAGGTGGCACAATCAGCCTCATGGTTTAATTGTCTGAGGCTTAACGAAGAATATTAGATTCTGAAAAATCATCTCCCACTGGCTTTTATCTGCTGTTATTCTGATTACTCAGTCTCCTTATGAATCTAATTTTTAGTTTAATAGCTTCTAAATTCAAACCAGGCTTCATTTTTATACATCATGTCAATGACAGCTAGAGGCAGCACCTCTAGACTTAACCATGGAACATTTGAGGGAAGAGAGGATGCAGTCATACCTTCTGCCCTGAGCTTGCTGTTTGTTTGCTTGTGTACAGTGTACAGTTTTTATATATGGACATGTCAGTCTGCTCCTCCAGATGATGTCTTTGTGGAGGGAGACTTCATGCTTTTTTATCTTCTTCTCTGAAGTGCCCAGTACAGCGTCTGCCACATAGAGACACCCAATAAATATTTATTGAATGAAGGAATACACTATGTCATTAATAAACCATGTGACCTAGTTATCAATTTCTGCCTGAAAGTAGCTTGCAGTTTAGGAGATAATATAGTCTTTCATTAACATACTTAGTCTTCACTTTAGCTGTAAATAAACTAAAAAAATAAATAAATATATTTCTGTTTAAGCCACCCAGTCTGTGATTTTATTATGGCAACTCTAGCAAATGAATACAAGGACCTCACATAGTTCCTGGCCCATTGTTCAATTTCAATAAAAAAGAGTCTAGGGGGAAAAAAAAAAAGAAAGAACAGGAACCTATAGATTGAAAGACACTTCAATCTGTAGGTATACATCTGTAGTATACATCAACCATTTGCAAATATGGAGTTTACTTGGATCCTTATTTAAACAATGAAAAAATAAATTGGGGAAATTTAAATGCTAAGTAGACATTTGATGATATTAAGGAATTATTAACATTTTTAGATGTAATAATAGTATTGTTATGTTTTTAAAAAATGAGTTCCCAGCTGTAAGAAATACATACTGAAATATTTACGAATAAAACAAAAAGTGTAAAACTTTTTTGATTAAAAATGGTGCTGCCCTACACTGCTCATTTTAAAATTCAAGCCTGCATGTAGTGATACACATAAAATTTGACAAGCAAATACAATATTACTGCCGATGTGTACTGTGATAAACAAAATGCCAGGCAAGGTTTAGGTGCCTCTGTTCTGCTCCTGTTCTCACTGGCATTAATAATCAGGAGAGTGCTGCTGTGTCATGATATTTCATGGTAGATATTTTGGTGCTTTTTGTATATTATGAGTGCTTTTTTTTCTGACATTATAAAAAATGAAAGGAACTCTTAGATATAAATTTTCAAATTTAAAAGGAAAAGTACTACTATTCCTCTTTTTTTGTTTCTAGATTTGTTTATTTAAGGACAACCTGAGATTGCAAGGTAAGCTGTCAACAAATAAAAAAATTTTCAAAGCTATCTGTGGAAGTCATGATTTTATTGGTGCTGTATAACCAGAACAAAAGACATAATTTGGATGCTGAGTTTGATATAAATCTGGATATTTTCAAATGCAAGATTTTTTATTTATTTGTGAAATGAGATTCCTTGTTCCAATTGACTGACTACAATAACACATTATATATGTAGGAAAGATGTCTAACAGGAGAGGAGAGGGCAAACATAAGGTTTGGTTCCTCTGCGGAAGTGATCTCATTCTGCTCTTTCTCAAACATCATCGCGGATCACTGGGATTGGAGTGACTCCTGCCTGCTCTTCTCTTTCTCACTGATGATCTTACCTTACATTTAAAAGAGAACATCAATGTTAAAGGGCATGCCACCCTTGGCTTTTAGTCCTGATACCTACAAACTTATCCTCATCTGCATCTCCTTCAACTACCTTTCTTCAGCCTCAGAGCAAGATGGGTCTCTTTTCACCAATCTCATGATTGTTCTGTCTTTGCTGTTCATGTACATTTAAAAAAAAAATTAATTTTACTCACATCCACATAACATACAATTGACCATCTTAACCATTTTAAGTGGAAAGCTCAGTAGTGTCAAGTACATTCACATCGTTGTACAACCAATTTCCAGAGCTCTATTCATCTTGCAAAACAGAAACTTAAATGCCCATTAAATAATACCTCCCCATTCTTCTGTCTCTCCTGCTCTGGCAACCACCATTCTACTTGCTGTCTCCATGAATTTGCCTATGCTAGGTTCTTCATATAAATGGAATCATACATACTTGCCGTATTGTGCATGGCTTATTACACTTAGCATAATGTCCTCAAGTTTTATCCATGCTGTAGCACGTGGCAGAATGTCCTTTCTTTTAAGGCTGAATGATATTCCATTGTGTGTATGGAATATATACAATGTCTGTGCACTCATCCATTGATGGATATTTGGGTTGCTTCCAACTTTTGGCTATTGTGAATAATGCTGCTATAAACCTGGGTATACAAATATCTCTTCAAAACTCTGCTTTCAGTTTTCTTATGTCTGTACTCAGAAGTGGAATTGCTGGATCATATGATAATTCTGTTTTTAATTTTTTGAGGAACTGCCATACTGTTTTCCTTAGGACTGCACCATTTTGCATTCCCACCAACAGTCACCTGCATTTCTAACATGTTTATTCTACTGGCTCTCTCCTTGCAAATTTATAAACTTCCTGTGATCTTGGACCCTTCTAACATCTCCCCTTCTCTTCATAGATGGGATTCCTGGAAGAATAGTCCACATTTACTTTCCTTGCTTCTTACCTCTTCTTCACCCACCACAACCAAGTTTCTCTTTGTATATTTTACACTATTGTTCTCTACAGTCTACTAGCAAACTCTTCACTCCTTTGTAGCATTCCACACTATTCCTCCAGAACAACACTCTTCCGGCTCCACTCCTATCTCCCTGAATGTTCCTTCTCCATTTGCATTGCTACCTGCTACAAGTTGTTATTTGCTGGGTTGTGTCTGTCCTTGGCTTTCATCTCATTCTACACTTATCTTGGGTGATCTCACCCCCTTACTCAAATAACTTCAATTCTGGAGATTCCTATGTCTATGCAAACCTTCGACCCAGGCCTCTTGCCTGCTCTTTAGGCTTGGCAAGATTAATTTATTACCACTCAGTGCTAAGACATTGTGTTAATCACTAAGGTTACAAAGATGACTGAGACATGGCTAAGCAAGCTTGCTGAAAAGAAGCCCTGCCTGTTGTAATGGTATCCTACTTTAAAATAATATTTTAAAGCCATTCATTCTTTTCTTGGCTTTCATGATGCCATGATATCTCGTGGCTTTTTTAAAAAACCGTATTTACAACTCCTAAGCATTCAGAGCCTATTCTTGGGTACTCCCTTTTCCTCCAGTTACACTATCTCCCTAGTGTCCCACCTATTCCCAGGGCTTTAGAAATACTATGTGGGGGTTATTTCCAAATCTTTACCTATGGTTTTGACTTTCGTTGCAAGTCCAGATGTGTGCATCCACTTGCTGACTTGACATCTCCTCTGGAATGCAACAGTTATCTCAAATTTAACATAGCCCAATAGGAATTCTCATTTCCCTTTCTCATATCTGCTCCTTTCTCAGTAAACATTACCACCATCTGCCCATTGCACATGCCAAACATTCATCAGTGTTCTTTGATTCCACTTTTTATTTTTTCTTCCATATCTAATCCACCAGCAAGTTATTTTTTAACTCTGCCCACAAACGTATCCCAATTCCATCTGCTTCTCTCCATCTCCACTACTATCTCCCTGGTCCATCTTGATCTCCCCTGAGGACCACTTCAATAGTTTCCTGACTTCCTTCTACTTCTATTCTTGTCTACCTTCTATAGAGCAGCCAGTTATCGTTTAAAAATATACACCTTCCCATATCATTTACCCACCGAAAACTGTATAGTGATTTCCTACGGCCCTTAAAACAAAATCCAAACACATTGCCCTAAACCTTATGGCCTTTGAATTCTAGGCTTGGTCTACTTATCAGATGTCACTGCCTACCATTTGCTTCTGGCTGTCTTATTGCTGGCCATGTTGGTCTTCTTTCCATTTTTTGAGCTGGCCAAGCTCTTTCTCTCTTAGGGATTTTGCATTAGCTGTTCCTTTGCCTAGAATGCTCTCCTCCCAATCCTGTAATAGAATGAGTTTCTTGTCGCTCAGATTCTGCTCAGAGAGGTCTTTCTTAGCCACACAATTTTAAGTCACCACTGGATACTTCTTTTATACCAGCCTATTTGAATTTTTTCACAGAGATTCATGCTATCTTCTATTTTTCTTGTTTATGTATTCACTTTTCTTGTTATTACATATATATGCCCCTGCTGGAATGCTCCATGAGAGCAGAGATCTTGTCTCTTTGGTTCATTACTGTATCCCTAGAGCTTAGGACAGCTCTAGGGATATTTACTACTTAAAGTATCAAGTACTTTAAAGGCACTTAAAAGTGTTTGACTGAATGAATAAAAGGTCTTCAGGCCCCAAACTGTCTCATCCAATCTCGGCACAACTGCCAGAGTGAACTCTCTAAATCATATAATACATCTCACCAAGTCACTTCCTATTTGAAATACTCCAGAGACTCCACGTTGCCAAGAGAATATAATCCAAACTGCTTACTATGGCACACAAGACCCTCCAATACCTGGCCACTGCTTCCCTCTCCTACCTTATTTCTCTCCGAGCTCCCCTCTATGCCTAGCAATTTGCAGGCATCTAACCATCAGCATGTCCAGAGCCATGCTGTTTCATCTTCTGAAGCTTTGATAACATTTCTTCATCATGCCTGGACCACCCTTTCTTCTTGTTACTCCTCCCACTTTAACCCTCATGTGTGCTCAGTTTTTAAGACACAACTTGAGTCAAGAAGCCAGTCTGATTCCCATATTACCCTAAACTCCAACTTTGTTTTTTTTCTTTTCTCTCTGTTGCCCAAGCTGGGAAGCAGTGGTTAGATCACAGCTCACTGCAGCCTTGACCTCCCCAGGCTCAGATGATCCTCCCACCTCAGCCTCCTGAATAGCTGGGACTACAGTCTCACACCACCGTGCTCAGCTATTTTTTAAGTTCTTTGTAGAGATGGGGTTGCCATGTTTCCCATGCTGGTCTCAGACTTCTGGGCTCAAGCAATCCACCCACCTCAACCTCCCAAAGTGGGATTACAGGTGTGAGCCACCACACTCAGCCTCCAACATTTAGAAAAATCAATTATTTTTGCCTCCATCATAGCTGCTGTAACTCTTTGTTGGTCTTATGGCTTTCATGTGTGTCTCTACTTGGACTATAAACTCCATGAGGCGGGTATAGTGTTGTATATGCCATTTTATTACCAGATGTGACTTATGGTTGTTGCTCCCACAAGTGTTAATTGACTGACTCACTGAATGTATGTATCAATTTATTCTATTTGTCATAAAAATGCAAAGGGCTTGAGAATGCTTGATAACCTTTGCCATTAGGGTTGACAGATGTTACTCATTACACTGTGTTTACTGTGGCTTGGGCCCCACTGCATAATAACTCAGATTAATGTAGACAAATGTTTTCAAACTCTTAGGAAAAATGTGCTCAGAAAGAACATAGTCATTTTGCTACCTAGAACTAATTCTTAGATCATTACAAGAGAAATGAATTGCCTGACAAGAATTGGAAACACTTAAGGAAAAGTTGATTAAAGAAGACTTCATGAATGATGAATTATAAAATGTAATATCTGTGGGAGAGAGTTTTACTGACATTTAAATAAAGGCCAACAACACAAGCTGCAATTAAGCATTTACCATAGCAAATAAAGCACCATGAACGTGTTCATTCTGAATCACAATTATGTGCCATTCTGAATCACAATTATGTGCCATTCTGAAATAAACGTTCATGATCGGCAAGAGTCATTGATTGGAGTCTTGTGTTTTGGACGCTTTTGTGTTTACCATGATGATCACAAGTCCTGCTATGCAAAGGCAAGTGTGTTTTGCCTCCTTTCCCTGGGCTCCCAGCCCTTCTTCAGTCCTTTGCCTTCTGCTTTCCAGACATTTTTGCTTTTTAATGACACTTTTTTATAAAGTCCCCTGTGACTTTCTGATGAACAAATCCAGTGATCCCAGCCTAGAGTTTCTGGGATATTTAACATACAGATTCAATGAATACTTATTTATCATTTACTATGTGTCAGAGTTACTGACTGGATGCACTGTAATTTAAAAAAAGCAAAAGCCTTCCCCTTCTTCCAGAGAAAACCCACCAAAAACGACAAAGCAAAAACAAACAAACAAACAAACAAAAAAATAAAAACAAAAACCCAACCAAACTAAGTGACAACAAAAAATAGACTGGGTTTCTGACCTTAAATGTCTTATTATCTAGTAGGAAAATAGACATTAAATAAATAAGCACTGCAATAAGCATTTAATTAAATTCTGATGAATGCTATGAAAGAAAAGCATTGTGTTCTGAGAAACAATAACAGGGAAACTTATTTAACCCAGGGATCAAGGTAGCCTCTCTGAGAAGAAGACCTAAAGGAGGAGAAGGGAGAAAAAGTCCAAATGCAGAATTAAAAATAAATGATAGTTTGCAAGATATGTTCAATAGGACAATACGTGAAGAATATCCCCCAACTAGTAGATGAAGAGGAGGAATCTTCAGCTCCACCAGGAAACCAAACACTCCCGGGGATAAACATGATAAACGCAAAGAGAAAGCATTCATGGAGCCATATTTTAAAGATAAGAGGGAAACTAGCTTACAACATTTTTCTCACATTGAGGTGGTTCGGAAGAAAGATGAGAGAACCAAATTGCTTGGTCATACATATAAGGAATGTGAAATTTATTGTGTAGATATTCCAGCAAAAGAAAGAAAAGAAGTTGACTTCCTATTCAAGACATTTTGCTAAATTCCATCCAACACACCAGAGAATTTCTGAGAAGCTGGTTTTTCTTCTGACATGTAGCGGATATTCCCTTAATCCTTGATAGCACCTAAATGTAGGGTATATCCACAAGCTCGGGAATGAAGAAGATAAAATCATTGGCTGAAAATTGCTTAACGCATCTATGACTGCAAATGATAAGTATGAAAGAGAAACTGATAGTTTTTATAGAAGTGAAACTTCCTTTGTGTGGTTAGCACATGTGATTAAGACAACGGCAAAGTGTACTTACTACCCCTGGCAAAGTGTACTTACTACCCCTGTTTGGGCTTTTCTGGATCCTAGGAACTTTCTTATATAGAAATAGGGAAAAGGTCTTTTTCTTTCTCCCTCTTTAAAGATTAAAAAAAAATTAATCAGTAGTTCTCAACCCCACTACACATAGAAATTACCTGTGGCACTTTGAGAGCTCTATATGCCCTGAAACCAACTCGGGAGCTCCTTATTCAGTGGGTTGTGGGGGTAGAGCAGGGGTGGAATGGCTTAGGGATCAATAGTTGAAAAAGCTTCCCAAGTGATTCTGATGTGAGCCAAGTTAAAGAACTACTTCGGTAGGGCCTTATTTACTCTCATCTCTTTTTTTCTTTTTAAAATAATCTTTGTTTTTCCTAAATCAAATTAGCACTGAAGGAACTTTAAATAACTAAAATGATCAGATTTTTTTTTTTTAATAAAAGGAGAGAAAGGAGAGGCTTGGAAAACTTCCACCAAGAATGTCTGTGCTCTTATAGTTCTAGCCTTATCCCTTACATTGTAGGGAGTGGTGAGTGGCTGGGCAGTAGGTCCCAGTAGGTAAATCTGGCTTTGACTGGAGGACTTAGCAGGGTTTCCTAAATATTCTCACTTGCCATAACTTCCACTAGACTCTACATGTCTACAACACAGTCCCATATCTGATGTTCTCTCCCTTTGACAGATCACATGTTCTAATTTGTGCTTCTGAAAATGGGGCCCTTGGAACCATAAGAGCTTCCCCCATTTCCCTTGGCTTCTCCTCCCTTTGCCTTCACTTACCTCTAGCAGATGCCAATGTAGATCCATAATCCTTTCTCTGAAACCTTTGGAGCCAAATGTGGATTGGAATTCAAGATGGATTGGAACTCAAGACTTTTGAAGGGTAAACTCTGCATTGCATATTTTACACACTTCCTTCAGTGTAGTTGGAGGAACACCCTGTGATCAAACATTTTCATGTTTCTACAGGAAACACAGAACTCCTCTCATGAAGTGGGATGAATAAAGACCACAAGCAGCCTCATACGTGTTCAGTTCAGGTTCTGCTACCAGATGACATTGCCAGAACTTTTTGAATTAAAAACTCAAGAGTTTCAGAGCTCTTTGGATTTTGAAATTGTGAACAAGGGATAGAGAATCCTTGGTAGCTTCATCGTTTAAAAATTGGTTGGCAAAACTACTTTTTCACAGACTTTACTAGTTTTTCTCATCCTTGTAACAAAATCATAAGTAACATGAAAAACCAATTTCCATGGTCAGTTGCTTTCTGAATATTAATACTTTCAATTTGGTCAGAAATGGAAACCCCAGATAACCCTAGTTTATTTTTTTAATGGCAAAACTAAAATAGATTCAAACAAACAAACAAACAAACAAACAAACAAACAGACATTTAGAAGCTATATCATTGAATCCTGGTGGCTCAAGTTCAGAAATCTAAACAGCCGCCTTGAACCTAAGGTGAGCCATTTTGTTAACCCATGGTCATCCTATTAACTCCGTTCTTCAGCCTTCAGACATCTTTTCCCCCCTCTAATTGTAAGTTATATAGTTTTCATAGTTGGATTGGCTGAATTTCTCTTAGATTGTCCTTGCTGGGGTTCCTGGGGTTAGGCGGGCTTGCTGAAGAGACCATATGGGTAAATGTTATGTGACCTCACTGTTTTTATAGGCTGGTGAGGCCCAAGAGACGTTGAGTTCTGTGCATTTATTTTCTTATTAGGTTAGCTACTTACTGTTTTAGGACAGATTTTCTCCCTGTGTACTTCTCAGAACATGTGATATAGTTGGTGGGTGGTAAAAAAAGAAAAAAATCTCCTTTCTTTTTAAAATAGTTCATAGTAGAATTTGCTTTGGGGAGGAATGGGCTTGAAAATATCTTTTTTTAAAAAATTAAAAAAATGGATGTTTATTTACCATCAATCTTATTTCCATCTTGCTTAAGAGCCCATGGAAGAACAACTTAAAATCACTTGGTGGTGGTTCCTACCCCTTCAGTGGCCTGAGTCAGGGGAGCTGCAGACCATTCTTCCATAGCAGGTTGAATGCTGTAGTTTTCAGTCGAAACCTGCTGAATGGCCACAGGGGCACCTGCTTGCCTTCAGACCAGTCTGCAACCTCTGGTTGAGTAGCAGTGGAGTCAGGAGCTAGGGTAGTCCATTCACTCTGAAATTCCTCCTTGGTCACAGTCTTTTCAGCAGCAGCCTGTTCTTCCTTTTCAATCTCTTCAGGATCTCCATGGAAGTAGAAATCAGGCATGACCTTGATGAGTGTTCACAGGAGATGGTGCCACTTGTGTGCAGAACTTCCTGGGCCAGTCTCCACCACATCAGACCCACTGAGTGAACTCCCTTATTGTTGCATGGGATGGAGATGCCCACAGAGCACAGAGGAGAATCTGTGGAACACAGAGCAATGGTAGGCAGGTTACCATAAGATGTCTCTGTGAAAAGCTGGTGGTTAGCCCTGGGATCAGTAACCACCAAAAAACACGGCTCCTGGAAGGCTGCCTGGATTGGGTTAGTGAAGGTTCCAGGAGTAAAGCAGCTAGCAATAGGATTTGCTCCAGTGGCAGTAGCAAATTTGAGCACAACCCACTGGCCAGGATTCCTGGAGGACATGACACTGACATCAGCAGTGTTTTCAATGGCAACAATAGATGAGCTGTCAGCAGAAGCTTCTCCCAGATCCTCTTCAGACTGATGATGTAGATGCTGTCACTTTTCCTCTGGAAATCAAGGTTGGTGCCACCTAAATGAGTTCCTGCTGCAAGGAATTTAAGGACATCCTTCTCCTTCAGTTGCAGGACATCAAGGGCTTTGGACATTGTAAAAGTTTCCCTTTAAGCTACAGGAATCTAGAATACATCTTGATGGAGCATTTGGGAATGAAAAATCCTATCCCCATGATAGGATTGAGAAGTCTTAGGGCAGAACAAATGGAAGGTAGAATGATTTTTCATTTAAAACAAAATTGCTGATGGGGGCAGAGGTCATATAGGAGAGAGAATGGCTGAGCAATGTGAGAAATCAGCAGAGAGACTATAGAACTAGGTTGACTGTTATTCAGATCTTATTGTTTATGGGTCAACTGTGCAAACTCTGTATATTTCCTAACTTCTCTAAACTTTCTATAAAACCTGCTACCCAAAGTCTTTGTGTGAATGATTTTTTGTGTTTGTGTGTAAAACCAAGGAAGATAGCGGAATACCAGTTCAAGAACCCAGTGGGAATAAAGAAAAAGTTGCAAGGTGCCAAAGTGCAGAACAAGAAATTAGCTGAAGCAAGAGGCACTCAGGAGAACATAAGCCCTGGAGAAATACATGGAAATCTTGCAGAGGGAATTGGACTTTCAATATCGGGTGTGCTGGAGACCAGAAATAGTCTTGTCTAGATTTTAGGAGACAGGGTGATCCTAGATATCACCTAGGTTAAATAGTATATGGTCAACAGAAGTTATAAATGGCTTATTTAAACAATGGTAAACTGGACTTAGAATGTCACAGTCATCTCATAATGGTAAGAGTCCTGGAAAGGGACTTAGAAGTCCTGGGCTTGAGTTTTGTGGCACAATAATTATGTGACTGAGAAGACAGCTAACCACTATGAGGTACAGTTTTCTCATCTGTAAAAGGAGAAAAGAAACTAATTATTGGTCCTTTCATTTGGAAAATGGCCCAGATAGTAACTAGGATGTCCTAGGAAAATGCACACAATTTGGAATCTGAAATGCCCATGTGAAATATACAAACACATCCTGCTTTTGCCATGTGCTGGCTGTGTGACCTTTGGTCAGCTACTTAAATTCCTAAGCCTGATTCTTTATCTTTAAAGTAATAAGCATGCCTCAGGTGGCTTCAGGAGGATTAAGTTATTTAGCCTAGGTAAAGTGCCTGTGGTAGAGATGCTTGATTAAATATTAGACCCATATCTCTCGAATATAAGTCAACTTCTTTGCTCAGTTTTCTTCCCCATGACCTTGTGGGAAAAACATTTCAGTTCTGTTTTATAGAGTAGTCCAACTTGACACCCACTTATCCCTGCTGAGCAGAAAAAGAAATCACACCAAGCAACAATTCAACTGCACATTTTGCCAATTATATGGAATTTAAAAGCATATATTCAAATCCATATGCTGCTATGGTTACTGATTATAATACACTAAGGGTTTACGAAGAAAACTCTATATAAGGAACAGTATTCAGAGAAGTGATAAGTTTTGCCTGCTGATTCCTTCGTCACTATGTAGTTTCTATATTTAATATAAACCTTTCCCAACATCAATTCTAAATCCCAAGATTGTTTGTTGTAATAATCCTGAGAAATACAGTAGTAATGGAATTCTTATCAACTTTTTTTTTTTTTGCCTTGGAATGATTGGGGGCTGCCTCTGTCATCCACTTCACTCCTATCTTCACCAAGCCAGGGGTAGTTCCAGTTAGGCTTATAGTGAATAAGGTATAAAATCCTCAATTCTTCCATGAAAATGAGACATCCCTTTCTTATGTCCCAACATTTCTTCTCACTAGCCAGCTATCATCAGGATGCCTTGGACAGGCCTCCATCCCACTAAACACTGCCTCTGCAGTACCACTGAAGAACACCTAGGGTGAAGGGTTAGGTCTACCTGCCTTCTTTCCGTCCATGTTTCTTAGGTGCCTAGGGTTTCCATCTCCCTAGGGTCCTAGTGCCTTGGGAGAGGAAAGGGAGCTCTTTCCTCTACCTCAGAAGTATTGATAGGGCCAGGTTTCCTGTCCCAAATCTGCCAAGTCTATTTCCTGCTGGACCTCATGGTGTCTCCCTTTTATCCACAGTGTGTATCTGACCCATACCTAATAAAGGACTCCATAATAAGGAAAGTGGGTCTGAGGATAGGTAGAAAGCATGGGTCACTATACAGAACCATACAATTATATTTTCTTAATTTTGGTTCACATTTTCACTTGTTTACTGAATGGAATAAGTAAATATTGTATTGCCCCAACCTGCATTTAGTCACCCCTAGGTTGAAAAAAGAGTTCTTAGCTGAAGAAAAATTTCCAAACAATTATTGTGCTTCAGAAGATGATGCTCATTTAGGCATTGTGTCGAATTATGTGCTACTTATATTTTTGACCTAGTATTTCCTTTTATTTGGGTAGGCTATAGTCTTTCTTTGATAAGCATTTGTAATCCTGAATTTCCCACTTCCTAAGGGAAATAAGCAGATTGTGAAAGTTTACTACATTTTCATGAAGATGGTAATGAAGTACACAAATATTTGACGTTAATTTACTTCATTTTCCCTGGGGGACCCAGGATGTCCTAAATTGTAAATATATCTTAAGCAGAGAAGTCAGTGTTTCAATGTAGGTATGACATCAACGCTATGTCTCAGATTTTCACTGATGGGCAAAAAGACCTTTATTAGGTCAGTGTGACCAAATTGTGTTAATGTGGCTTGCTCTCATAAGGGAAATGAGATATAGAAAGATTAATTTTAGGGGTTCAGACTTTATCAGAATTTATAATTGAGAAGACAGATTGGGGCTCTAAATCTGAGACTCTCAGACAGTAAACAAAGGGGAAGGAATATTTATCATTTTTTTTTTTTTTGAGACGTAGTCTTGCTCTGTCACCCAGGCTGGAATGTAGTGGCACGATCTCAGCTCATTGAAACCTCCATCTCCTGGATTCAAGTAATTCTCCTGCTTCAGGCTCCTGAGTAGCTGAGATTACAGGTGTGCACCACCACACCTGGCTAATTTTTTATCTTTATCTTTTTAGTAGAGATGGGGTTTCGCCATGTTGGCCAGGCTGGTGTTGAACTCCTGACCTCAAGGAATCCACCCGCCTCAGCCTCTGAAAGTGCTGGAATTACAGGCATGAGTCACTGTGCTGGGCTATTTAACTTTTAAAGAGGTCACTTTCCAGAAGTTGATTGTTTTGGAACTCAGCACAATTTCACATAGGATTGAAGTTATAGGTGGCAGTTGCTTTAGTCTAGTATACACACATGCAAATGTAGAGCACAAGGCCTGTGAATCTGGAGCTTGGCCCAGGCATGGATTGAGGGAGCTGGAAGAAGACTGGATTTTTATAGAGCATCAGCTTTGTAGTCAGAGCAGGCTGGGGCATGAATGCTACAGGCTGGCTCTAGGGATGGCCCTTGGCACCACGGCCTTTTGGTTTATTGAAGTCTGATCAGTAACCACAATAACCATATCAATTTGACTTCCCATGCACTTATTAAATCTGTGAAATTGTCTTTATTTTTATTACCACCAACACGGCACCACATCCCAACAGGACTCCTGGAATAACTTTCTAACTGATCTGCTTTATATCTACTCTTTCTCATTGAGTCTCCATAATATAACCAAACTGATCTTTTAATGATTAAATGTTTAGGGAATCATGGCTGTTTTGAAATCTGTCAGTGGTTTCTCATTGTCCTTACAATAAATACCCCAGTCCTTACTGAAGTCTACAAGGCCTTCTACAATCTGGGCTCTCTGTACTTCTGCAACCTCATACTGGGCTGTTCTTTACAGTGATCTTATTTCCATTCTCAAATACGCCAACCGTACCATGTTGGGACCTTCATGCATGATGCTCCTTTTCCTGAAACACTTTGACCCAAACTCTGCTTGATCCACGGGCAATATTCTTGTATTGGCAGGTTCTCAGAGGTATTCATCTATGATTAAAGCTCAAAATCATAAAACATTGGATAGAGGCCTTTCACAGGCTGATTAAAACATAGAACTAGATTTATTTGATTTGAAAGTCTTCAGCATATCCTATACATACACACATACACACCGCATTATTAAAATGAAAAAAAGTTTCATAAAATATGTTAGTTTATGAGCTGCCATTTAAATCTTATGAAACAGGAGAGTTCCCTGACCCCCCTTGCAGGACATGCAACAGGGGTGTGGCTCATCTGTTTGGCCGCTGTGCACTCAAACCCCTTACGGGATGGAGAGCACAGAGACAGGTAGGTGCAGGAGCTGGAGCGAGTGCTTTTGAGCTCTGGCCCCATGGTAGCATCTAGTGGTTGGTGCCTCTGACTCGCAAAGCCCCAGTGGGTGTGCTACAGTGCTCTTTTAGCTCTGCTGTCTGTGGCTTAAGTGTTAACCAGCTCAGTGACCCCTTGGTACCTGGGTTCTTGTCTGGCATCCAGGAAGAGTCAGGTCACACATGGACTTGAAGGTTGGTGAATGTGGGGGGTTTATGAGTAGTGGAGGGGGCTCTCAGTGGGATGGATGGGGAGCTGGAAAGGGGATGGAGTGGGAAGATGATCTTTCCCTGGAGTTTGGCCATCTAGCAGCCGATATCCTCTCCAACCAGCCCCAGCCAAACTCCTCTCGATGTTCAGATGCTCCATCTCCTCTTTTCTCTGCTCCACCATTCTGCTGCTCTTCTGCTCTTCTGTTCATCTGCTCATGGAGCCTGGAGTTTGGGGTTTATATGGGTACAGGATAGGGAGTGTGGTGGGCCAAAAGGCAACTTTTGGGTGCAAAAACAGGAATGCCTGTTCTCATTTAGGGCCTCGGGTTTCCAGGCTTGAAGTTGGGGCCTTTGCTGGGGAACAATCCTTTTCTACCCAGCATTTCCCTGCCTCCTGTCCATATCACTTAGAGCTAATGTTTTAGTTCATAATACTTAAAATTACAATACAAACATGAATCATATCTTGAAAATTCCAGGCAGGGTAAAAAAAAAAACCTTGATCAAAACATTTAAACTCTATCAAATGTTATTATAAGGTGGGCAGATTGCTCTCCCAAACAACAAGTGGTTATAATGAAAAGGAGACTTTCCTTCATTTGCCAATTAATTGATATTTCCATAAGTAGTTACTAGTAAAATAATTCTAATGTTTAATATAACTTAGGTTCTGTTCAGTGGTCATTTACTGAATGGTCTATAGGCCAGAAGTAGCCTACATGTGTTTTGTTTCATCTATTGCATATTAAAAACATTTGAAGCAGTATTTAATAATTGGGAGAATTAAAATAATGGAGACTTCTGCTTCCCTTTGAACATGGAGGCACTGATGACCTAAGATCCATACTCCCCACATGGAAACAATCAGCTGGAGAGGAGCGGGAGGTATTCCCTTTAGGTACGGCAGTGTTTCTCAATCCTGAGTGTGCATCAAAATCACCTGGGGGGCTTGTTAAGCCATAGTTTTCTGGGCCCCACCCTAGAATTTCTCATTCAGTAGGTCTGGGATGGGGCCCCGAAATTAGCATTTCTAACAGGCTCCCAGATGATGCTGATGCTGCTGGTCAGAGTCAGAGTCCACACCTTGAGAACCACTGAAGTGGGGACTATGCTTTTCTGTTCACAGCAGTGCCCCTACTTCTTGTTGATTACCTTAACCTGAATATCCACTGCCATTTATCAAACTCACATTATTACTTTTTGCATAATTAGAGAATATTTTTCCCTATGTATTTATCTTGAAAGTGTGAAGATAACAAAAAAAGGAAAAAATATGTTTGTGGAAGGAAAGAATATTCCAACGTGTTTGCTATGCAAACACTTGGCCCTCTTCACCCATGTGCATTTCCTATTTTAGTACATGGCTTCTGGACCCTTTGAGTTTGTGAGCTCAGTGTTATGGTACTTTTCACACAGAAGAAGACTAAACTTGGACAGTAGGGTCTTGGCTTTTAGTCATTCAGACCTGGGCTTAAGCCTCTGGATCTGTAGTTTACTAGCTCTGTGACACTGGGAAACTTCTGAATCTCATTAAGTCTCATTTCCTCATGTATAATATAGGGATCTTAGTAATAACTATTCCACTGGGTTATGGTAAAATTAAAAAATTGAATGTGATGTGTCTCGCACATAATAAATGCTCAATAACTATTATTTGTCAAGGCATTTATTGGCATTTTAATACTAATTTTAGAATAATGCAACCGTGAGCTGGAAGGAGAGGAAAGGAACTAAGCAGAAATGGAGTCAGGAAACTGGAAAAGCTGAGTTGGGAAACTGGAAAAGCCGAGTCAGGAAAGTTAAAACCCAGAATGAGTAGAGGTTTGCAAAAAGCACAAAGGACAACAAAAGTGGAGTCTCACAGTCATTTTTAGAGTTAGAAAAATAAGGAAAGAATATTGATTAAGGAAAATTAATGTTAATAGACAATAGGAAAAAAATTCGAGAAATATTGAATTGGTGTTTGAATTTTTTTCTTCTTGGTCAAAGAGAAGTATTTTCAGTCAGAAGGGAAAAATAAATATTAGTAAGAGGAATCTAAATTCTTAGATTTATCTAAGAATCACAAAGAGCTATCCAAATGAGTTCATATTAGCCATGTTTGTATAAACCAGGTCATTGGTTCCTGGAAGAAAGGGCAGGTAAGGTTGTGGAAACATAAATGACAATCGATGAGGAATTACAGAGCATGAGCATGTTCCCTTACAACCACAGAGACCCATTTTAATTCTGATTTCCAAAAGAAAGAAGAGGAAGTGTCTACTCATTCTCATGACTTTATGAATTATAAACCAATAAGCTTGATGTGTACCCCAAGTGAAATAGTAAATGAATTGATCATCAGCATTTAGGAAAGGAAAATAATGAGTATAATTGGGGTCATTGGTTCTTAAATGAAAGTTTTATCAGTATACTTATTGTCTTTTTTGATAAGATTATTAAACTAGTGGATCATGGAAATGATTCACTTATTCAGCAACCATTTATTGAATACTAGTTAGGTGCAGACACATGGTCTGTTTCATTTTTTATTGGAGAAACAGCCAATATGTTCACCTGTTAATGAACATGGGATACAATCAAACATTCCGGAAAGAATGGAACAGAGATCAAACCAAGTATACACATGCCCACACAAAAAGATGGGCTTTTTCAAAATTGGAAATACAGGAGTTGCTGGATGAGATAATAGAAAATGAGTTAATTTTAGGACTTGTGTTTAAAATGTGTTAATGATGTAGCTAGAGATGTCTATTAACTTACAGACACAGAGCTCAGAAGGCCCTAGGCTGGAGATAAGGATCTGGGAATCATTAGCTTGTATAGATTGTCAAAGTTATCACAATGCCTAAGATTTCCCAGGAGGGGCATGTTGAATGAGCGCCCCAGCCAGAACGCAGGAAGAATGAATATCTAAGAAAAGAAGAAAAAGAGCTTATAAAGAAGACAGAGAAACAAAAAGCGGGGAGGTAGGAGGAGAATCAGGAGAGAGTGATGCCACTGGCCAAGGGAGGAGAGCCATTCCTGTGAAATGCTGATGGCCAGCTGCATTTGGAAGCCTTGCTTCGGTTGTGACACCAATCTGCACTGATGTGGGAGTTTTCTCCAGCAGCTCATGCTGAGCTAGCAGGGTGTAGGAGAGGAAAAGGGAGATAGACTGAATGGTCTATATTAGGAGGTTTGCAGAAATAGTAAAGTGGAAGAACAAGGAAAATAGTAAAGAAGTTATTAAAGAAGTACATTCATATGGTGCTTAAATTTAGCATAATGTGATGTTGGGTGGGCAGCCAGAATCTCAGTTGTCTTAATTAATACTCAAAAGTAGCATAATTGGGCTGTGCACAGTGGCTCACACTTGTAATCTCAGCACTTTGGGAGGCTGAGGTGGGAGGATCACTTGTGCCCAGGAGTTCAAGATTACAGTAAGCTATGACTGTGCCATTGCACCCCAGGGTGGATAACAGAGCAAGACTCCATCTCTTAAAAAAAAAAAAAAAAAAAAGGAGCGTAGTTGAAACAAATAGTCAAATCTAGCAGACGAAAAAATCTAATGGAGATGCATATACATTCTACACTTTGCCAGGGAATTGTCAGAGTGCTGAATGAAGCAGAGACGAGGACAAATTCCTGTGGAATAAAGCTAGACACTTACTCCACCTTCTTCTTTTCTCTTTCTCCTAAAGTGACAATGAATCTTTAATTAATATTTTCTCTTTTAAGAATGGATTTTAAAAAGACAATGAGTTGAACCAACGTTTTTCCATCTGGACATAAGATAACCACGTGGAGGTCAATTGACATTCAGATTTTGTAGCTGACTTTCAACTCACTGATAATATTACATTGCTAATAATATAGGTAACATTTTATGTGTTAAGTAGTTTTACATGTGTTTATGTGTATAGTAGATCTATGAATCTCAGTCCATAGACTGCATTGATCTAGAAAAATAACATTTCCTCTAACTCAATTTGATGTTTTATCTTTGTACTAGCAGGCTAAGGGTAACACTCTCCGATTATTATTGGTTTCTCTCTTCTTCCCGGGGGTTGAGACAAAGACCCTGTTGGGATTTACTTAGTGCCTTTAGCAGTACATTGAGGGAGGGTGAGCCTTCTGGTCCCTGAGCCATCTGTTCCCATTGAGTTACCCTGAGAGAGTATTTGGCTTGCAGCATGGCCTTTTAGAACTGGAGGCTCACAGAGATATTTTGCTGCATAGCTTGAGGGCCAGAAATCTTGTTTGGTTTTTGTTTGTTTGTTTGTTTGTTTGTTTTTGAGCCGGAGTCTTGCTCTGTCGCCCAGGCAGGAGTGCAGCGTCGCGATCTCGGCTCACTGCAAGCTTCGCCTCCCAGGTTCACACCAGAAATCTTTAAGAGGCAATGAACTGGTGTGCCTAGACCCTGCACGAAGCCATCTCCTCTTTGGGGTATTGCTACCTCCTGCTTTGGGGTATTGCTACCTACTGCCCAGAAAGAAGGGAACCTGGCTCTTGAACCCCTCATTCTGTCTGTTCTCATCATTATCTGCTCTTCACTCTCCATGCCTCAGACCTCAGAGAATCCTATTCTAGGTGGTGGGTGGAGGAAGTCAATGCTCTTTGACCTCTGTTTCTCCCACACATTTGATCTTGACATCATCCCCAAAATTCTAAGTTCCCTCTTTTAAAACACAGAGACAAAAAGTGCCAATTGGCTATTTATATCTTCTGACTAATTGCCTCCCCTCCCTGAGGCAATGAGTGCAGGATTGCCTATATACTTGGAAAAGGGGAAAGACCAGAAGAAAAATGGACTCAAATAACTCTCCCTCCACACCCACATTAAATTCTTTATTCTTGTAGCAACAAAATTAGAAAATTAGCTAGGAGCTTGGCTATTTGCTTTAAAAGCATCCTTCCAAATCTGAGATTCTGTAGTTTTATCAATGTTAGGCTAAACCAGTTGGTTTGTGCTGCTAGCAAGGATGGAAAAAACCATGGGGCAGCTTTCGAGGCAGATGACAGCAGCTAATCAGACACTGAGAGCAAGGGCCCTGGACTTCTAGTCCTTTAGTTCTGGAGTGTTCAGAAAGATTCTTAAGAAATAATAGTGACCAAAACGGAACACTTCTCTGATGCCTAACTTTGTACTTTGCCTCTGACCATTAAATGGAGGTTTTCACTTCTCTGTGTGGCCAGACCTGGCTCTTCTTCAACTCCAGTTTCTCTTCTGATTGTGGCTCGACAGCATGTCTCAGTCCTTGGTGACTTTCAGTCTCCTGCATTGGGGTCAGGACTGTGATGCATCCTGGTGGCCTCTGAAATTTTATAGAACATTATTATCAATGAACATTGGTCAATATTAATTGCGTAGAGCTCTGTGCTAAGGTTTTGCATATTGTAAAACTAAAGGGGCTTACAGTCATGTTGGAGAGATGGGGTGTGTGCATCGTCCAGTGCAGCATGTCTCAAGCACCCTCTATGCGATGGTCCCAGGAGTCTGGGGAAGGAGAGTAGCACGAAGCAGAACTATCAACTGCTGAGCCAAAAAGGCATGCACTGTGACACTTGAATTGCAGCTGCTTTAGAACCGTACCTAAAAATAGCTCCAGCTCAATCTGCAGAAATTCTGACCTTAATGGATATGCTCGAGTTCAAGAAAGATGATTTATTCTTAGATCTTTATAACCAACTGCGAAGGAAGTCTCAATCTCAGCAACATCAGTGATTACTCCTAATAATATCTATCTCCCAGACACATGCTTTGAAGATGAAATGAGACGATACAGGCAAAACAACACTGATTGCAATTCAGATATTTACTGGTATGGCTCATTATTCTTATATATTCAAGAGGTACAGTGGGTGCTTTTACATTTTAATAAGGAATACTAGATACCGAGTGAGGCCCTCCCCTCACATCCACCAAATTGATCACTGCAGTGTTTGCATCAAAATAGCAGTATCAGTATCAAAATAATCAGATTTTGAATGCCTCAGAATACCCAAAGCATCCACTTCTAAATTGCTATTTAAGATGAATGCTCTACCTTTTATATTGCATTTTTGAAACTGAGTCAATCAGAAAAGTACTTTGATGTTGTAAATACCTACACATCAGCTCATCTGCTTTTAAATTAATCAAAATATTTAGGCATCTTCACAGAAATTTCTCATATTCATAAAACAAGGCAATAGTTATTTACTTCCTGGCATGGTAATATGTTTTGGGCAATCTCTGTTTGACTTGCATAAAAGGAATAAAAGCTAGTTTCATGAAACTCCATTGTCAGAATAATGAATGTTTTAAAAATACACTATTCAAAGCCTGCTCAACTCTCTTCCTCAGGCTATGGAGAATGTTTCTCCAGTGAGTCTTAGAAGGAAGGAAACCCTTCCTTCACCCCACTTCCTGTGCCTCCTTTAGAGCTGGGCTTGTAGCCAGAGTGAACAGAGAATGGCAAAACTGTTAAAAGGTTAACCGTCAACATGGCGTTCTCAGCATCTCTCAAAGGCACTTAGGAAACTAGTTGCAAGGAGATGAGTAGCAGCCAGAGAGCACCCCAGAGAGTACACTTGTGCTTATTATTCCACATGATTACATATTCAAATTGGTTTTAATTCCTGGGCAGCCATGGGGATGTTGGGGGAGGTGGGAAATAGCTTGCTGGAAAGGGGCAAGAACGGCGGAAGGAGCAGGTCTGGCATTAAAAATGTGCTGCAGATACTTCTCTAAGGCAAATGAGCCTCACGATTACGAATTTAGGCAACAAGGAAAGAGCTGTGGATCTAAAAAACGAGGTTGAATTTCCACGTGACATATGATAATCCCTTTCAATACATTAAGAATTCTACTTTGCATCAGCGTTACAGACTTCTTTTTCTTGAATCCTTCATAAAGGGCTTTAAAAAATTCTACTGTGGCCAGGTAAGTTAACCCATACCCATGCTGCCTTATAGATTCAAAAACCCCAGGGATTATAAGTAAATGTCTGTGACATTTTAGTCAGCTGGAGTTGGTGTTAGGAAACTTTTGAGGGTTCGTGGCTACAGATATAACCTTTGGCTGTCTTCACCAACTGTGGTTTTGAGAGGATTCACAGTGGTTACGTTTGAAGGTGTGGGCAGAGGTAGGGGAATTTGAAAAACATATGCAATTGTTTATTAGCTTTGTATGTTTGTAACCTTTCAATGGCACTTTCAAATAAAAAATACTCAGCATTTGAAAAGCCATGTTTTATTGCTAGAAATAGAATAAATGGAATATAAACATAGATAGCAGTGAGTATAATCTATTTAACACACATTATAGGATTTAAAAATCCTAATCAAGTTTGCCATTTCATCCAGGAATCTGTAATAGAACCTAATTGAGATGTGTTGAGACTTGGGAGGATTAATCACAGGAGGATGGAACTGAATTAGGAGGAGGTGAGACTCGGAGAATGAAATGCAGCAGGGATTTCGAGGAGAGGGATTGGACTCAACACAGCATTATCTAGAAGGTTAACAACAGACTATGGCTGATAGACCATGTAATAGCAGGAGAACCCAACATAAGGGTGTGGGCAATGAGAGTTTTGACCAAGAAGAATTTCAGAGCAAGTGATATTCAAAGGTCTAAGTAGCTCTGTCCAATAGAAATATGTAGTTTAAAATTTTCTAGTAGCTATATTTTAAAAAGTAAAAAGAAACATATACAATAAATTCTAATAATATATTTCATTAAACTCACTATATCCAAAATATTATAACTTGTGGCACAGTGCCCAGTGGCCACAGGTGGCTATCATATTGAAAAGCACAGAAATCAATCAGTTCTTTGGCACCAGGTAAGTCTATCAGGTCAGAGGAAGACCAACATCATGACTGGATGGAAATGGGCATATTAAATGGACGTGTTAACTGGTAATTTGCAGAAGAGAAAGTATAAATGGTTAGACAGTTTATAAAATAATTTCCACCTCACTTGTAATAAAAGCTATAAAAATTAAAATATCAGCAAGATATTATTTCTCAACTGTCAAAATAGCCAAGGTTAAAAAAATGGAGTTGTTTGAAGGTATGCTAAAACTCACATGATGCTGTTAGCAGTATAAATTGGTATAACTATTGGAAAATAGTTTTATATTTCATATCAAGAGCTTGGAATTGTTTTTCTTACTTTTGGAACTCTATAACAAAAAACAATAGCAATCATTACTGAATGCTTATTACATGAAAGATGATATGTTTAGCGTTTAATTATTTTAAGTCTTTTAACCATCACAACAGCTCTGGGAAGTAGATGTTATTATCCAGTTTTAACCCTATGAAAATAAATCAAAGTATGGAAAAATTATGGATTAATATGTTATTAATAGCATTGTTATAAGAAGCAAAAAATAGAGGCAAAAAAACAGATTTAGTAAAAACCCTAATATTTCAGAATCAGGAAATAGTTAACTAAATGAAATTTTTCAATGGAATCAATGTATTTGTAAGAGTGCTTTTTAAAGAATATGAAATGACATGGGAAAATACATATCTTAGTCTGCTATTGCCACAATAAAGCCGCATAACAAACATTAAATCTGTCTGGCCGAAAACAACAAACATTTACTTATTTTGCTTATGTTTGCGGGTTAGCTGGAATGAGACTCTGCTTTTGGCTTCAGGTAAACCGGCCTTGGCTGCAGGTTGCAGGTCTGGGCTCAGGTATGTTGCTCTGTATTCATTTTGGAGCCCAGGTTGAAGGGGTATCTGCTACCAGGGGGAAGCTCTTCTCATGGGAGTCTCCTAGGGGGCAAGAGGATGAGTGCAACCACACAGCACATCCGCTTGCTTCATGTCTACCAACTTCTGATTGGCCAAAGCAAGTCACATGGCCCAGCCTAAAGTGAGGGATGGGGAAGTATCCTCTGCTTGCCTTGAGAAGATGGCAAGAATGAGTTATGTCTAATTCTCTTTTGAGGGAAAAAAAGAACAGGCACAAATAATTCAATTAACCCCAGTCTGCTTTCCATTGCCTTTCTTCACATCCCTCCCACAGGTGCTTGCGTCCATCTCAAGATCCTTCCAAATCTCATCCCCTGCTGGTGTCTTCTAGTAGGAGAAGAGTGAGATGCACATAGCGGTCATGGTTTATAGCCATTGTGAAATCCTCGTTGATCAATGTTGCCAGGTTCCCCTACCTTGGGAGAAGGGAATATTCTTACTGGCTTAGACCCCATTACTGCTCCCTGGGCATAGCTCCCCAAACCTCAGTTCATTATTTCTCTATGGTTTTTGGCTCCACTCTTTGGGAAGTCCCTTGCCAAAATCCCCCTTGGTCACTTCTAAAGTGGGCATTGGAGAATATGCCGTATTTGGTGTCTGAGTCACCCTCTCAGCCTGCACCCTCCCTGTGGAAGGTTGGGGTAGGAGGAGACTAGAGGCAGTTTTATATCTCAAAAAGTCACAATCGCTTTTAGTTCATGTTAACAGAAATTTTCTCAATATAGGTTTATTTTTTTATTCCCTATAAATGCAGGATTTCTGGGCCATGTTTATGTACTCTCAATTCTGTTGCAAGGTAGCCATGCTTTCCTTGGAACCTGTATTAGTCAGGGTTCTCTAGAGGGACAGAACTAATAGGATAGATGTGTATATGAAAGGACTTTTATAAAGAAGTATTGACTCACACAAACACAAGATGAAGTCCCACAATAGGCCATCTGCAAGCTGAGGAGCAAGGAAGCCAGTCTGAGTCCTAAAACCTCAGAAGTAGGGAAGCCAAGAGTGCAGCCTTCAGTCTGTTGCTGAAGGCTCCAGGACCCCTGGCAAATCACTGGTGTAAATCTAAGAGTCCAAAAGCTGAATAACTTGGAGTCTGATAGTTGAGGGCAGGAAGAAAGGAAGCAAAGATAGTTGAGGATGAAAGAAGCAAGGAAGAAAGATGAAGGCCGGAAGACTCAATGAGTCAAGTCCTTCCAACTTCTTCTGCCTGCTTTATTCTAGCCATGTTGGCAGCTGATTAGATGGTGCCCACCTGGATTGAGAGTGGGTCTGCCTCTCCCAGTCCACTAACTCAAATGTTAATCTCCTTTGGCAACACCCTGACAGACACACTCGGGAACGATACTTTGCATCCTTCAATCCAATCAAGTTGACATTCAGTATTAACAATCACAAGTCCACCCTTTGTCAACTTGAACCCGTACGCATCTCCTGAAATCATACATAATCTTCAAATAAAGACAATCAATAAAAGGTCATAATTATGCCTAACATAATACAACTATTCTTTGTACAAATGGAAGTGCACTAATCCTTAACCTAAGTGCTATTACATAAAGTTAACAACACTTAAATGCTGATATAAAGTCAATAAATCTTATGTCATATGATAAAGGAAAAAGAAAAGAAATAAAATGAAGATATTTCCTTAGTATAAGTGTACACATGCACAAACATGTTCTTAACAAAATAAGGGGAAATACTCATGACAATTACAGTTCTCGTTTCTGCAGCTGGTCATGTGGTTGTAGCTGGTATTGGTGACTACCTTCTACTAACCATTCTGTATTCCCTTTGCCTTCAGCAAGCACCTCAGTGGGTGGTGAATTTTTACCTGGTGGAGTGACCCAGACCTTCATTCCTGAAGGGTCTGGGTCATCTGTAGTCCTGCCTGGATTGGGTTGTTTTAGTTTCCCATTGACCTTAATCACAGGGTATGATATAAGAGACGCCCTAAGAGATCTCCTGTGTAGACTGATTTCATCTTGACAGACCAGATCAATCACCCCAGCCAACAATGTAACTCCTTACTTAGCCTGTTGACTTAGAGGTAGGAGGAGCCCAAAGTGTCCAGGTGGCAATCGTAACTTCCAGTTTAATGGGATCATTGTTGAGTCTCCTGGTGGCAGCATTCCTCCCTCTGGAACTAAGACCTCTAGACCAGCAGAACGTAATGTCACAGGAACAGGAAGCAAAAATTTTGCTGGGGGGTCACTAGGGATGATGGTGAGCGGTGCCACTTCCATTTCCATCCCTTGATTCCTGGACCCATGAATACTGGCTCTGAGGGAAACAGTACCATATATTGGATGCTGATTCAAAGCATACACAACCTTCTGGAGAACTTTGCCCCAGCCCTGCAAAGTGCTATCACCTAGTTGGTGGTGTCATTTTGACTTCAAAAGGCCATTCCACCGTCCTATCAATCCGGCTGCTTCAGGATGATGGGGAACATGGTAAGACCAGTGAATTCCATGAGCATGAGCCCATTGCTGCACTTCTTTGGTTGTAAAGTGAGTGCCTTGGTCAGAGGCAATGCTGTGTGGAATACCATGACAGTGGATAAGGCATTCCATGAGTCCACAGATGGTAGTCTTGACAGAAGCATTGTGTGCAGGATAGGCACACCCATATCTGGAGTAAGTATCTGTTCTGGTGAGAACAAACCATTGCTCTTTCCATGATGCAAGAGCTCCAATATAATCAGCCTGTCACCAAGTAGCTGGCTGATTGAGGAATGGTGCCATATCAAGAGCTCAGTGTTGGTCTCTGCTGCTGGCAAATTGGGCACTCAGCAGTGGCTGTAGCCAGGTCAGCCTTGGCGAGTGAAAGTTCATGTTGCTGAGCCCATGCATAACCTCTGTCCCTGCCACCATGGCCACTTTGTTCATGGGCCCATTCGGTGATGAGAGGGGTGGCTGGGGAAAGAGGCTGAGTGTTATCCACAGAATGAGTCATCCTATCCACTTGATTACTGAGGTCACCCTTTAGTGAACCTTCACATGAGATACAAATAGCTTCACAGTTTTTTACCACTCAGAGAAGTCCATCCATATACCTCTTCCCCAAATTTCCTTGTCACCAATTTTCCAATCATGCTTCTTCCAAGTCCCTGACCATCCAGCCAAACCATTGGCTACAGCCCATAAATCAGTATGTAATCGCACATCTGGCCATTTTTTCTTCCAAGCAAAGTGCACGGCCAGATGCACTGCTTGAAGTTCTGCTCACTGGGAAGATTTCCCTTCACCGCTGTCCTTCAGGGATGTCCTAGAAAGGGGCTGTAGTGGTGCAGCTGTCCACTTTCAGGTGGTGCCTGCATATCATGCAGAACCATCTGTGAACCAGGCCCTAGTCTTCTCTTCCTCTGTCAACTCATCATAGGGAACTCCTCATGAGGTCATTGGTGCAGGCTGAGGGAGAGAAGGCAGGGTGACAGAAGTGGAGATCATGGGCATTTGAGCCACTTTCTCATGTAACTTACTTGTGCCCTCAGGAACAGCCTGAGCTCCATCACATACATACCACTTCCATTTAATGATGGAATGCTGCTCTGCATGACCCACTTTATGGCTAGATGGGTCAGAAAGCAACCAGTTCATGATAGGCAGTTCAGGTTGCATGGTGACTTGATGACCCGTAGTCAAACATTCAGTTTCCACCAAAGCCTGGTAACAGGCCAAGAGCTGTCTCTCAAAAGAAGAGTAGTTATCTGTGGAAGATGGCAGGGCCTTGCTCCAAAATCCTAGAGGCCTCTGCTCTGATTCACCTATGGGGGCCTGCCAACGGCTCCAAACAGCATCCCTATCTGCCACTGACACCTCAAGCACCATTGAATCTGCTGGGTCATATGGCCCCAGCACTTACACAGCAGCCTGGACCTGCAGCAGAGCCTTCTCCTGTTCTGGACTCCATTCAAAATCAGCAGGCTTTTGGGTCACTTGATAAATGGGCCAGAGTAACACACCCAGATGAAGAATATTTTGCCTCCAGAATCCAAATAGGCCCACTAGGTGTTGTGCCTCTTTCTTGGTTGTAGGAGGGGCCAAATGAAGCAACTTATCTTTCACCTTAGAAGGATATAAAGATATATAAAGATATAGGCCACACACCACTGGAGCCCTAGAAATTTTACTGAGGTAAAAGGTCTCTGAATTTTAGTTGGATTTATTTCCCATCACGTGGCATGCAAATGTCTCACCAATAAGTCCAATGTGTTTGCTACGTCTCGCTCACTGGATCCAGTCAGCCTAATGTCATCAATATAATGGGCCAGTGTGATATTCTGTGAAAGGAAAAAGTGATCAAGATCTCTGTGAACAAGATTATGACACAAAGCTGGAGAGTTGATATACCCCTGAGGTAAGATAGTGAAAGTGTATTGCTGGTCTTGCCAGATGAAGGCAAATTGCTTCTGGTGGGCCTTATGGACAGGAATGGAGAAAAAGGCAATTGCCAAATCAATGATTGCATACCAGGTACCAGGAGATGTGTTAATTCATTCAAGCAATGAAACCACATCTGTTACAGCAGCTGCAATTGGAGTCACTACTAGGTTAAACTTATAATAATCCACTGCCATTCTCCAAGATCCATCTGTCTTCTGCACAGGCCAAATGGGAGAGTTGAATGGGAATGTGGTGGGAATCGGAATCACCTCCCCTGCATCTTTCAAGTCCTTGATGCTGGTGTTAATCTCTGCAATCCCTCCAGGGATGCGATATTGGATTTGGTTTACTGTTTTTCTAGGTAGAGGCAGTTCTAATGGCTTCCATTTGGTCTTTCCCACTGTAATGGCCCTCTCCCTACCTGTCAGGGAGCCAATGTGGGGGTTCTGCCAGTGGCTAAGTATGTCTATGCCAATTATGCATTCTGGCACTGGGAAAACAACAGGATGAGCCCAGGGACCCACTAGACCCATTGTAAGTTGGACCTGAGCTAAAACACCATTAATTACCTGACCTCCATGAGCCCATACTTTAACTGGGGGACAACAATAACATTTTGGGTCAGTTAGAATCAACATCAGCTCAGAGTCAGTGTCTAGTAGTCCCCCAAAAGTCTGATCATTCCCCTTTCCCCAGTACACAATTACTCTGGTAAAAGGCTGGAGGTCTCCTTGGGGAAAGATGGGAGAAAGATTAGCAGCATAAATTGTTGGTAGTGTAGTGGGGTCCTTTCTCAAGGGAACCTGGCCTCCCCTTCATTCAAGGGGTTCTGGGTCTGTAAACTGGCTCAAGTCTGGAAACTGACTGAAGGGCCATGATTCTCTATTTTTATAATTGAAATTAGTCTTGTCCACTTGATGTGGAAGTTTTCTGCTTATACAAATCAAGTAAGAATGCAGTAGGCTTCCTATCAATTTCACTTCTAGAAGCACTGTGATTAATTAGCTAATGCCAGAGCTCTACTGGAGTCAGACTATTCTGATTGCTGCTTTGCCCCTGCTGTCCATTACAGTAACTATGCCCACCTTGCTTTTGACGGTTGAGGGCTGCCACTTGGCCACTGCCACCTTGAGATCCAATTACTCTCATTGCATTTAAATTTTCTAATTAAGTGACTGTGGTTCTCACTGTAAGATCTGGCATACGGAGAAGAGCAATCACAAAGCTCTTCAAGGATATAGGTTCTCCCCTCATAGATCTATTTTGGAAAGTATTGGTGAAGGGTATGTCTTCTGGACCCTCCCAGCTGGAATGAGTAGGTCTAAAGTGACTAATCCACTCTAGTATTCCAATCTCCCTAAGCCTTTTGATCCCTTCCACTACATTAAACCAGGGGAGATCAAGCATTTCCAGCTCACTCACAGTGGGCCATCTGTTAATCTATATTTCAGCTAACCAAGCAAATAAACTATTAGAACCTTTTTAAACTCCCTAAGCTGCAACATTAAATGCAGGATCCCTTCTTAGTGGGCCCATATCAATAAATTCAGCCTGATCCAACTCTATGTTCCTTCCACCATTATCCCATACCCTTAATGTTCATTCCCTTGCCTATTCTCCAGATTTCTGCTTATATAAATTAAAAGACTCAAGCAGTTCTTTTGGAGTGTAGTGCACCTCCCCATAGGTCACACTCTGAACCTCGCCTCTAGGGGTCTGCGGGGACTTGAGTCTACTTATTGGTCTAGAAGCAAACAGGGGTGTTGGGGGTGGGTCCTGAGGAGAATCAGCATTGTCTTGCCTGGTAACTGCCTCAGAGGAGGCCATCACTGTTGGCTCAGTCAGTGCAGGGTTTAACTCCTCAGATAAAGGTGGAAAGGTTGATGGCCATGTTGGTGGGGGAGGGGATGTTGCCACCACTGAGGGTGGGGAGGCTGTTTCCTCTGGCAAAAAAAACTCATCAGAGTTTACAAGCTCAGTGTAGTGAGGGTCCTCTTACACATCTCCATTCCAAGTTGCAGAGTCCTATTCTTTTCCAGTCAATGCTCTCACTTTAACAGTAGACATCTGATGAGGCTGAGCATGCACCTTTCCTTGCAGGTTAGCCATTCTCATTATAAGAGCTTGTGTCTGATTTTCTGCAATTTCAGTCCTTTGTCTATAGGAGATAAGAGTCTCACTTGGGGCAAACTTAGAAGACTTGAGGCTCAGTATGTGCTTCTAGAGCTGGAAGTTAGAATCCCTGAGCTCATCCTTTCCTTTCATCACTTTGTCCAGTGAACTTAAGAGCAACCAACCAACTTCATTATATTTCTTGATTCTCCACATATGGTCAAAGGTATTATGTATAGAGTCACTAAACTCCTTGCCTCTCATGAGCGATTAATCAGGAGTATCAAATGCATTTAGTTTGCATAACTCTCTAAACAGTTCACTCCAAGGACCATCGGTGTTCTCCAGACTGTTAGAAGTAGAGTCCTTAACATTTTTGAGTCTCATCATATTAAGTAGCCAACTCCAGAAACCCCAAAACCAACTAAAGAAATCCATCCTTAAAATTCTCTTCCTCTAGAACTGCTCCTGGTACCAAAACCTGGATTAATCAGGGTCTTCTAGAGGGACAGAACTAATAGGATAAATGTATACATGAAGGGGAGTTTATTAAGGAGTATTGACTCACACAATCACAAGGTGAAGTCCAACAATAGGCCAACTGCAAGCTGAGGAGCAAGGAAGCCAGTCTGAGTCCCAAAACCTCAAAAGTAGGAAAGCTGACAGTGCAGCCTTCAGTATGTGGCCAATGGCTTGAGAGCCCCTGATAAACCACTGGTGCAAACCTGAGAGTCTAAAAGCTGAATAACTTTGAGTCTGATAGTTGAGGGCAGGAAGTCTCCAGCATGGAAGAAAGATGAAGACCAGAAGACTCAGTGAATCTCGTCTTTCCAACTTCTTCTGCCTGCTTTATTCTAGCCATGTTGGCAGCTGATTAGATGGTGACCACCCAGATTGAGAGTGGGTCTGCCTCTCCCAGTCCACTGACTCAAATGTTAATCTCCTTTGGCAACAACCTCACAGACACACCCAGGAACAATACTTTGCATCCTTGAATCCAATCAAGTTGATACTCAATATTAACCATTACAGAACCCATCTCTTATCATAACTTTTCAAATGCAATTCAACAACCCGCTTACCCTATCAGCATTGCGAATTGAAACTTGCTTGGTCATCATCCCAACTTTATCAGGTCCATTGTCTGTCTTTTGGTTTATTGAAAGTAACAGTTAAAACAAATGCTTTACTTTCACTACTATATAACATGGACCACCATTTTTTCCAGGCTTTTAGAACAATATTCTTCTTGTCTAATTTCCAGTCCTAAAGCTGATGGCACATATTTTGGGATTTGTTATGGCAGGACCCCACTTCCAACATATTCAGCTATTGCCACCATAATGCTCTATAACAAACAACCACAAAATCTCAGAGGCAGGCAGCAGTAAGCATTAGTTTCTGGCTTATGTGGACTGGCCGGGGTTTGCCTCCGCTGCTGGCTGGGAGTCAGCTGGGCTTAGCTCCTGACCTTGAGTTGGGTCCAGGCCTGCTCCCTGTGTGGTTGTTCTGCAACCCTGGCTGCATGAGCTTTTCTCATTGCAGACAATCACATTGCAAGAGAACAAGCCCAACCACATCAGCACATTCCAAGCCCTTGTTTGCATCATGCTGTGGTAATCATGTCTTTATACTCTGTTTTTGTTGATGCTTTGACATCTTGGGGCCTTGCTGACCCTGGAGTGACTACTTCTCCCAGGGTTAGCTAATTCCTAGAGATAGCAAACTACTGGCCTAAGAGTGCACCTTTCATACACAAACCAACTACTCCAGAGCTCATACCCCCCAACACCTCCATTAATGAACTCTTACATTCTGGGCCGATACTCCAGGACCAAATACCAGACAACTGTACCATAGAGTCCACTGAAATTATTCAAAGTGGCCAATCCTAAACCTGCTTACCCTGCCTTGCCCATTATTTTTCCCGCAGAAATGACAATAAAATCTTCTCCCTGCTTCCTCTGCCCTTGACTGACCCTGGTGCTTCCCCATGTGGCCCTGCATTATGGTGTGGCATGCCCTTTTGTCTTGGGGTCTGTTGAGTGTAACAAACTATGTTTACAGTGGTAGCTGTCTCCTGATCTGTTGGCTTTGCCATATCTTAAATAATAAAACCTACATTAAAAAATATTTGTCCACTAATAACCCTTTGGCCAATGTAAATCACTTGATTAATCCCAAAGTCAAGGTGTTGGGAATAACTCTCTGCTCACCAGCCTGGCGAAAGTAAAGACATATTTCTATTAGAAGGGAGAAAAATTGGGATGCTCTTCCCCAGAGTGGCAAGAGTGTGGATATATAATTCTATTAGAGAGGAGTGAAGAATTGAGACCAATAATTCAATCTGTCACCACTTTATATGTATATATGTGCATACATGATGTTTGATTAAAAAATTGAGATATGCAATATGATGTCAAATATGTAAAACAGAATCTCTGTAGAGAAAGAAGTCTTGAAGGAAAGACATTGGAATGTTAATAAGGCATATCTTTGGGTGCTGAGACTGTGGATGATTAAAATTACTCTTTCTTCTATTTTATGAATTGTCTTTCATGAGACTATATTTATTTTATAATTTACAAATATACTGTATTAACTAGAAGCTGAGTCTTCTAAGTATTAAACTAAAATTCCTTGAATATTTTCTGTTTGGGATCAGTAATGGTCCTAAAAGCAGAGCAAGGAGGATTTGCCTAATTCCACCTGGGAGATCAGAAAAGTCTTTTTTTTTTTTTTTTTTTGAGACAGAGTCTCGCTCTGTCACCCAGGCTGGAGTGCAGTGGCACTATCTCGGCTCACTGCAAGCTCCACCTCCTGGGTTCATGCCATTCTCCTGCCTCAGCCTCCCGTGTAGCTGGGACTACAGGGAGAACAGAAAGGTTTCTATGGCAGGGAATAGAGGGTATGACAGGGGTTGTCCTCTTTTGTTCTTTGCTATTTAAAGTTTGGTCCACAGATCACCAGCATTGGTGTCACCTGGGAGCGTGTTAGAAATGCACACTCTCAGTTCTCATGCCAGAGCTACGGAATCAGAATCTGCATTTTAAGAGGATTCTCCAGGTGGTTTGCATGCACATTAAAATTTGAGATGCACTGAATCTATTCCATACCGTTTATTTTAGCATCATTTAAAGTAAATGCATTTTTGCTTCATGATTCAAAATGGCTGGTAGAAATTGTTGTTATAAAATGCAAAGATAGTGAAATAGGCTAACAGATGGGCTGGCTTAATGACCAAATACTAACAATTCTCATACAAAAAAAATGAATTATTCAGTCTATAATATTTATTGATTGACAGTCTGATGTGGGCCCCTGTTACAGGTTGAATAGCATTTCTCTAAAAATTGTAACACAGAACTATAATTCTGGGAGGTATTAGTAAGACATTAATGGGCCCCACTGTATTAGTTTCTTATGGCTGCTGTCATAAATTACAACAAACTTGGTGGCTTAATACAACACGAATTTATTATCTTACAGTTCTGGAGGTAAAAATCTGAAAGAGGTCTCACTGGGTTAAAATAAAAGTATCAGCAGTGCTGCATTCCTTCTGGAGGCTGGAGCTTCCCATACTCCTCTGCCTCCTGACATCTTCAGAGCCAGCAATGACTGGTCAAGTGTTTCTCATGCTAAATCACTCTGACACTGTCTTCTGCCTTCCGGTTCTAGTTTTAAGGACCTTTGTGATTATATTGGATTCACACAGATAATCCAGGATAACCTCACTATTTTAAGATTGGCTGATTAACAACCTTTATTCCATTTGCTACTGTAATTCCCCTTTGCCTTGTAAAGTTCCATCCCCTTTGCCTTGTAAATTTCCAGGGATTAGGAAATGGACATCTCTGGGAGGCCATTATTCTGCCTACCACATCCATGAAACGCAGATTCTGTGGTCACATAAATCTGCAAGTAATATTTCTTTCTTGGAGCTTTGCAATGTACATCGGTATAGTCAAGGCTCCGAGAATTTTTGGAGTAAAGAAACCCCTTTAAGTTTGCTCAACCTAGGAACTCTTTGCTTGCACATTTCATGAAGCTGAACCAGAGAAATATGGGGAAATTCAGAGAAAATTAAAGAACTGTTTTCTGCCCTAAAGGAATTGAAGACAGCTTTTTATTTTCTCAATCATCGATTGCAAATTAATACTGAATTCATTAGCGCTGAGGGAATGCAGGGCAGAAGAGGGAGTGGGAACATCTGTAGAAATCAGAAGCCCTAATTACCAGGCTTCTGTTCCATACAAGGCAATGATGAGAACAGCGGTAGTTGTGGGAGTCTATGCTGATTTCCCTTTCACCATCGACATATTGTGGCATTATGAATAATTTAAAAAATCTGCCTGGGTCATTTTCTTAATCTCCGTGACTCCGTATCTCATATGTAAAGTTGGGTTAACATTCTCTCTTTCATCCAGTATGATTATGGGCTTTTAATTAATGTTAAAATGCTCTTTTTTTGCATTCACATGCAAAAGGAGTTATTAAATTTTGGTGCCAAATATTATGATGGTAATGAGAACTCGCTCACCAATATCTCATTACATGTGCAACTTTTTCCCTTAATTTACTGCATAAATCACCCATGGCTACACACAGTATTATCCCTATAGCCAGAACAGCTTCTTTCATCTTTTAGATATCTCATGTTGAAACCAAGAAATACAAGCTAGAAAAAGCTGAGTCTTATTTTAAAAGTTCCCAGAAGGCATTTGTTTTATGTGGTGAGCATAATGATTGCTTACAATAAAAAAGCCTTGAAAGGTCTCACTTGTTCTAAGATTATTCATGCAGCAATTATGCTATTGATGTCAATTTGTTTTTATGATAATATAAACTATTCTGAACCCACTCAACAGTGCATAGTATAATGCTTGCAATCTTCCCCATGACCTCTCTTGCTAAGATACCTATTCACTTCCTTGATTAGAGAAAACCAAGGAATATAGGCATTTTAAAAACAGATAAAAGTTTTGATCATTTGAAATCTAAAAATGAATCAGAACTTGTAATTTTAAAGTGAATAATCACAAAAGAGAGAAATAGCTGGGTACTCTGACTTATATTCTAGATGACGTTATGTATCACAGTACAAATATTGTCCAAGTGAGCTCCCCTAAATTGTGTGTGTGACATAAAGGGAGGGGAACTTGTATTTATTTTGTAGCTTGCCAAGAGCAAAAGGCTGTCTCAACTTAAATTTTGGACATCTTAAGTTTGTTCATCTTAAATTTGGCTTTGGATTGCTATAGGTTTTCGGGTAACTATTCATATTTCAAATGATGTTATTATTTTGCTTCCGAAGGTTCTTACGTGTTTCTGTAGAATAGGTAACATATTAACGTATTTCACTTTAAAAACAGTAATTGTGGTTACTTTGCCTGCGTGAGTCTATATGTAAACGTGTTTGAAATAGTTATTGAAAGAAGATGTGCTCCCTGATCTTAATGAGGTTAAATCTCACTCTTGTTTCACTGTTTCAAATTTTATTATGATCTTAAATTAAGGTTATATTCACATGGACAGAGCAAAAATTCACCACTGGCATATCTATTTGATGCTGTCAGCCATGTTCACAGCCAGTCTGCAAAATTCATTAGTTATTATGTAAAAGGTGCTTTTAATCCTCAGTAGCAGGATTCTTTCCTTATTTACTTTCCTTTTGCCTTGTAGATATAATTTGAGCAAATAATTTGAAGATGGGTAAATAGAAGTTTGACTGAAGCTGATGAAAGTAAGCACATTGATTAATATTCTTATCATTTTTATAAACTGCATTACAGAAATACATAATTTCTGTAAAATAAAATGTAAAAACAGGCATGGAAGTCAGGGCAAAGGCATATGACTAGAGAAAAGTAAAATGAAACCAAATGTGAGGTGACACCTGGAAGGCAGCCTGTTCCTTTAACACACACAAGCACTCATTCAGGCTAAACAGTGTACACACTCATTTCCAGGTGGGCCACACTATTTAGTTCTATATTTTTAGTAGCCCATGAAATGAGGGGAAAGTGGGTTGGGGGAAATGGGCTAAATGTATAGAGTTGAAATTAAGTATGCTTGTGTAATGGCTCTATTGTTCTCTAAAGTGAGCTGTTCAAAGAACAAAATTTTAAAATTCACTTACCTCTGTAAGTTTCAGAAAGGAGGGAAGTGGTGTAGCTGATCATCTGAAAATATCAGATGATATAGCATAGTCCTATTTTTAGCTCTGAAATGCAACCATGGGACTTTAAAACAACATCCAGTATCTTTTGTTAGAGATGCCACAACCAGTCACGACTGGCTGGCACTGCAGAAAACAGAAAGTTATGGCAAAGGGAATTACTGTTGAGAGCAAAGAACTGGGGGAAAGGCGTCATGCAGTCATTGATGGCTGGTGGGTTCGCTCCAGTGGTACAAGAGTTTTGTGTGTGCTTAAAAATCAGAAGCAGCCACATGTATTCAACCTGTGTTTTTCATCATCAATGACTATGGGTGAAAGTGCTCTTGATTTTGAATGCTCACATGTCTGGGTGCCTTTGGAAATGTGCAATCTTGTCTTGGCCCTTTTAGTGACTGGCTTTGTAGTCCTGAGATAATTGCTTCCTATTTCATCGTCTATTTCCTCTCAATACAACGTGAATTAGATGGCCTTCGAAGACCCTTCCAGGACCAAAACTTTAAGCAGGTCCCACAAACCTCACACATATAAACACGATTCTTTTTTTAAACACCTCTACAGTTGAATTCAAGTAGCCCCTATTTCAATAACAGTGAGAGAGAAAAAAAAATAAATCAAATCAAGTAAACAAACAATAAACAAATTAACCTTGTCACTTTGATTTTCTTCTGGTTTAGAATTTAGTCTTTCGGTGTAATTACCAAGAATTTAAATTTTGTTGATTCAAAATTCAGGTTGTCAGGGGTGTCCTTTTCTCTCAAGGGCTCCTGTAACTCCTTGCCCCTGCTCTCCTGGATGTTTCCCTCCTCCTTTTTGTCCTGCTTTACTGCTGATGAAACTGGAGCGTTCCCTGACCCCCCCTAGCAGGACATGCAACAGGGGTGTAGCTTGTCTGTTTGGCACTGTGCATACTCAAACTCCTTACAGGAGGGGGAGCATGCAGATGGGCAGGTGCAGGAGCCGGACCGAGCACCCCTGGGCCCAGGCCCCATGGCAGTGTCTGTGGGTGGGATCCTGCAACCCCCAAAGCCCAAGTGGGCCTGTGTTACAGTGTGCTCTTTTAGCCTTGCTGTCCACGGATGGCTTAAGTGTTAACCAGCTCAGTGCCCTCTTCGTACCTAGGTCTTTGTCTGGTGTCCAGGAAGAATTGGGTCATATATAAACCTGAAGGATGTGTGCAGGGGTTTTGTTGAGTGGTGGAGGTGGCTCTCAGTGGGGTGGATGGGGAGCTGGAAGGGGGATGAAGTAAGAAGATGATCTTCCCCTGGAGTTTGGGCAGCCGGTGTCCGTTCTCCTCTCCGACCATTCGCAGCTGATCTTCTCTTGGCATTCAGATACTCCTTTTTTTTTTCTTTCTGCCATGCTGTTCTTCCGTTCTGCTCTTCTGTTCATTGGCTTGTGGAGTCTGGAGTTTGGGGTTTATATATGTACAGGATAGGGGTGCATGGTGGGCCAAAAGGCAACTTTTGGGCACAAAAACAGGAATGCCTGTTTTCATCTAGTGCTGTGGGTTTCCAGGCTTGCTTGAAGGTGGGGTCTTTGCTGGGGAACCACCCTCTTTCGTGCAGTATTTCCCTGTCTCCTGTCTATACCACTTATTATGGCTTCTGAGTACAAGTGGAAGCTTATACAGTAGCTTGGCAGGAGTGGTGAGCTGTCCTGGATTAGCCTCTACTTGAGTATCTCATCCTGCTGGTCATTTTCTGCTTGTATTGCCGGTCCCTGCTCATCCTTCTGACTTGCACCAGCCTCTGCTGCTGGTGCCCTTAGGTGTAGCCATGCTGTCTGATCTTCAGGTCCTTGTACTCTGGGTCCTCCTCATTGTCTCCCCTTCTTGGTTTTCTGTCCCCCTGCAGCATGCAGGAACTGCTGGATAGGAGCTACTATGAAGCCAGGAACACTAAGGCTCTCTACTGAAGTATGCTATACTTTCATTTCTAGTTCCCTGAATCTATCCTATGATGGCTTATGGCACACACCAAGCTTGTTTTTAATGAATCTTTTTTTTTTAGCATAAAACATACTCTTCTGTCCTCAGTTCCTCAAACCTACCTAGGGGTTTACACTTTTCACTAAGGGTCTCAATCCTGGGGGGTTGGATACTCACCTATGTCTGTCTGTTTCCTGCCTCCCTCATGTCTGGGAGGAATGCTTTATCTGGTTTAGTGGGATATAATATCCATATCATATCACATAGCCTGTCTTTCAGTGTCTTACACTAAACATTCTATACTCAAACCCTCTATGGTTTAACTCTTTGAAATCTATGAAAGTATTTTGCTTCCTCTTAATGAAATTTGGCTGTTGCGAATGAGAAATGAAAGATCTGGCTTTCTTGTCTTTGAAATATGCATCATTTGCTAATTTAAGAAGTTAGAAGATTGGGCAGGGTGTGGTGGCTCATGCCTGTAGTCCCAGCACTTTGGGAGGCTGAGGTGGGAGGATCACTTGAGGTCAGGAGTTTGAGACCAGCCTGGACAACATGGTGAGACTCCATCTCTACAAAAATACAAAAATTAGCCAGGTGTGGTGGTGTGCACCTGTAGTCCCAGCTACTGGGGAGGCTGAGGCAGGAGAATCACTTGAACCAAGGAGGTGGAGGTTGCAGTGAGCAAAGATTGCACCACTGCACTCAAGCCTGGGCGATAGAGGGAGACACCATCTCAAAAAAACAGAAAAAAAAAAAAAAAAAAGAAGAAGAAGAAGCTGAATATTCACTATTTCTTCCCTGCTTCTAAGCCAGGGATTCTAAGACTTCTAGGAATAGAGAAACAATGAGTAGCAAGAATTAACAAAAATTACAAGGATATAGAAGAACTCAATGATATCATTAATCAACAGGATCTAACTTAACTTTCATAGAACACTCCACCCAACAACAGTGAATATACCTTCTATGCAAGGGCCCATAGGTCCCATAGAACATGTGCAAAGATAGATTATACTCTGTGTTATAGAACAAGCCTTGACAAATTTAAAATGATTGAAATCATACAAAGTGTGTTCTATGACCTCAACAGAATGAAAAATTAGTAGCAGAACAAAATAACAGGTGAGTCTTGAAATACTTGGAAGCTAGCACACTTCCACATAATTCAGGAGTGCTGTGGACTGAGTGTCTGTGAGCCTCCCCCTCAACTCCCGATTTGTATATTGAAGCCTAATCACCAATGTGATGATGTTTGGAGATGAGGCGTTTGGGAGGTAATTAGGTCATAAGGGTGGAGAAGAGACAGGAGAGAGCTTGTGCTTCCCTTTCTGCTCTCTGGCATGTGAAAATACAACAAGGAGGCTGCCATCTGCAAACCAGAAGGTGGCCCTCACCAGATGTGGGATCTGCCAGCACCTTGAACTTGGACTTCCTAGCTTCCAGAATTCTAAGAATTAAATGTTTGTTTTTAAAGTCACACAGTCTATAGTATAATTGTTATTGCAGCCCAAATTGACTAAGACAATGCGTCAAAGTGTTAAGATAAATATATTTTTAAAAATATATTGAACTTATAAATCAATGAAAATGATTGAGGTGAGTCTCAATCATTGTAGGAGGTTTATTTGCCAGAGTTAAGGATATATGCTCAGGATACAGGTCTGTGCCTTTCTCCAAAGGCTTTGATATTTAAAGGGGAAAGAGCAGATATTGGAGAAAGGGGTAGAAACTGTTTGAAAGGTGTGGATAGATAAAAGACAGACGGTTACATTTTTGAGTCTTTGATCAGCCTTTCATGGAATATACAATTTACATGTGACAGGGGAGTAGAGGAATAGTCACTTATGCCTTCATCTGGCTCAGAGAATCTGCAGTAGAGGATAGAGTAGGATAGGGTAGAAGAAGCAATCAGATACACATTTGTTTCAGGTGAGTAGAGGGATGACTTTTAGTTCTGTCCTTTGTCCTGCACCTGTGAAAATAAGCTATCAATTTACATGGCCAGGGTGAAATTCAGCAGAACTGTTTTAGGGTAAAGATCTTGGGGCCCACAGGGAATTTCCTTGTGGGCAATCGGTGAGGGAGGTATGTAACTTTTCATCTTTGTAGCTATCCTATTCAGGAACCAAATGGGGGGCAGATTTGCATAACCCAGTTCCCAGCTTGACTTTTCCCTTTGGCTTAGTGAGTTTGGGGTCCTGAGATTTATTTTCCTTTTACAAACTGAGTGAAAATAAAATACAACATTTCAAAATATGTGGGACACAGCTAAAACAATGAGTGGTAAATTTATAGCCATAATGAACTGCAATAATGACTGCTCTCATTCCAGACACAAGTCACCAGTCCATGCCTCCAGAACTTCTGACTTACCAGCTTCAAGTCGGGGTTCCCACAACCCCCACTTTGAGTTCGATTCATTTGTTGGAGTGGCTCACAGAACTCAGGGAAACACATTTGCTGGTTTACTATAAAGGATGCTACAAAAGATACAGATGAAGAGATGCATAGGGCAAGGCATATGAGAAGCAGCATGAAGCTTCCATGCTCTCCCTGGGCATACCACCCTTCAGAAACCTCCATGTATTAGACTATTCAGAGGCTCACTGAACCCTGCCTTCGTGGTGTTTTTATGGAGACTTCATTATGTAGGCATGATTGATTAAACCGTTGGCCAATGATGATCAACTTAACCTTCAACCCCTCTCCCCTTCCGAATGTTGGGGACTGGGGCTGAAAGTCCCAATCCTTTAATCATAGCTGTGTCTTTCTGACAACCAGCCCTATCCTGAAACTATCAATTAACATTAACATACAAAAAGACAGCACTTTGGAGGGTCCAAGGATTTTAGGAGTTGTATGCCATGAAAGGGCGATGAATACCTAATATGTATTACAGGGTAATATTAGCTTCATAAATTGAATTGGAAAGTTTTTCCTCCTCTTTTCTTGAAGAGATTGTATAGAATCAGCCTTAATTCTTCTTTAAACATTAGGTAGAATCATCCCATGGACCTGGAGATTTATGTTTTGGGGTATTTTATAATTATGAATGTAATTTCTTTAATATTGATAGGGCTATTCAAATTATTTATATTAGATTAGTTGTGTAGTTGTGCTATTAAAGAAATTGATCCATTCATCTGTTTCCAAATTTATATGTATAGAGTTATTTGTAATGTCTCCTACATTTAAAGAAGGATTAACACAAATTTTAAACAATCTCTTCTAGAATATGAAAGAGAAGAAAAAATTTCTCAATTAATTTGTGAAGCTAGTATGATCCTGACACCCAAACTAGACAAAGATAGTACAAAGAAAATTATGGACCTATATCCTTCATGAATATAGATGCAGAAATTCTCTGAAAACACTTAAAATATGATTCAGCTACATAAAAAAAGAATTATACATCATGAGCAAATGGAGTCTATTCCAGGAATGCAAAGCTGTTCAATATTTCAAAATCGGCCGGGCGCGGCGGCTCATGCCTGTAATCCCAGCACTCTGGGAGGCCAAGGCCGGTGGATCACGAGGTCAAGAGATCGAGACCATCCTGGCTAACACGGTGAAACCCCGTCTCTACTAAAAAATACAAAAAAGTAGCCGGGCGTAGTGGCAGGCGCCTGTAGTCCCAGCTACTCGGGAGGCTGAGGAAGGAGAATGGCATGAACCCGGTAAGTGGAGCTTGCAGTGAGCCGAAATCGCGCCACTGCACTCCAGCACTCCAGCCTGGACAACAGAGCGAGACTCTGTCTCAAAAAAAAAAAAAAAAATTTCAAAATCAATTAATACAAACATGTTAACAGGTTAAAGAAGAAAAACCACATGATCATATTAATTGATGCAGAAAAATCATGTGACAAAGTTTGAATTTAATCCATGATTTTAAAAACTCTTGGAAAAATAGAAGTGGAGGGGAAACTTCCTCAGTTTGATAAAGAATATCTACTTAAACCCAACAGCTAATGTTACATTTAATGCTAAAAAATTGAATGTTTTTGCCCTATGTCAGGAACAAGGCGAGGATGTTCTCTCTCCTCACATTTATTCAACATAGTAGTGGAATTTTAGATAGCGCAGTAAGGTATGAAAAGAAAATAAATCCCATACAGATTAGGATGGAAAAAGTAAAACTGCTCCTATTTGCAAATGACCTGAGAGTCTATGTAGAATATCCCAAAGGATCTACAAAAATATTACATTCCACTCCACACAGGACCCCCCCTGCTGTGTGGAGCCTCTGGACTTGGTGCCCTGCATCCCAGCTGCTTCAGCCATGGATGAAAGGGGCCAAGGTACAGCTCAGGCTGTTGTTTCAGAGGGTGCAAGCCCCAGGAGGCCTTGGCTACTTCCACATTGTGTTGGTCCTGTGGGTGTGCAGAAGACAAGAATTGACGTTTGGGAACCTCTGTCTAGATTTCAGAGGATGTATGGAAATGCCTGGATCTCCAGGCAGAAGTCTGCTGCAGAGGTGGAGACCTCATGGAGAACCTCTGCTAGGCAGTGTGGAAGAGAAATGTGAGGTTGGAGCTCCCACACAAAGTCCCCACTGCGCAGTGCCTAGTGGAGCTGTGAGAAGAGGGCCGCCATCATCCAGACCCAAGAATGGTATAATAGACCCACCGACAGTTTGCACCGTGTGCCAGGAAAAGTCGCAGACACTCAATACCAGCTGTGAAAGCAGCCAGGAGGGAAACTGTTCCTTGCAAAGCCATGGGGTAGAGCTGCCCAAGACCCATGAGAATGGACTGATAGAACTACAGAATTCTCAAAACTGAATTTAAAAAAACCAGCACCAAACCAACTGATTAGAAAATGAGTAAAAAACATGATGACATATTTCACTGAAAAACATATACAGATGGCAATTAAGCACATGAAAAGATGTTCAAGATCATTAGCAATCAGGGAAATGCAAATTAAAAACCACAATGAGATATCACTAGACGTCTACCAGAATGGTTAAAATAAAAAGTAATGACAACACCAAAAACTAGCAAGGATGCAGAGAAACTGGATCATTCATACATTGCTGGTGGGAATAAAAGTGGTACAGCCTCTCTAAAAAACAGTTTGGCAATTTCTGAAAATATTAAATATGCAACACTTACATGACCCAGCAATTACACTCTTGGACATTTATTGCAGAAAAATAAAAACTTACATTCACACGAAATATTGTACATGAATGTTTATAGCTCTTGGTTTGTAATGCACAAAACTAGAAACAATCTAGGTGTCCTTCAGTGATAATTAGTTAAACAACCTATGGTACATCCATACCCTAGACTATTACTCAGCAATAAAAGGGAATGGACTATTGATACATACAAAAACTTGGGTGAATCTCTAGAGAATTACGCTGAGTGAAAAAAACCAATAATGCAAGATTCCACTTATAGAATAATCTCAAAACAATAAATTACAGAAATGGAGAATAGATTAGTGGTTACCAGGGGTTAAGACCCAGATATGGGATGAGGGGAAGGGAAATGTGTGTTTCTATAAAAAAGCACCGTAAGAGATCCCTGTGTTGATGGAGATATCTCTGTTTTGACTGGATAATGTCAATATACTGGTTGTTCCATTGTACCATAGTTTTGCAAGATGCTACTACTGGAGGAATCTGGGGAAAGGGTACATGGGATCCCTGTATTATTTCTTACAACTGAATGTGAATCCACAATGATCTCAAATAAAACAGTTAATTAAAAAAGGTAAAAAGTTGTGAAAAAGCAATAATTATTCTGTATTCAACAGCCTGTTGTCCATACATAATTCTTAGTACTTAGAACAGTTTTGGTAAGTAGAAGGTATTTAATTTTGCTGAATGAATGAATAAGACATGAGTTTGAAATAAGGAATTATGAACTTCTGATATGTATTGAAGATTCAAGGCTACAGTAACCAAAACAGCATGGTACTGGTACCAAAACAGAGATATAGATCAATGGAACAGAACAGAGCCCTCAGAAATAACGCCGCATATCTACAACTATCTGATCTTTGACAAACCTGAGAAAAATAAGCAATGGGGAAAGGATTCCCTATTTAATAAATGGTGCTGGGAAAACTGGCTAGCCATATGTAGAAAGCTGAAACTGGATCCCTTCCTTACACCTCATACAAAAATTAATTCAAGATGGATTAAAGACTTAAACGTTAGACCTAAAACCATAAAAACCCTAGAAGAAAACCTAGGCATTACCATTCAGGACATAGGCATGGGCAAGGACTTCATGTCTAAAACACCAAAAGCGATGGCAACAAAAGACAAAATTGACAAATGGGATCTAATTAACTAAAGAGCTTCTGCACAGCAAAAGAAACTACCATCAGAGTGAACAGGCAACCTACAAAGTGGGAGAAAATTTTTGCAATCTACTCATCTGACAAAGGGCTAATATCCAGAATCTACAATGAACTCAAACAAATTTACAAGAAAAGAACAAACAATGCCATCAAAAAGTGGGCGAAGGACATGAACAGACACTTCTCAAAAGAAGACATTTATGCAGCCAAAAAACACATGAAAAAATGCTCACCATCACTGGCCATCAGAGAAATGCAAATCAAAACCACAATGAGATACCATCTCACACCAGTTAGAATGGCAATCATTAAAAAGTCAGGAAACAACAGGTGCTGGAGAGGATCTGGAGAAACAGAAACACTTTTACACTGTTGGTGGGACTGTAAACTAGTTCAACCATTGTGGAAGTCAGTGTGGCGATTCCTCAGGGATCTAGAACTAGAAATACCATTTGACCCAGCCATCCCATTACTGGGTATATACCCAAAGGACTATAAATCATGCGGCTATAAAGACACACGCACACATATGTTTATTGCAGCACTATTCACAATAGCAAAGACTTGGAACCAACCCAAATGTCCAACAATGATAGACTGGATTAAGAAAATGTGGCACATATACACCATGGAATACTATGCCATAAAAAATGATGAGTTCATGTCCTTTGTAGGGACATGGATGAAATTGGAAATCATCATTCTCAGTAAACTATCACAAGGACAAAAAACCAAACACCGCATGTTCTCACTCATAGATGGGAATTGAACAATGAGAACACATGGACACAGGAAGGGGAACATCACACTCTGGGGCCTGTTGTGGGGTGGGAGGAGGAGGGAGGGATAGCATTAGGAGATATACCTAATGCTAAATGACGAGTTAATGGGTGCAGCACACCAGCATGGCACATGTATGCATATGTAACTAACCTGCACATTGTGCACATGTACCCTAAAACTTAAAGTATAATAATAATAATAATAAAAGCAACTTCCAGGAGAGGTAGATACTCTTTCTCTTCCATGATCTGTAGGTGTTTTAAAGTCTCCTCCTCTCTCCCCCATAATATTGGTTTATTCTTCTAAGTTTGTGGACAGAGCTTTGAAGAACTGAAGAAAGCAGAGAATTCCTGAGAGTACAAACTGCTCACACAAGCCAGTCGGAACATTTTAATTGTTCTAAATAAATTTTATTCACTTTTGCTCTTCCTTACTCTTTGGGGATGCCAGTTTCATAAATTACTTCCTACTCTGCACGTACTTGAGATTAGGGTCTTAGTTGGCACAGGGTCCAAGCAGCCGCTTGACCCAATGGTAAGTGACTGGGATGATACCCTCCCCAGGCTCCTATTTTATGTAATCCAGCACTCAGTGAGTATTTTGGAAATGAATATTTTGGGGAGAGAGGGGAAGGGGGTTATCCTTCTGACCTACTTACTGATAGAATTATCCGTGAGGGTGCAGTCAGCTTATCACTCATCTGTAGTGGGGAAACAATCTCAGCTGCTTAGGAGGCAGACAGGCTGCAGAAAGAAAGCCAAGACTCTGAGAACCCACTCTGGTTCAGAAACAGAAGTGTTTGTTTCCATCCTTACAACTCTGAGGCCAGGAGAGTATATTTTGCAAGTCATGAAGGAGAGATGATTGGGTCAATGACCAATTACGTTTCTGAGGAAATTGCTACGAAACAATACTCCACAGTCACAGCCAGAGGAATGCGGAAGCCTGGAGTCTCATACAACTGATGGAGCAGTTCCCTCTAGTGGTCGGAGCCTGCGCTACCGAATGAAGCAAAAGCATGTCTTGTAATTCCACAAATTAAGGCTCAAGAAAATAGACCCTTTTCTTAGTTCAGGCCATAACTAGCAACCTCTGATGTTCATAGGTGAATTTTCAAGATTTGTAAAACAAGCCAACTTCCATGGGCTCCAAGACGGGACCTAGGTTATGATTGGTAGACAGCCACCCAGATGCAAAATTGTGAGGTACTCATTTGCCTTTGACATCTCAGCCTCACTTTCATTATTAAAAAAACTTCCCTGTGCCACAAAACTTCTCGATTCTCCTGAGTGCAGCCCATCCTATATATATTATGAATACAAACCTATTGCCTCCATCAAGATCTGTGATCTAGTATCAGACTGTTAACATTTTTCTGTGAAATTAAGTATTTCCCAATGGAAATACATTCTAAGCCTTGTTTAATCCTCGTAACAACCATGAAGTAGGTTTCTATTTTATTTCTTGTTTTTCAGATGGAGAAACAGAAACATGGAGGTTATGTAAAGTGCCCAGTGTCACCTAGCTAGAAGGCTGACTCAAATCTTGAACTTGAGTAAAAAGACCGAGGTTATGTTCCTGATTGTGTGTTTTGGGGCAAGTCCTTGAAGCACCTCTGAGATTTTCTTACCTATGAAATGGGGATAATAATTCGTGCTCTGTGTACTGCGCTAGGTTACTATGAGACCATTCATTTATTTCCCAAATATTTGTTGAGTGCCAACCATATGTCTACTGGAAGCACAACTGTGATGACAAATGTGTTCTTGACTTCATGGGCTTTGCATTCCAATGAGGAAGACAGAAACAAACAAACAAAGTCATTGCAAATTGTGCTAAGGGTTTTGAAGGCAATGATGCAGGAGTTAAGTTAGGGAAGCAAAGTTGAGGGTGGTGGAGTGTGTATAGTGGTGTGACTGCATTACTTCAATTACTTCAGGTCGGGGAGTAGGGTGATCAGCAAAATCTCAGAGGAGGTGACATGTTAGTTGAGACCTGGGTTTGACTGGGAACTTGCTGTGGAGAAACATTGAAGAGGATGGGAGAATGGATTGTTCCAGATGGAATGGCATGTGCAAATGCCATGTTGTGAGAAAGAGCTGGCTATATTTGTAGAAACTGAGGAAGACCAGTATGACATCATCAGTGGAGTTATTGCACGTAAAGATGTGGAAAGAGCTATAAAAATTAGGGAGTACAAATACTCTGAAACAAAGGCACAGACACATTTGTTCCACTTAGGCCAGCTACAACAGAAGGTTTCATGAAAAATCTGGTTAGAATAATCCCAATCGTTGTTCCTCCTCTTTGCCTGTAGATGCATGTGGCAACCTCTGCTGCTGCCCATTTTTTAGTGTGGCGGGACAGTTTATTGAAACATTTGGGTCTATTTTTCTGTATTTTCTTCTTTCCTGTTCTCCTGCGCTGCCCTGTGTGTTTTGTCTCAGGAATTTTTTGCAGTTTTATTCAGTCTTTTTATTAAAACCCTATACCATGGAAGGAATAAAGCTGGGCACCATTTTTTTCTCTCTGTTTTCTCTCCATGCCACTTGTTTTTTTAAATTATGATTTTTATTTACCAAAGCATTATATAGTTATTGTAAAACACAGATATGCAAATCAAATAAATTTTAATTACCTAATATCCTACCAGGCAGAGGCAAGAATTATCAAGCTTTTAATGAATACATAGTCTTCTATAACCTACTGTTTTCCTTTGATATTCCTCTGCAATTCTTTTTAACTTTTAATATTTTTCAAAACTCGATTAAAATAATTAGGCCTTAAAAGTTACTAGCAAAGACAATCTTTTAAAGAATTAAACAGTTAAGAAAAATGTATAGGCTGTACTTACCATTAACTTCAAAGCTTAAGTATATGATTAATTAACTAAATAATGTTTTATCACACATTTAAAGTTTACTTTGGTGTCAAAAATCTCTAGAAAATTATCCACAACTTTGAGGATTCTGGTTTGGTAAGTGGTAAGACTTCTGTAGGTTCTGATATCAACTTAATCATTTCCCTTTTCTTCTCTCTGATTTCTAGTTCTCTAAGGTATCCTTACATCAGAGAGAAGATAGAAATAGCTATAGATCAAATTTAAAAAAATCCAAAAACTTAGCTGAGTATCTGGCACACAATAGAGATTCAAATAACGCTAATTTCTTTACTTCCATTTTCTTTCTCTAATCTAAGAACATAGAAGCTACCCAGGTTTATTTTTTTCCTAATTAGATGAAGATATTTTTCCTTCTTCCTCCCTCTCCCTCATCTCCCTTTCCTTCTTTCCTTCTTTCCTTTCCTTCCTTCCTTCCTTTCTTCCTTCCTTCCTTCCTTCTCTTGCAAGAATTATTACACTTTTCCATCTTCTTTCTAGCTGGATATTTAGATAAACTACTTATTGCTAATTAAGTTTGGATATTTATTACTTTTAGCAAGCACTCAATCAAGAAATATTTAAACCTAATATGTGCTGATAACTATGCTTGGATCTGTTGGAGAAAGGGATGGTAACAAAAAAATGAGACAAAGTATAAGTAACATCTGCTTTGATTTGCAAATTACCTCTACAGTTCTCTCAAAAATAATATTTTCCCCCCAAGTCTGCATCTCTTTCACAAAACATTACATTCCGAACAGAAATTAGGTTTTAACTCATTTCTATTTTTTTTTCTTTTTTTGTATTTGGCCTAAGAGGGCTAAGGTAGGATTATGTATTTCTCACTTTTTCTCATAATGTTGGGTGAAAAAAAAAATCAATCCTGACTCCCTGAATCCCAATTGCTACATTATAAATATACAAAAATGCAACTGGAAGGTCTTTGAACAAAATATTATTGGGCTTCTTATTTTAAATATTCTCCTTATGTGTGTCATTTAAAAAATTCATATAGTTTGGGGAAATAACCTTATTTTAAAAATATACCTTTCTTCAAAAAAAACAAAAACAGACAAAATAAATAAAATATACCTTTTTGAGATATTATCTTACCTTGCTGCTGCTATTTCTCTCTCTCTTCCTCTCAGTCTCTTCCTCTCTTCCTCTCTCTCTCTCTCTCTCTCACACACACACACACACACACACACACACCACAGTCACTTAATCTCATCCTCTTGCTTTGGGGACAAGCTTGGTAGCAAGTTTGGGGACAAACTGAAAAAATGGCCATGTAGCCAAAGAAACCAGATTGCAGCTTTCATCTACCAAGAAACAATCGTATATAGATGAGAAAATATTGAACATTTCTGACAGTAATTTAATGTGATCCATTTAAAAGTCAAATGACAGTTTTAAATATGGAAATTTTAGTTTCTCATCCACATCAACAGATATTAAAATTTCTACAATTCCTTATGGCTATGTCAGTCTTGATGTGCATAATGCCTTTTAAAAATAAGACTCAGCAGAAAAATCTCCATACTAATCTGGAGCTTTGGAAGAAACAAAATTACTTTTTTATGACAACTGAATAGCTTCTTAAATCATTAAAGTGCTCCTTCATTTTAGCCATCAGTTGCAGCTGAAGGCTAGATCCTGAAAACTGAAGTATTTCTAGCCTAAATATTGGAAGAATAGCCTGGTAGTTTGAGGCTGGAAGGACTCTTGGAGCCATCTTCTCCTTCTAGGCCCAGACTCCATTTCTCAAGGGACTTGTCCAAAGCCTTGTAGCCAGTTGAGGCAGGGTTGGGCTGAGAACTCATGCCTGTGATGTTCAATCCAATCCTATCCCATGTGCTAAGCTGTTCTCTCAGTCCTAGAGAACTATAGCCTCCCTCATTGTCTTCTCTGAGATCCATTCAATATTGTAAAAGGTCCATTTCTGTTGAAAGAGAGAGTGTCAATATCAGAGCAGGAATAATGAATCCTACCCCAAAGTTCTTAGGCACAGAAATACAATTCTCACGCATAGACATAAACGCAACGTTAATGTGATAGTTTGTCTTCAGTACAGCATATATAATGCTTTCTCTAATAAATTTCACTAATATTAACTGGATGCGTGGAAGCAAGAACCAAATCATACAAAAGAATGGTGAGTCCTAACTATGAAAACAGTAGAAGTTCTTTACCTAAGATACCCATAATTATGGCTTTCAATTGTTTTCTGTTTACTTAAAATCATTACATAAGCAAAGCATCACACTTTTGCAATTTGCTCTTGATTCTTGCCTACTACTAGGAGCTTAATTTGCTACTTTAGAGAGAGAAACTTTGCATAAACAGGGTCTCTTCCTCCAATTTTTTCCATATAAACAGCAATTATGTGATTTTTTTCTTGTATCTTATTTAGACAATTGAGAATGTATGTATAGTACTAAACATTTCTCTTTTTGAAATATAAATAACTTGACTTCCTTTGTTGACATTTTCAATTCTCCAAAAATTGAGGAAACAATGAGGGATTGGCTTTCTGGAACTTAATTCTAAGCAAAAGAGATTTAGAGTGAGACTAGATTTCTTAAGTGCAATTAATTGGTTAAATCTATATTTATGTTTTGATTTAGGAAATAATAGTTAAGAATAGAGAAATCTGATGCTTATTATTATTGGATAAAAGCATGCCAAAGAGTAGTAAAAGGTGCTGTAAAGACATGACTTGACTTTCAAAGGAGGGTGATTGAAGATTGGCTTAGAGGTGTTAGCAGAGAGCCAAGAGAATGCCACTCTCTCATCCTCTCAGGGCAGAAATACAGGAAGCTAGAGAAAAAAGGAGTGCCAACTTGAAGATATCTCTAGAGAATGGTGTTCACCGGGGAAAAAATTTAGGTTTAATTTTGTGAGTACATGTTTAGCTGGAGCTCACAACCCTTTACAACCCTTTTTCAGAGAGGTTTCAAATGTAAGCTCATTTGATCAAACACACGGGGAGCTCAGGCAATGATGTTTTTATTGGCATTTCCTTAGAGTAGTATCAAGTACAATTGTTTCAATGTTGTTGAATATTAAAGATGGAAGAAAGCTAGTTCTATTTAGTCTCTTATTCTGACTTTGCCAAGATACCATAAATATTGTTACTCCCACATTTCTCACCATTCTCCAAAAGTCAAATCACAAGTGTTGATTAAATGTCTATTTATGCATTTAATTAACTGGGATGGAGGTTCCCGTGGAGAAAAAGACATTTGTCCATCCTTTTCCTACACTATACCATTGTTTATTTCTCATGTCTCTGACTTTACCCCCTTAGCCATCCTTCTTTACCCCCTTAGTCATCCTTCACCGATTTGCTACTTGTGAACTCTTCCTTGTTCGTCAAAACTTCAGCTTAAATTTTACCTTCTTTTCCATGTCTGCCCGGATTCAGCTAAGCTGAATGAACCCTTCCTCCTCCTTGTTTTCAAAGAAACGTGTGCAGATTGCGTGTCATGGCGCTTCTGAATGTTGTATTACAGTTACTTGTTTACATGCTCTATCACCACTACGTTGTCAAGTCATGTCTGAGTCATCTCTGCCACTGTCTCCAACCTTAGGTCTTATTAGAATTTGATGACTGTTTGCCTTGAGGAGCTTACTCTTTAGGCAAGAAGCTTGTTTAAAATAATCGAAAATTATAGGAGGCAATAATGAATTCTTTAACTCATTTAGCAAATTTTTTACTAATTGCCAATCTTGGCCTGAATATAGAAATGAATAAGACAGACTTGTTACCTGACTTCATAGGCTTTAAAATTTGAGCTTAGAGATAGGGTTTTTTTTTTTTTTTGGAGCTGGAGTCTCACTCTGTCTCCCAGGCTGGAGCTCAGTTGTGCGATCTTGGCTCACTGCAACCTTCACCTTCTGGGTTCAAACAATTCTCCTGCCTCAGCCTCCCAAGTAGCAGCTGAGATTACAGGTGTGAGCCACCATGCCTGGCTAATTTTTGTGTTTTTAGTAGAGACAGGGTTTCACCATGTTGACCTGGCTGATTTTGAACTCCTGACCTCAAGCGATCTGCCCACCTCAGCCTCCCAAAGTGCTGGGATTACAGGTGTGAGCCATCCCACCTGGCCTAGAAATAGATATTAAGTAACAAAGTATAAAGATGGCTTGTGATTAGTGAGAAGACAGAATGCAGAATAGACACAGGGCACAGCATGTTCAAAGGCCCCGAGGCTATAAGAAGATTAGTCCTTTGGATAAATAGAGAGGATTGGTGTCAGTGACACAGGGATGGATGGAGAATGGCAGGAGATCATCTGGGCAGAGGTCAGATCACATAAAGATTTTTAGGTTATGTTAAAATGTCTGGAATTTATCTTAAAATCAAAGAAAAATCACTGAAGAATATTAAGCAGGACTTCAATAGATCAAATTTATTTTTTCATTTGTTTTTTTTTAAACAAAGTTATTTCTGGTTGCTGCATGAATATTAGATATGAGGAGATAAATTAGGAGGGTAAAGGATGATTCCAATTCATGTTAATGAGTATGTTTAGGTTATATCATGTGTAATGTCAATGGTAATCGAGGAAGTTGATGGATTTGAGAGACTTTTAGGAGCTGGAATCCACCGTTTTTAGAGTTTGTGTGTGTATTTGTGTTTGTGTGTTATTGTGTGTGTGTTATTGTGTTGGATGGATGATGGAGCCATGAGGGAGAAGAAAATGTCAAAGATGACTCCCAGGCTTCTGGATTGAGCAGCTTTATGAATGTCAGTACATTAAAAAATGCTTATATGGAACAATTTAAGAAATGAGAGGCTGCTCACCCCAACCTCTCTCATCAATCTTTTGAACTTGAAATTCTGTCAAGTCTTTATACAGTATTCAAGTAGCTCATATAAAAAGGCAAATAAAACATTTAGCTCAGAAGCCCATAAATGTTCTCTGTGACTCAGAATCTCTTACTAATTAATGCAATAGATTTAAAAAAAAAGTCTAAAAAAGTTTTAGTTTTCTGCCATTCCCACCCCCATTTCCCTCCATCCCACACTTGGAGCTAAATATAAACCAACCCATCTGACTAAAACTGGCAAAGGTCTTTCTAAGAAGCACTAGATGGCAGCAGAGGAATTCCTTCACCTCAGCGGAAAAAGGTTCTGCATAAGGGGACTGTGCAGGAAAATGGCCAAGTTCCAGCTTTCCACTGTTACCTGAATTAAAGGCAGAGAGAATATAAAAGAGGAAAAGTAGCATGGTTAGCTAAATGCTGCTTCATCAATTCAACCTGCTTGGTATTCATGTCACATGGAGAAAAGGTTTTCCAAGTACACTTGTCTCTTGTTTGATGAGGTAAATGCATTTCTGTTTTCTTTATAAGCCATAAAATTAATTTCCATTAAAGCAACCCTAAATTTTCCTGCTGAATTTCATTATTGAATTGGGGATTAGTCCTGTAGGAAAAAAAATCTGTCTTCAGGCATTATTAAATTATAGTCAGCAATGCAGTAAATGTTTTAAAATAGCCCATTCAAAGAAAAATAATACTCACCTGCCCACAATACTGACGATAATATTGAAATATTTACAAGTAATTAAAAAATATCAGTAATAGTGTGCTATATTCCAAATAAGGTGTAAAATAAAAAAAATTAAGAAGAAAAAATATAGTACAATCTCAGGTTCTTTAGAAGTAAGTGATTAATCTTTCATGTTGCTCACTCCTTAAATATTTAGCATTTGGCTCGTTTTTTACACTGTCTTGAACTCCTTTATCTCCTGCATATTAAAAGTAATTCATTAAATTTTTTTTTTCTGTATTTGGACTTGGGCTTTTCCCAACTATTAGTTCATGCTAACTCTTTCATGTCCTAAGTAATGCTTTCTTCATTTACCTGCTAGCAGATGTTTCTTATTAGGTGATGATATTGTTACTATGCAACATTTGCATAATGGGTTATAGGTTGCAGAATTTTTTTACATATATTATTTCATTTATTCTTTGTACCAATATGTTATATGGGGATCGTTATTACACCCATTTTACTGATGAGAAAAAAATTAGAAAGGCTAAGTAACTTTCCCAAGGTCATACATCTTTTAAGTGATGGAACTTTGACATGAACCTAGGTCCTTTGCCTTTAAATTATAGGATCTTTGCACTGTTACTCACTGACTTCCAAACAACTTGTGTATTTACAAAATTAAGTTTACTTATTAAAAAACCCAAGAACCATATAAAGAAGAAAAAACTATAGCCCACTGTGTTTAAGGACAATGGGAGGCCACTAGAGGGTTTTAAGACAAGGGTTGATATGACTTGCATTTTATGAAAGAGACCTGTTATTTCAGTATGGAAAGTGGCTTGAAGGCAGCAAGAGTGGATCTGGGAGATTGATTAGGTGGCTATGTCAGCAGTTCAGGAGAAAGAGGAGGCTTTGGGTGGTGGCAATGGGTATCATAAACAATTGGCATATTTGAGAGACATTTGGGAGTTAGATTGAGTGGGCCTTGGTGACTGAGAGCAGACTGGGGATACGGAAAGAGGGTGTCAAGGATGAACTTTAGGATGAGCAACTGGGTGGGTGGAGGTGTTATTTACAGAAACAAAACATTGAAAGAATATTTGATTTTTCTTGTATTGTTATTTGACCACCATTTAATTAATTGACAAACATCCTTGTTAAAATAAATTCTTTTATATTTTAAACTACAGTTAAGAAAGGCTGAACACTTTTGCCTGGAATATTCTTTCCCCAACCTACAAACCTAAGCTTAATCTATCTCTTCCAAGAAATCTATTTCCCAGCTAGAAATCTTTTTCCCAGCTGGAAATCGGTTGTTCTTTTCCATGGCACCGTGTTCATGCCTCTGGCATAGCTCTTGTCATATTCTGCCTTTACTTTGGTGCTTATACCTACTGCCCCAGATAGACTATGTTCTCATGAATTATATTTTAATAAATATATACTGAATAAATACTTGAATTAATTGATTTTCACTCCCATTTTCCTTCCATTTTAGAACAAGTAAGATGGTCTTTCTATTAAAAAGGGAAAATTCCGCATCACAAACAAGACACTTAAGCCAAAGATGTATGCAGGGCATTAGTAGACACTTAGAGTTCTAATCCAAATTATTTAAGTTCTAGCTCCAGATACTTGATTTTATAGAACAGTGAAGAGATTTTAGATGTGACCTCAGGGCTATGAATGATAATCTTTTGGAAATCATAGAGAATGTCAGATGACTCACATGGATAGAAATGAGAGAATGTCACAATTCCAAGTGAGAAAAAATGGTAGGTTCCAGAAACAATAAATCACTAATTTCTATTCAAATCATAAAATAATAAATTAACTGATTATCTTACTTATTCCAAAAAAAATTGACTACTGAGGGTACAAAGATGAGTAAGATATTGATCCTGCTCTGAAGGAAGCCACAGCCTCTTAAGGGGAGACAGAGATGTGAAAAAATAAGTAGAATATGATGTGACCTGTATCATAATGGAGGCATGTGTATACTGCTATGTGAATACAAATGAGAGAGAAATTAATTCTGTCTGAATATGTGGTCAGGGTAGCTGTAGACAGGAGGTAACGTTTGAGTTAGTCTCTAAATAATGAATAGGAATTCCCCAGTAATCAAGTGGGAAAGAGCATCACAGGCAGGCAAAAATGCATAATGGAGTTATGAAAGAATTACAGTGTCCGTCTGAGTAGGTGGGGTGGAGGATGTGTGGAAGAAAATGGCATGGGGTGACCTGGAAGGACAGGCTAGAACTGAGATAGAAAAGGCCTGGCCTGGAAGCCATAACAAGGGATTAGAGCTTGATTTTGTAGAAAATTTTAAGGTACATTCTAAAAATATCTGGTTTACAAACCTGCAGGAATAAAATGTAGATGGATAAGAATATTCATACTGTCTGGCAGAGAGGGATGCTCAGTGAATAAATAATGAATGAACTTAGGTTCATAAAAAAGTTTTTCAGCAAACCTGATTTATAATATTTATGATATAAAATAAATGTGTAAAAACCAGTAGTTTTTTTATATACTAGAAGTGAACAACTGGAAATCATAATGGAAACAATGCCCTTTACAAGAGCAACAAAACTTAATCTACCTATGTGCATGCTTGTAAGAAATAAACTAGAACCTAGAGAAGTAACACAGCAAAATATTAATAAGGGATATAAAAGATGACTTATGTATTTGAAAAAATATGCCATGCCATTGGATGAGAATACCTAACATTTAAATATGTAAATTCTTACAATTTATTTAATATTTTAGTGTTACTTCAATGAAAATCTCAATGACTTTTTTTCCTCTGCAGAAAAGAATAGTTTAAATTTCTTCTAGAGGAGTATTAAGAATATCCAAAAGAAATTTTGTTAATAAAATTACAAAAAACAAATAGAATGAGACTTCTGGTTCCTAAAAGCAAAACATATTACAAGACTATAATAACTGAAATAGTGTGCTACCAGGACAAAACTGGACACAAAGATCATTGGAACATCAGAAAAAAACTCGGAAATATACTTCAGTGTATAAATAAGACATCATGGAAAATTAATGGGAAAAATTATTTGAATGCAAATTAAGTTAATTAAAGTTTTTTTGCCTTTTAATAGTGATAAAATTTTAGTTAAATGAGGGGAATAAAATTAAGAGATATATTGTTCAATATGGTGGCTATAATTAATAACATATTATGTTTTTGAAAATTGCTAAAAGGGCAGATTTTTGGCATTCTCATCATTGAAAAACGGTGTTTGTGAGGTAATACATGTTAATTAGCTCAATTTAGCCTATTCCACAATATATACATGTTTCAAAGCAACATGTTATACATAATAAACATATACAATTTTTATTTGTCTATTAAAAATAAATTTAAAAGAAAAAAGAAGCAGGAAAATAGCAAAAGACTGAAAAAGATTGCAATAGTACTAGAGTTTGGTTGTGTTTTACAGTTGGCAGGAACATAAATCAGTATAACTGTCTGGAAAGAAAATTGTAAATATATACTACGGGCCTTCACACTTCCAGATTTGTTCATTAATTCACAATTTAGGATTCTATTTTAAGGAAATTTTAAAAATTAGGTAAGTATGATAAATTGATCTCTGAATTATTTATATTATCAAAAACCTAGAAATAACCTGAACGTTAAATAATGCTGGAATGATAATTAGAGATTTTCAAACTTTTGAGAAAATCCAATGGAAGTCTTTCCAAGTCTTTTGTTACTTTCTAAGTAACAAAATCTTACTTAGAACTGTAATATTTAAGACACTTAGCAGATCTGTTCTGAGGATGGCAAAGTCTGGAGTGTGTCCACCCACCGAGTCCTTCCTGGGCTCTTTGCAGTAGATCTTGCAGAGAGAACTCCAAAGAACTCTATGACTTTGACAGCACAGCTTGCAAATCATTCCATTAAACACATCCTCCTTGTAATCTATATGACACATTATGATATTTGCAAAAATACTTGGAGGTTTGAGAAAACTTTATGACAAAAATTTAAGTAAAATATAAAATACAAAGCTGTAAATATAACTTTATGATCTCAGCTATCAAAAATACATCTGGGAAAAAAGATTGAATCGGAATACAAAAAAACCCAGATTATATCTGGGTAATAAGATTATAACTAATGTTTGTTTCATCTCTATACTTTTTTGAATTTCTCAATCTTCTTACAAGGAGGGTGTATCTTGTTTTGTTGAGAAATAAAAATGTGTGTGTGTGTATGTGTGTATGTATTTAAAGTCTATTTTGCCAAACAGACATCATTTTGTTTTTTTTTAATATGTTGCTGGCTTGGCGGAAATGCTGTAGTCCTAGCAATCTTATTTCAGCTCAGTGTTTGACAAAATTTCTCAGGATATTTTATTACATCAAATGGACTGTAGACTGAATGAAGTACAGTTAGGTAGAGTCACGATTGAACAGTGCACTCAGTTACATTTATTGAACACTCACGATTTGCCAGGTCCTTTGCTGGGCACTGAAGATGTGAAGTGAGTAAGATGGGATTCCTGCCCTCAATGAGGCCCAGTCCAGGTATCAACAAACATGTGTGCAAATACCCATAGTTTCACAGTGATAGGCATCCACTGGAGGTATGTCAAAGTGTTCTGGAAACTTGAGGAATGACTGGCCTTGGGCCAACATCATAGAGGAAAGAACTTTTGGTATCCACTTTCTTTATGTAAAGCACCATTTTAAATACCTTGTTGCATCAGTCAAGGGTCATAGTTGCAAGCAACAGAGGCAGACTATGATCATGCAGAAAAGGAGTTTTATCCAGCCTGAGTGACAGAATGAGAACCTGCCTCTAATATATATATATATAAAAATCTTATCTTATATAAATAATATGATATATATCATATATAAATAATATATATATTTTATATTTATATAACTATATCTTATAATATATCTTATTATATATAATATCTTATATATAAGTTAAATGTTAATATATGAAACATATATAATAATATATAAATATATATATAAAATATTAGGAAAAGACATTGTATAGTTTTTTGCCTGAAGAGCCAGGCCTGAGACTGAGTTTCTAGGAGCAATATCTAAAACCTTGCTGCAGAACTGGCTCCAGTGAATACGGCCATCACCGTGACTGATACTGCTGTATCAGGATTCAGTCTGGCTACCACTCAGCCCCTGAAATACAAAGTGTCTCTAACAGCATCATCAACAAAATAATCGCCGTGATATGCATCCTTCTTCAAGCTACCTCTTTAGGATTGAAGTCTAGGGTAGGTGAGTAAATGTGGTTGCTGGAGCCTCAGTTACATGCCTATGCCCCAGCTGTAATGAGGCTGGAGTGTTCTTTTTTTTTTTCACATGAATAGACAGGACTCATAAGACTGGGCACTCTATACACAGCATAGGTGCTCAAAATATGCTAGATAAACAGAAAACCTGACTGATGTCCACCATACACATTATATCATTTAATCCTTATGATAGCCCTGTGCAGTATTACGTTTTCTCAATTTTTAAGATGAGGAAACTAAAGATTAAAGGGGTCAAAAAAATGTGCCTAAGTTTCCAAAGCTAGGATGTGGTAGAGCAAGGAACAGAAGTCTGTCTGGCTCCAAAACTCATACACTGATAAGTAAGTACATACCACGCTATGACTCACAGAGGAGGCGCAAACTTTGGCAAAACCCTGAAAGGATAGGAGTTTTCAAGTTCACTGAGGCTTGAACAAGTGTTCACTATGAAGGAGCAGGAGGAGATGATGCTGGAAAGGTAGTATTAGAGACTGAATATGTAACCCTCCAAATTTATATGTTGAAACCGTAATCCCTAATGTGATGGTATTTGGAAGCTATTGTCTGACTCCAAGCAAGAAAATGATGAGGATTTAGTTATATAAAAATTGTTAACTGTTTTGTGAAAACTTAGACTTCTCTGTGGACAGCTGTACATTAAATCCAGGTGTTCAATTACAGGATAGGTAAGGTTCACATGATTTGAAGAAGTTCATATTTGGGAGTTCTGTGGCCTGTTAATTTTACTAACAAAATGAAGTAGCTCTGAAAGCCCTTTTAGGTTGAGCGAATAGAAGCAGTGTTTCCTCAGGGAAGCGTAACACACTCTGCTTTTCTCTGGTTGAGCTGTAAGTAGAATACTGCTTCAAACCTTAGGTGCTATGTATAAAAATATATCCATGTAGAGCTAAAGAAAAAGGGCATTTAGGAGAAGGGTGATAGGGCGGTAAAATGCTAGGGGATTATTTCACATATGTAAGAGGGAGGATCAGAGCATGATACTGCTTGAATCAGATTAGAGGAAGACAGAATAAATGTTTTCAAATATTTGGAAGGCCACCATGTGAAAGAATAGTTAGGTTCTCCTCTTTCCCTCTCTCTCTCTCTCTCTCTCTCTCTCATGCTCCCGAAGTCAGAAAGAAGACTATTGAGAAGGAGTTAGATTTGGGCTCAGTTTAAAGAAGAAGTCAATAACAACTTCAGCTGTCTAAAAAGGAAATGGCTTTGCCTCATAAGGCAGAGGGGCATTTAGACAAAAGCTGGAGAACCATCTACCAGAAGTTCTGTAGGAGAGAATTCTGCATGGAAGCCAGAGGCTGGTGCCGGGAATGGGTAATGGATCAGAGGAAGATGGAGGAGAATGAGCCATTTGAACTCTAAATTATCTTAAATTCTAAGAGTATGCAATACCACATAATCAGATTTCACCATCTTAATTATTCAAGTGATTGGGATAAATTATTGAAAAAAAAAGTAATGGCCAAAGGACTCTTGAGGCCACAGCAACTTCTGAGAGATTGAAAGAGAAAACAGTGATACAGTAGTCACCTGTGAAAAAAGCATTCAGACACTCTATCCTTTTTTAACATCTGAGTTTTCTTTCTCTGGGCTTACTGGGCAACAGTGAGACTTCATAGAAGGAAAATGCGTTTTTATTGATTGAAAAGCAAAGAGCAATGAAGAGTTCACAATGTTGGATAAGACACTGGAATGGAAAGAAAGGGGAAAAAGGGCTAGAAATTATTTCCCAGGAAGAGCAGGTAGTGGTGAGACAACAATAAAATTACTAATAATTACTTTTATAATTGTTGAACATTTATTATGTGCCACACACTGTGCAAAATGTTTTGCAAACATTGTTTCAGTTCACGTTCACAAAATCCCTAAGACGGGAGGACAGGGTTATCTAATCTTTTGGGTTCCCTGAGCCACATTGGAAGAAGAATTGTTTTGGGCCACACATAAAATACACTAACAATAGCTGATGAGCTTTAAAAAATGGCAAAAAAAATCTCCTAATATTTTAAGAAAGTTTACCAATTTTTATTGGGCCACATTCAAAGCCATCCTGGTCTGCAGGCGGCCTGTGGGCTGTGGGTTCGACAAGCTTGCCCTATCAGGTAGTATTAATGTCATCCCCTTTTTATAGATAAGAAAGTGGAATCTTTGAGTTTAAGTAGCTTGCTAGTAAGTAGCACTGGGATTATTAAATGGACCACTTAAATACATTATCCAAAGATTTTCAGTATCCAGAGTTCATCCACAGGAGTGCATAATCCAAAGTTTATATAATTGAAAGCTATTTTATTATGTTAATATTAATTAGTCTCCAAAGATCAAACAGATTTCTCTCTCAATAGTGCTTTCTCTAATCCACTCTTGTCTTTCTTAGATAAAGCAGTGCTGTAGCTGTATAGCCAGATGGATACAGCTTGGATTGACAGGGGCCCTCAATGTTTATAAAGAATAGTTTCATGTTCATCTACCCATCTGCTTGGTATCCATGCGACCATGAAATGGAACAGCTTTTGCATATTTATACTCTTCTTCTTCCTGCCATGCAGAGATGGGGAATTACATGGTCATTTAGAAGTTTGACTGTCCATTTAGGAACATCTCATAATACCCAACAGAATAAAATTACAGAAAGAGAACATTTTCCTTCCTTCTTTTCCTTTCTTCGTGTTATAGTTAATCATATGGGTATGATTTGGATTGACTAAGACTCCTTCCCGTAAGCAGCTTACCTTAGCTTGCAAATCAATTCTCCAAATGATTTGGCTTAGCAAAATTCTTGTTGATCCACAAATTCACAGTGTTTCTGCCTGTCCCTTTTATTTTGGCTTGATTAATGACCCTTTGCCTTCTATTTAGTTTTGCATTGATAAGCCAAGGGAATAGGAAACATCTGTTCATAGCAAGTATTCCTGGAGTTTCAATAGACAAAGATTACTCACCCTATAAATTAAGACATAATACACATTGATACCATATTACAGAGATTGTATAAAAAATGCTTTTTAAAAAAAATCTTACAGTTAAACAATTTTACTAAGAATGTTGTTGCCATGACCAGCCAAGTCCAGGGACAGCATTAAAGAATATGAGTGTTTCTCAATGATTCTTCTAGTCTATTAGCCTCACTGAAGGTCTGTATACTCCCTTCTCCCCCACACACAGCACTGGCCAAAGTCAGTCACTGCTGACTTTCATACATCTTTCCACACTGCATGCGGCCCTTTAGTGAATTATTTGGCCTAAATTTACCTGGACCCAAATAGAAGCAGCAGGAAGGTGGAGAACAGACAATGCCGTCTCCTTTCAGGGAGTAATCTGACCACAGCCATCAGGCCTTGCCGTACCTCTTGCTTTGTACTGCTCCTCTTCCCTCTGCCTATTTTCTAGTGAGAAGTTACTAATTTCATAGCCAGACATGAAATCTAATTAATTCTCAGACTCAAGAAATGTTAGTACTAGAAGAGACATCACCTCCTCAGATTAGAGCAATATTTTTCAAACAGCAAGTTGTGACCCATTAGTGAGTGTTAAAATCAATCGACTGAGTTGTGATCAATTAAATATGGTCAGCTGGGTGCAGTAACTCACACCTGTAATCCCAGCACTTTGGGATGCCAAGGCGGGTGGATCACATGAGGCCAGGAATTCGAGACCAGCCTGGCCAACATGGTGAAACCCCATCTCTACTAAAAATACAAACGTTAGCTGGGTGTGGTGGCAAGTGCCTGTAATCTCAGCTACTTTGGGAGGCTGAGGCAGGAGAATCGCTTGAACCCAGGAAGGAGAGGTTGCAGTGAGCCGAGATCCCACCACTGTACTCCAGCCTGTGTGACAGAGGGAGACTCCATCTCAAAAAAAAAAAAAAAAATTAAATATGATCACACATTCTCTGACTCTCATTATTAAGAAAAAGGAGTCCGTGTTACCTCTTGAATCTGGGTTGGCCTTAGTAATCGGTTTGGCCAATAGAAGGCATCAGAAGTGTCATTCTGGGACTTTGGAGGCCAGGTCATAAGGAAGCTTGCAGGTTCCGCTCAGGTGTCTTGCAAAGCTCATTCTTGGGACACTCTCTGTGGGAACCCAGATGCCAAGCTGTGAGAACCCAGACCACATGGAGAAGCCAAGTATAGCTGCTTAGTCAACAACCAGATCTGAGCTCCCAGCTGCCAGCCAGCATCTATTGCCAACCATATGAGTCCTCTAGGATATCCAACACAAATGAATCTTCAGAAGTCTGCAGCCTCAGCCTTCTGACTACAAGTGCGTGAAAAACTCCAAGCAAGAACCACCCAGTGGGGCCATTCGACCCACAGAAACTCTTGAAATAATATTAACATGTTGTTTTTAAGCTCTAAGTTTTGTTATGCAGCACTATGTAACCAGAACATAGATCAAGAAATTTTTTTAACGAACTAGAATAAAATAGAATACAAAATAATAGAGGGCTATAAAGGGTAAGTGCTATTTTGTAAAACTTTGAATATTTTGTGTGTGTGTGTGTGTGTGTGAGAGAGAGAGAGAGAGAAAGATGGAAAGAGAGCTGAGTTGTGATGTAAAATGTTTTTTCTTCTTTTGAAAGAAGAGATTTATAGATCTATTACCCGCATACCATACAATTCATTCATTTAGAGTGTACAAGTCAATGCTCTTTAAAGTATATTCATTGTGTTTTGCAGGTATTACTGTGATCAATTTTAGAACATTTTAGTCACCTCCCCCCTCAAAAACCTTTATCCATTAATAGTAATTTCCCATTTCTGCCCCCTGCTTAATGTGAGGCAACTACTAATGTACTTTATGTCTTTATAGATTTACCTATTTAGAACATTTCATATAAATGAGATTATCTTAGTCCATTTGTGTTGCTACAAAGGAATATCTGAGGCTGGGTAATTTATAAAGAAAAAAATATATTTGGTTCATAGTTCTGCAGGCTGTACAAGAAACATGGCACCAGCATCTGCATCCAGTGAGGGCCTGAGGCTGCTTCCAATCATGGCAAAACGGAAGGGGAGCCAGCATGTGCAGAGATCACATGGAGGGAGAGGAAGAAAGAGAGAGAGGGATGTGCTGGACTCTTTTGAACACTCAGCTCTCACAGGACTAATAGAGTGAAAACTCACTCATTACCATAAGGATGGCACCTAACCCTTCTTGAAGGATCTGCCTCTGTGATTCAAACACCTTCCATTAAGCCCCAACTCCAACACTGGAGATCAAATTTCAACATGAGATTTGGAGGGGGCAAATATCCAAACCATAGCAGAGATGATACCTCATGTGGTCTTTCGTGAATGAATTCTTTCATATAACATGTTTTTAAGGTTCATTCATATTACAGCATGTAACAGAATTTTGTTTCTTTTTGTTACAAAATAATATTCCATTGATGAATATAAAACATTTTATTTATTTATCAACAGAAAAAAGGGCAAAGGCAACAAATAGGACAGAGTAACAAATACAGTGGAATAATGGACACTGGAGATGTAGAAGGGTTTCAGAGTAGGAGGGAGGTGGACAATGAGAAATTACATAATGGGTGCAGTATGCATTATTTGGGTAATGGGTACATTAAAAATTCAGACTTGGCCACTACACAATATATCATGTAACAAAATTGCACTTTGTAGTCCTTACATTTAACAGTTAAAACTTTCAAAAAGATACTAATTCAATTCTATCAACAGTCAATTCCATTTTTATCTTTAAAAATGAACAGATATAATTGCATGTATTATTAGGTACAACATGATATTTTGATATGTACATTGTGGAATCACTAAATCTAGCTGATTAGGCTATGTGTTACCCCACATAATTATCACTTTTGTGGTGAGAACAGGTTACAGCATTCTCATAGCATTTTTCAAGAACATAATATATTATTAACTGTAGTCACCATGTTGTATATTAGATCTCCTGAATTTATTGTTCCTATCTAGCTGAATTTTTTTATCTTTTAGCCAACATCTTTCAAACTCCTCCATCCCACATCCATCCCAGTCCCTGATAACCACCATTATCACTTCTATACGATCAACTTTTTCAGATTCCATATATGAGTGAGATCATGTGGTATTAGTTTTTCTACACCTGGCTTATCTCACTTAACATAATGTCCTCCAGGTTCATCCATGTTGTCACAAATGACAGAGTTTTCTTATTTTTAGGCTAAACAGTATTCTATTGTGCATATATACCACATTTTCTTTATTCATCCATTGATAGGTACTTAGGTTGACTCCATATCTTAGCTATTGTGAATAATGCTGCAATAAACATGGGAGTGAAGATATCTCTTCAACATATTGATTTCATTTTATTTGTATGCCTACCGATAGTAGAATTGCTGGATCATATGGAAGTTCTATTTTTAATTTTTTGAGGAAACTTCATACTATTTTCCATTATGGCTTTACTAATTTACATTTCTACCAACAGTGTCCTAGGATTGCATTTTCTCTGCTCTTGCTAACACTTGTTATCTCTTGTCATTTTAATCACAGCTGTTTTAGGTGGGGTGAGAAGATCTCTTTGTGGTTTTGACTTGCATTTCCCTGATGCTTAGTGACAAGCGTTTTTTCGCATACCTTTTGGCAATTTGTATCTTCTTTGGAGGGATGTCTATTCAGATCCTTTGCCATTTTTAAATTGAGTTTTTTTTTTTCACTATTGAGTTGTTTGAGTTCCTTTTATAATTTGCATATTAATTTTTTAATCAGATATATAGTTGGCAAATATTTTCTCCCATTCTGTAAGTTGTCTCTTCACTCTATTGATTGCTTTGCTTTGAAGATTTTTAGTTTTTATAATTCCATTTGTCTATTTTTGCTTTTATTGCTTATGCTTTTGGGGTCATATCCAAAAAGTAATTGCTTAGATTCATGTCATGATGATTTCCTCCTATGTCTTTTTCTAGTAGTTTCATAGTTTTGGGTTTTAGATTTATGTCTTTAATCCATTTTGAGTTGATTTTTGTATGTAGTGTGAGATAAGGGTCCAGTTTTACTCTTCTACCTGTGGATATTCAGTTTTCTGCGCACTGTTTATTGAAGAGACTGTTTTTGCCCTATGTGTGTTCTTAGTGCCTTTGTCAAAAATCAATTGACTGTAAGTATTTGAATTTATTTCTGGGACCTCTTTTCTGTTTTTTTTTTTTGTCCATGTATCCAGTTTTATGCCAGTACCATATTATTTTGATTACTATAGCTTTGTAGTATATTTTGAATTCAGGTAGAGTGATGTGTCCAGATTTATTCTTTTTGCTCAGGATTACTTTGGCTACTCAGGGTCTTTTGTGGTTTCGTACAAATTTGAGCATTGTTTTTATCTATTTCTGTGACAAATGTCTTTGGCATTTTTATAGGGATTTCAGTGAATGTGTAGATTGCTTTGGGTAATGTATTTGTCTGTTCTCACACTGCTAATAAAGACATACTTGAGACTGGATAATTTAAAAAGAAAGGAAGTTTAATGGACTCACTGTTCCACATGGCTGGGGAGGCCTCACAATCATGGTGGAAGGCAAAGGAGAAGCAAAGGCCTGTCTTACAGGGTGGCAGGCAAGAGAGAGCACATACAGAGGAACTCCCCTTTATAAAACCATCAGATCTCATGAGATTTATTCACTATTACGAATTGCTCTGGCTTGGAGCTCCAGTACTATATGAAATAGAAGTGGTAAGAGTGGGCATCCTTGTCTTGTTCTGGATCTTAAATAAAAAGATTTCAACTTTTCCTCACTGAGTATGATGTAAGTTGTGGGTTTGTCATGTATGACCTTTGTTGTATTGAGGTACATTCCTTTTATACCTAATTTGTTGAGAGATTTTATTATGAAAAGGTATTAAATTTTGTGAACTGCTGTTTCTGCATCCCTTGGAATGATTATATGTTTTTTTTCATTGGTTCTGTCAATGTGATTTATGTCTGTTGACTCATTTTTGCATTTTTGGGATGAATCCAACTTGATCAGGGTGAATGATTTTTTAAAATGTACTGTCAAATTCAGTTTGCTAGTATTTTGTTAAGGATGTTTGCATCTATGTTAATCAGGGATATTGATCTATAGTTTTCTTTTGTGTAGTGTCTTTGGCTTTGGTATCAGGGTGGGGCTGGCCTCTTAAAATAAGTTTGGAAGTATTTCTTTAATTGTTTGAAATGGTTTGAGAAGAATTGGTATTAGGTTTTTTAAAAAAAAATTTGATAGAATTCAGCAATGAAGCCATCAGGTCCTGAGCTTTTTAGGATACAAAATCAATATACAAAACAATTAGTAGCACTTCTATACATTACTAGTGAACTATCTGAAAAAGAAATCAAGAAAACAACTCCATTTACAATAGCTCCAAAAAATAAAATACTTAGGAACAGATTTAAGAAGTAAAAGATCTTTACACTGAAAACTGTAAAACATTGGTGAAAGAAATTGAAGAAGGCACAAATAAATGGAAAGATATCCTGTGTCCATGGATGGGAAGAATTAATATTGTTAAAATGTCCATATTACCCTAAGTAATCTACAGATTCAATGAAATCCCTATCAAAATGCCAATAACATTTGTCACAGAAATAAATAATCCTAAAATTTGTATGAAACCACAAAAGACCCCGATTGCCAAAGCAATCCTGAGCAAAAAGAATAAATCTGGACACATCACTCTATCTGACTTCAAAATATACTACAAAGCTATAGTAATCAGAACAGTTTGGTACTGGCATAAAAACAAGACACATGAACCAAAAAAAACAGAATAGAGAGCATAGAAATAAATCCACAATTTTGATGGGAGACTCTTTACTACTGATTACATCTCCTTATTTATTATTGGTCTGTTCAGATTTTTTATTTCTCCATAATGCAGTATGTAATATCTCTTTTTTCATTTCTGATTTTACTTGAGTCTTCTCTCTTTTCTTATTCTATCTAAAGGTTTGTTGATTTTGTTTATCTTTTCAAAAAAGAAACTCCTAGTTTTGTTGATCTTTTCTCATTTTTCTAGTTGTTTCATTGATTTCTGCTTTGATTTTTGTTATTTTATTCCGTGTATGTGTGCATTTTTTTTTTTTTTTTTGAGACAGAGTCTTGCTTTATCACCCAGGATGGAGTGCAGGGGCATGATCTCAGCTCACTGCAACCTCCACCTCCTGGGTTCAAGTGATTCTCATGCCACAGCCTCCCAAGTAGCTGGGACTACAGGCACGTGCCACCATGCCCAGCTAATTTTTGTATTTCTTGGTAGAGATGGGGTTTTGCCATGTTGGCCAGGCTGGTCTTGACTCCCGGTCTCAAGTTATCTGCCTGCCTCAGCCTCCCAAAGTGCTGGGATTACAGCCATGAGCCACCACACCCGGCCTTTTCCTTCCATTAACTTTGAGCTTAGTTTGTTCTTGTTTTTCTTAGTTCCTTGAGGTGCAATGGTAGTGTATTTGAGATTTTTCTTCTTACGTATTTATTTGTTGCTATAAACTTTCTCTTAGAACTGCTTTGCCGTATCCCACAGGTTTTGATATGTTGTGTTTCCATTTTCATTTGTCCCCACAATTTTAAAATTTCTTTAACATTTTTTCATTAAAATTGTTCAGGAGTATGTTGTTTAATTTCCACATATTTGTGAGTTTTCAGAAATTGCTCCTCTTATTGATTTCTAGTTTTATACGGTTATGGTTAGAAAAGATACTTGATATGATTTCATCTTCTTAAATTTGTCAAGAATAGTTTTGTAGCCTAACATATGATCAAACCTGGAGGATGTTCCATATCCAGTGGAGAGGAATGTATTCTATAGCTGTTGGATGGAATGTTTTGAATGGCTTTGTCTGGTAGTTCATATATCTCAATTTCAATAAAAAGCCACTGTCTTCTTATTTTGTCCATTTAGTGATGCTATGTTTTCCTGATTGTTCTTGATTCTGTGGTTGAGTGTTGATGTCTGAGTATTTGAAAGACTAGGTCCTTATTCCAATTTTTACAGACTGGTTTTGTCTAGGAAGGCCCTGTAGCAGGTATGGTGCTGGGGCACACTAGAAGTTCAAGGTAGCTGCAGCTGGCACAGTGCTGCCAGAAGCCTAGGGCCTGTTTGGCAGGTGTGGCACTTGGGCAGGCCAGAAGCCTGGGTTAGATACGGCCAGCATGGCAATGGAATGTGCCTGAAGCCTAGGGACCACTGAAGCCTACCTGATGCTGAGGGCTGTCTGGAGCCCAGGGCCACTGATGTTGGCCGGCTGTTGTGTGGTCTGGGGTTAGAGTTTGTCATAAGCTTGAAGCTTATGTCTATGTAGTTCAGCCTGGCATTTTAGTGAGTCTTTAGGCTCAATCCATGGGTACTGGTTTGAAATATGAAACTGTGGGGGTCTGCCTGGTGCTGAGTTTTACTACAATAGGCCCAGCGTTGGGGTTCAAGGCAGTCTTGTGCTCACTGCCCTCTCTTTTACCCAGTGGACAGTGTCTCTCTCTTTCTCTCTCTCTATGCTGTATTGCCTGGGGTTAGGCGGGGGTGATGGAGATAATGTGTAAGTGTCCCATTTGCCTTCTTCAATACATCTTTTCTTATTATTTTGCTACAACCAGGTTCTGTCATCTCCCATTTCTTTGTTTGTTTTTTCTCTCTTGTGAAGGCATTTTTATGCTTGGATAGTTGTTCCAATTGAAATTTCTGCAGGGGGATAATTGCTGGAAAATCCTTTTCCACCATCTTTCTCTGTATCTATCAACAATAAATTTGAATGTGAATGGTCTCAACAGACAAATTAAAAGAAAGAGATTGTCAAGATGGATCAACAAGCAAAACCCAATTACATGTTGGATACAAAACCCCCACTTTAATATAAAGGCATATTATAGATTAAAGAGATGAAGAGGCTGGGCATGGTGGCTCATGTCTGTGATCCCAGCACTTTGAAAGGCCAATGTGGGAAGATCACTTAAGGCCAGGAGTTCTAGAACAGCCTGGCCAACATGGAGTGAAGCCCCATACCTAGTAAAAATACAAACATTAGCTGGGTGTGGTGGTGAGCAACTCTAATCCCAGCTACTCAGGAGGCTGAGGCAGGAGAATCCCTTGAACCTGGGAGGCAGAGGTTGCAGTGAGCCAACATTGCTCTCCATTGCACTCCAGCCTGGGCAACAGAGTGAGACTCTGTCTCAAAAAAAAAAAAAAAAAAAAAAAGTAAGGAGATGAAGAAAGATATGCCTTGCTGACACTAACCAAAAGAAAGCTGATGTAGCTGTGTTAACTTCAGACAAAGCAGTCTTCAGATTAAGAAATATTATCAGGAATTAAAAGGGACATCACATAATTATAAAGAGGTCAAAACTTCATTAAGACATAACAATTCTTAATGTGTATGTGCCTAACAACAGAACATTAAAATACATAAGGCAAAAACTGATAGAACTGCAAGGAGTAATCGATAAATCCATGATTATAGTTGGAGAGTTCAACACCCCTCTATTAGAAATGAACAGATCCAACATGCAGAAAATCAGTAATGGCACAGTTAAACTCAACAACACCGTCAATCAACTGGACAAAATTGACAGCTATTGACTATTTCATCCAAAAACAGCAGAATATACATTTTTCCAAGCTCATATGGAACAACCAACAAGATAGAATACATTCTGGATCATAAAATATAACTTAAAACAATAGAAATTATAAAATGTCTTCTCTCAAACCATGGTGGAATTAAACTAGAAATCAATAACAGAAAGATAAAAAATCCCCAAATACTTGGAGATTATACAACACACTTCTGAATAACACATAGGTCAAAGAAGAAATCTCAAAAGAATTTAAAAAATACTTTGAACTAACTACAAATGAAAACATATCTTACCAAAATTTGTGAAGTACAGCGAAAGCAGTGCTCAGAGGGAGAGTTATAGCGTTGTATGCATGTATTAGAAAAGAAAGATGTAAAATCAATCATCTGAGCTTCCACCTTAGGAAAGTAGAAAAAGAAGAGCAAATTAAATCCAAAGTGAGCAGAATAAAAGAAATAAGAAAAATTATAGTAGAAATCAATGAAATTGCAAACAGAAAATTAATAGAGAAAATCAACCAACCCAAAAGCTGTTTCTTTGAAAAGATCAATAAAATTGATAAGCCTCTAGCCAGGCTTACTAAGCAAAAAGGAAAGAAGACGCAAATTACTAATGTCAGAAATAATAGAAGGGACACCAATACAGATCCCACACATATTAAAAAGATAGTAAAGGAATATTACAAACAACTATAACCCCATAATATGATAATCTAGATGAGACAGACCCAATTTCTTGAACAATACAATCTGCCAAACTTGCACAAGAAGAACTATATGACAGGAATAGGCCTATATTTTTATTAAAGAAACTGGATCAATAATTAACAACCTTCCAAAACAGAAAGCTTCATGTCCCTATGGGTTCACTGGTGAATTCTATCAAACATTTAAGCAAGATATCATGTCGTTTTTCTGAAATCTCTTCTAGAAGGAGCAGAGGGAATACTTCTTAACTTATTCTATGAAGCCAGCATTACCCTAATACCAAAGTCAGAAAAACATTGCAAGAAAGAAAACTACAGACCAATATCTCTCATGAACATAGATAAAAAAATCCTCAATGAAATATTAGCAAGTCAAATCCAACAAGGTTAAAAAAAAATTGTACACCACAACCAGTTGGGTTTACTCCAGGTATGCAGAGCTGGTTCAACTTTGGCAGATCTATTAATGTAATCCATCACAGGAATAAGCCAAAGAAAAAAAATACATGATTATATCACCCATTTATGATACAATATCCATTTATAATAAAAACTCTCAGCAAACTAGGAATAGAAGGAAACTTCCTCAACTTAATAAAGGCCATCTATAAAATGTTTACAGCTAACGTCATACTTAGTGGAGAGAAACTGGAAGCTTTTCTGTTAAGATCAGGAGCAAGACAAGGGTGTCTCTTCTCACCACTCCTTTTTAACATTGTCCTGGAGATACTAATTAATGGAATAAGACAATAACATAAAATAAAAGGTGTTCTAATTGGGAAGGAAAAAAATAAAACTGCCTTTGTTCACGATAATGTGGTCATCTATGTAGAAGATTGGAAAAAATTAAAAAAAACCTTCTGGAAGTAATAAGCAGCTAGAGCAAGGTTGCAGTATACAAAGTTAACATACAAAAGTCAATCACTTCCTGATATAGCAACAATGAACAAGTAGAATTTGAAATTTAAAATACAGTGCCACTTATTTTAACTCCCTAAATAATGAAATCATTAGATTTAAATCTGACAAAATATGCACAAGATCTATGTGAGGAAAATGACAAAACTCTGATGAAAGAAACCTAACAAGAACAAAAAAATGGAGACATACTGTATTTGTGAATAGGAAGACTCAATATTGACAAGATGCTAGTTCTTCCCACCTTTATCTACAGATTTAATGAAATCTCAATAAAAATCCCAGTAAGTTATTTTGTGGATATTGACAAACTGATTCTTAAGTTTATATAGAGAGCCAAAGGACCAATAATAGCCCAAAATTAAAGGAGAAGAAGGTGGAAGACTGACACTATCCAACTCCAAGACCTCTTATAAAGCTACACTCATCAAGACAGTGTGATATTGGTAAAAGAACAGATAAATAGATCAATGGAACATAATAGAGAGCACAAAAATATACCCACATAAATAATCTTTGACCTTTGACAAAAAAGCAAAGGCAATACAATGTAGCAAAGATAGTCTTTTCAAAAAAAGATGCTGTAACATCTGGATATCTGCATGCAAAACAAACAAACCAACAAAAAACCCAAATTACTAATCTAGATACAGACTTTACACTCTTCACAATAATTAAATCAAAATAAATTATATACCTAAATTAAAATGGAAACAATGAAACTTCTAAAAGGTAACATAGGAGAAAATCTATGTGACCTTGGTGCTATGGTCTGAGTGTTTGTGCCCTCCAAAATTTATATGTTGAAACCTAGTAACTGACATGATGGTATTAGGAGGTGGGACCTTTGGGAAGTGATTCAGTGATGGGGGCAGGGTCCTCACAAATGAGATTAGCACCCTTAAAAAAGAAGTCCCAGAGACCTGTCTCATTCCTTTTGCTATGTGAGAACAAAGCAAGAAAGCACCATTTGGGAGTCTGGAAGTGGGCCCTATCCAGACACTGGATGGCTGGCCCATTGATTTTCAAGATCAAGGGATCCCCAGAACTCTAAGAAATAAATTTCTATTGTTTGTTAGCCAATTAGTTTATGGTATTTTGTTACGGTAACCTGAATGAACTAAGACACTTGGGTATGGTGATGACTTTTTGGTCACAACACCAAAGACACCATTCAGGAGAGTAATTATTGATAAGTGGGATTTCATTAAAACCAAAAATTCTAGTTCTATGAAAGACCAAAAAAGAATAAGAGACAAGAGAATAAGAAACAAGCCACAGACTAGGAGAAAATATTTGCAAAAGGCTTATTTGATAGAGGGTATCTAAAATGTACTTAGAACTCTTAAGACTTAACAAAAAGAAAATGAACAACCTGATTCATAAATTACAAAAGTTCTAAACACACACTTCACCAAAGAAGGTATACAGATGGCAGAGAAGCATACAAAAAAAATCAACATCATACGTCATTAGGAAATTGCAAATGAAACAACACTGAGATACCACTACACACCTAGTAGAATGGCCAAAATTTGAAACACCAACAACATCAATGCTGGTCGGTGAGGATGTGGAGCAATAAGAGTGCTCATTCATTTTGGAGCAGAATGCAAAATAGTACAGGCACTCTGAAAGACAGTTTGGCAGCTTCTTACAAAGCTAAACATACTCTTACTGTATTATCCAGCAATCACACTCCTTAATGCTTACCCAAATAAACTGTAAACATTTCTACACCAAAACCTGAAGACTAGTGTTTATAACAGCTTTATTCATAATTGTCAAAAGCTGGAAGTAACCAAGATGTCCTTCAGTAGACAAATAAACTATGGTACATCCAGATAATGGAGTATTATTCAGCATGAAAAGATAGGAGCTATAAAGCCATGAAAAGCCATGGAGGAAATGTAAATGCATATTACTAAGTGAAAGAAGCCAATCTGCACAGGCTACATACTATATGATTCCAAATATATAACATTCTGGAAAAGGCAAAACTATAGAGACAATAAAAGATGAGGAAAAGAGGGAGAGAAGGATGTATAGGCAAAGCACAGAGGACTTTTAGGGAGGTGAGACTGCTCTGTATGATACTACAGTGATTGATGCACGTCCTTATAAATTCATTTACACCCATAGAATGTACAACACCTAGTGTGAACCGTAATGTGAACTATGGACTTTGGGTGATAATAATGTGTAGGTTCACCAATTATAACAAATGTACAACCGTGGTGGGGAATTTTGATCATGAGGGATGTTATGTGTATGTGGGGGGAGTATATGGGATATCTCTGTGTAGTTTGCTCAAGTTTGCTGTGAACCGAAAACTGCTCTAAAAGTAAAGTTTATTTTTTTTAAAGCAACAGGCTAACATCCAATTAAAAAAAATTGAAGCGTTTTTTGGCCTAGACTTAGGTAGGAAAGAAGAGATAAGTTCACTCAGTACATATAAACTGTAAACAAGAATTCTTGCTGCTTGAAAATACTCATCATTGACTTTACCTGTGCATACAAGAAAACTGACAAAATGCTAAGGCTTACCTGCATGATTAGTGGATATTTTCCTTGTTCAGCAAAAGGCCAGTAAAAAATATTTCTGACTGAGCTGCAACATGAAAACAATTTACCACCTCATCACTCTTAAACAAAAGGTTCAATTCAAAGTGTGTTCAATCCTGACATATACCATATGCCTGAGAATGATCACTGAATAGAAACATGGATGTGAGGATAATAATGCATATGTATGGTAACCAATAAATATTTCAATGAGGTTTGTTTATTCTGCAGTAGCGGGGTTTGAATAATTCAGGTATTTTGATTCCCAATCCCATCTATTTTCTTTTTAAACCATAGAGTCTAGGTCAAGTATTGGCCTGTTACCTAACTGGTGGAAGCACTCAATGAACATTTCCTGGAGAAATGTGAATGTTTTGAAATGGGCTGATCAATATATCTCCAGAACTGTCCAGGCAAGGGATGCATTGATCAAGTGATAAAGCGGGACACACTGGAATCTGCTTGCCATCACTTGGATCATCACTTGGTTCTTAAGATCATTTATCTCCTTTCCCCAGTGAGTCTATAGTAACCTTGCTTTTAGGCCAGCAGACACTAAGATCATTCTGCTACCTGGTGGTGCTATGTCTCACCTGGACTATTACAATATTGTCCTAATCTATCATCGTCTAGTCTTACCCCATTTTATTCCATCCTGCATGTCCCTCTAGAGTTACTTTTAAGAAATACAAACTTGTCACATCACTTTGTATGCATAAAACCTACTGCCTGCAGGACAAATTCCAAGTTCTTTAGCATGAAGTACAAAGTCTTTCACAATTTAACCATGGTTTACATTTTGAACTTTTTCTCCCTTTCCTTTCGGTGTGGAATTCCAAATGCTCTGTAATTTCTAACCCACCCATTGTGCAGGGCAAAAACCCTGGAGTATCTTCAACTCCTTCCTTTCTCTCACATCCCATTTCCAATCCATCAGCAAATCCTAATGGCTCTACCTTCAAAATATACCATAAATTTGAGCATTTTAGCCATATATACTCATACTATCCTGGTTCAGTTTAACATGATCTGTTGGATAGATTATTGGAATACTTTGTAACTGGTTTCCCTGATGTCTATGTATCACAGAGTAGGATAGTGATCCTCTTAAAACCTAAATCAGGTCACATCACTCCTGTCCTCAAAGCCCTCCAGTGACTTCTTGTCTCACTTGGAAGGAAGCTCAGAGTCCTCACCAGGGTCCTAGATCACCTACTACTTCCCCACTCATTTGCTGTGCCGCAGCCACTTTTCCTGCTCTCAGGAGCTTTGCACGCACTATCGATCTCCTCTTTCTGAAAATGCCTTCCCCGGGTATCCACACAGCTGACTATCTCATTTATTTCAGGTTTCACCTCGAATGTCACCTTATTAATGAGGTCTTCCCTATTCAATGTATACAAAATAGTATCTCCTCGTTTACACTCTTTAACCTGCTTCATTTTTCCCCATAGCATTTAACAACATCAAATATGTTTACTTATATGTTACCAGGCCCCACATTAAAATATAAATTCCACTGGGCATGGTGGCTCACGCCACATAATCCCAGCACTTTGAGAGACTGAGGTGGGTGAATCACCTGATGTCAGGAGTTTGAGATCAACCTGACCAACATGGTGAACCTCCATCTCTACTAAAAATACAAAAATTTGCCGGGTGTGGTGGCACATGCCTCTAAGTCCCAGCCACTTGGGAGGCTGAGGCACGAGAATCACTCGAACCCCAAAGGTGGAGGTTACAGTGAGTCAAGATTGCACCACTGCACTCCAGCCTGGGCAACAGAGCAAGACTCCATCTCAAATAAATAAATAAATTCCTTTAGGGATGACTTTATCTACTTTGCTTATTTTGGCATCCTTAATTTCTAGAACAGTGCCTAGCACAAACTAAGGACTCATTAAAATATTTCTTGCCTTAATCGAAGTGATTGAGGGACAGTTTTGCTTCTTTCCTCATGTTAAGACTAGATTGTTGAGCTCAGTTTCTTTTGGATAACTACTGAGTAATTTGCTCTAAGTAAAATATTATCTGAGCTGAGATTTTACAGGGGTATTTATATTTCTAATAATACTGATACCATATATAGGACATTGGAGAATGCTATATTTTTATAGTAACTGCATCTTTATTATTTTATTTGGCCCTCATAACACAATATAGAAGGTATTAATGTTATCACTTCCATTTTTTCTTAGGTTAGAAAACCGATGCTTTACTAAGATGCAAAATGTCAGTACTTTAAAGATAAGGAAACAGTAATCTACAGAAAATATGGATTCGACCATGACCCTAGTGTAGCCTGGAAAAGAAAAAAACAGAGAGATAATATAATCTTTTGATATTTTACAGTCAGTCTATGGAAGGACAAACAATTCCAACCAATGGAGTGAGAAATATTTTTGAAAAATTATATCCATCCCAAAATAGAACAAGCCACCTTGAGAGTGACTCATCAATGGAAGTGTTGCAACAATGACTAGACTATTAGTTTCAGGCCAAACTTGTCACAGAACGAATGCCATACAGAAAACTCTAGGTATTCTTTAAACCCAATGATCTATGAATCCATAAACTGTATCATACTTCATGCTCCAAAGAGTATTTCAGATCCTTTAGTGATGGAAAAAGAACCGTTATGAAAAAGAGTGAAATAAATCACTGTCTCTTGCATAGCTCCCTTCTGTATCTCAGGTAGCTTGTAAGAAGCAGCCCTGTTACAAATTTCAAGTAAAGAGCCTGAGGGCTTAACAATGAAATCAAAGAAGGGACATTAGACCAGGCAATACCAGCTGCTATAGCGGCAGGAGAACAAGCTCCACGAATTTCCTTGATACAAACAGTCCAGTTCTGTGCTTAACCTCTGCACCAGCTGCCCAGAGTGAGGGAACAGTGTCAGAACTAGCAGAGTCTATTGTTGACAAAAGGAAACTGGTGGTAGAAGGTCAGATGCAAGTAAGAGATGGTGTTTTCACATCCTGGGAATTGAGCTGTTGTTTAGAAGTGAGTTTGATAGAAATCATTTTTCCTTTCCTGGCTGATCTGCAGCCAAGCATGTGGGTCAGAAATTTCAAACAGATAAACAAGGGTCTCACCCTAAAGCACTCTCAAGAAAGCTTGTTTAGTCAGCTACATAATGTTTGAGATAAATTTAAAAACTACTGTTTTGTTGACCCTGAACTAATTTTGTTTAAATGATGCTTGAAACTAAGATCTGGGCTAAGGAATGGGGGATTGAAATGGAATGCTTAACCAGTGGCATATGAAAGGATAATTTTTTATCTCATTGAGTTTATAGTACATTTATAAATAGAAAACATTGCATTAACCACATAAAAGAAATTATGAAAGCAGTTGTCATGAATATCCAAAGGGAAAGCTCAATATTTTTCAAGTTCTTCAGTAAGGGAGCTTTAAAGTCAGTAAATTACTATGGCGTATCAAGAGACAGCTTGTCTAAGAGATAGTTGTCTATCGTTTGTTGTCAAATCTAATTTCTTTGTGAAAGATCTCCCCACCTCCTATCTGTGTGCTTTACTCTTGCTTTAGGACCTCTGCTGGCTTCCTCTTCATTTTTGAACAAAGCTCTGACTCCAGTATGGTGTAGAAAACCCTTCACACTGAGCTCTGTTAGGTAACTCTAAGCGCCAGCATTGTGCCACTCTACAGGCTCCACAGCAGAATTCCATTTCCTGAACCTGCTAGACTGGTTTCAGCACTCGCTCTTACTCATTTTTACTCTGCCTACTCGGAATGCTCTCTCTTCGCTTCTTCATCCCAGCAAGCTCCTTTCCATCCTGAAACTTGCAGGTAGTGGTGGTAAGGGAATGAACCCTTTCTGAAGTCTTGCCCATCCTCAGATGAACTTACAATTCTCTGTAAACCAATGGGATTTCTCATCTTTACTGCTACGCTGTTATAGTCTTGATGAACATCTTTATGGTTCATAATGAATTACTAATTAAAATGAATGTATCCTGACCATCTTTACACTCTCACTAATGATGCAGTTTAATACAGTGGCACTGGAGCCAGGCTCCCTGTACATTTTTTAAAGGCTGCTCTACTTACTAGTGGATGTATTTGGGCAATTATCTAATCTTCATAGAAAGTGTTTAGAATAAGGCCTGGTTCATGTACTCAGTACACTTTAGCTATTATTTATATGTCCCAAGACTGGCACGTTCTTGATGTTTAATAATCATAACCACAAACACTTACTAAGCACTTGGTATGTGGTCATGTTAAGTACCTTTTTACTTTTTATTCTGTGGGTACATAGTAGGTGTATATGTTAAGTACCTTTCATGTAATGCCTCATGAATTCACACGGCCAGGGCCAAGACTAGAGCGAGGGGCTAGCAAGGCATCTAAGGGCAGAAAATTTAAGGAAGTGCTCAATGTTGGGGTTGAGCAAGTGACCTCTGCTGAGCCTACACTGCATGGTCTTGAGAATGACAACCTCCGTAACTTATCTAACACCTTTATTGAGATATTTATATACTATATACTATAAATCAATTTATATACTATACAATCCATTTATTTCAAGTGTACAATTCAGTGGCTTTTAGTATATTCACGGGGTGGTGTGACCATCACAATCAATTTTGGAACATTTTCATCACCCTCGCAAGACCCTGTACACAGTCAGTCCTCTCTTACCTTCAATCTCCCCGGCTCTAGGCAACCACGAATCTACTCTTTGTTTCTATAGATTTGCCTCTTCTAGACATTTTATATAAATATGCCTTATGTGGTTCTTTGTGACTCGCTTCTTTCACTTAGCATATTGTTTCCAAGGTTCACCCATGTTGTGGCATCTCTCAGTACTTCCTATTTTTAATTGCTGAATGGTATTCCATTGAAGGGATATACCACATTTTACTTATCTATTCTCCAGTTGATGAATACTTGTTATAGCTTTAATTAGTGCTAACATTTAGCTTATGATATATTGGAGTTAATTTTTTTATTGTGGTAAGAACACTTAACACTATGTACTTGGGTTGTTTCCACTTGTTGACTACTATGAGCAATGTTGCTATGAGCATCTGAGTGGGTATGTTTTCATTTCTCTTGAGTATATACTTAGGAGTGAAGTTATTGGGTCAAATGGTAACTCTGTGTTTGACATTTTGAGTAACTGTCAGATTATTTTCCTAAGTGGTTGCACCATTTTACACTGCCACCATCTGGGTTCCAAATTCTTCACACTTTCCTCAACACTTTCCCTTTCCATCATTTGGGTTATAGCCACCCTAGTGCGTGTAAAGTGCTGTCTTACTGTGGTTTTGACTTGCATTTATATTTTCATGTGATTATTTGTCATTTGTATATCTTCTTTGGAGAAATGTCTATTTAGATATTTTGCCCATTTTTAAATTGGGTTATTTATGTTTTCATTATTGAGTTGTGTTTCTTTTATATGTTCTAGATAAAAGTATCTTATCAGATATATTATTTGCAAATATTTCCTCCCATTCTGAAGGTGTATTTTTATTTTTATTTTTCAAATAATGCCTTTTGGAGCAGAAAAGTCTTTGATTTTGATGAAGCCAAGTTTATCTTTTTCTTCTTTTTTCAATTGTGCTTTTGGTGTTGTATCTAAGAAAGCCTTGCCTAACCCCTGGTCATGAAGATTTACTCTTTTTTTTTGAGATGGAGTCTCACTCTGTCACCCAGGCTGAAGTGTGGTGGCACGATCTTGGCTCACTGCAACCTCGGCCTCCAGGGTTCAAGTGATCCTCCTACTCCAGCCTCTCGAGTAGCTGGGACTACAGGCGCCTGCCACCATGCCCCGCTAATTTTTTGTATTTTTAATAGAGACGGGCCTTCACCATATTGGCCAGGCTGGTCTCAAACTCCTGACCTTGTGATCCGCCCACCACAGCCTCCCAAAGTGCTGGGATTACAGGCCCGAAGATTTACTCTTATGTATTCTTTTAAGAGTGTTATTGCTTTAGTTAGTGCTAACATTTAGGCTTATGACATATTGGAGTTAATTTTTTTTTATTGTGGTAAGAAGACTTAACATGAGATCCACTCTCTTGACAACATTTTTAAAGTGTATAATGCAGTATTGCTAACTATTGACATAATGTTATACAACATATCTCTGGAATTTATTAATCTTGAGTAACTGAAATCTTATGCCGTTGAACAGCAACTCCTTATTTCTTCCTCCCCTCAGCCCTTGGCAACCACTATTATACTTCCTGCTTGTATGAGTTTGACTAATTTAGATACTTCCTAAAAGTACACAAATGTACTATTAGTGTTTTTGTGGCTGGCTTACTTCACTTAGCGTAATGTTCTTAAGGCTCATCTATGTTGCTATATATGGCAGAATTTCCTTCTTTGTTAAGGTGAATAATATTTCATTCTGTGTTTATAACACTTTAAAAATCTACTCCTCTGTTGATGGACATTTAGGTTGTTTCCACATTTTGACTTTTGTGAATAATGCTGCAATGTATTATGGGAGTACAATATCTCTTATAGAGCCTATTTCAATTCTTTCAATTTTTTTCAATTCTTTTGGATAAGTACTCAAAAGTTGGACTGCTGGATCACATGATAGTTCTATTTTTAATCTTTTGAGGAAACTTCATACTGTTTATCATGGCAACTGCACCATTTTACATTATCCAAAATAGTTTACAGGGGTTCCAGTTTCTCCATGTCTTCACTAACACTTGTTATCTTTTGTTTCTAGTTTTTGATAAAAGTCATTTTAATAAGTGTGAGGTGTTAGCTATCTGATTCTGGTTTTCATTTGTATTTCCCTGGTGATTAAAGATGTTGAACATTTTTTCATGTACTTGTTAGTCATTTATATGTCTTTAGAAAAATGTTTATTTATGTCCTTTGTCAATTTTTGAATCAGGTTTTTAGTTTTTTTTTTAAACTATTGAGTTGTAGAAGTTCCTTATATATTTTGGATATTAACCCATTCATAGATATGTGGTTTGCAAATATTTTCTCCCATTTTGTATGTGATCCCTTCACTCTGTTGATTACTTCATTTGCTGTGCAGAAGCTTTTTAGTTTAATGTAGTCTCACTTGTTTATTCTTTGTTGACTGCACTTGTTTATTCTTTGTTGACTGTGCTTTTGGTGTTATATCCTTGAAACCATTGCCAAGACCAATGTCATGACGATTTTCCCTTGTGTGTTTTTTTCTTTCTAGAACTTTTACAGTTTGGGGTCTTAAATGTAAGTCTTAAATCCATTTTGAGTTTATTTTTGTGTATGGTCTAATATAAAGGTCCGATTTCATTATTGTGCATGTAAATATCCAGTTTTCCCAAACGCCATTTATTGAAGAGACAATTATTACCCTGTCATATATTCTTGACACTCATGTTGAATATCAATTGACTCTATATGTGTGGATTTATTGCTGAGTTCTCTATTCTGTTCCATTGTTCTGTCTTGATGCCAGTACTAGTACAAATAGATTTGTAATGTATTTTGATATGATGCTCCAATTCTGATATTATACTTTGATATGATACTCCAGCTTTGTTCTTTTTTTTTTCTCAAGATTGTTCTAGTTCCTTTGTGGTTTTATATGAATTTTAGGATTTTTTTTCTATTTCTGTAAAAAAGTCAGTTGATTTCAAAAGAAGACATACAAATGTCCAACAGGTATAAGAAAAAAATGCTCAGTGTCTCTAATAATCTGGGAAATGCAAATCAAAGCTACCATGAAATATTCTCAGCCCAGTTAAAATGACTGTTAACAAAAAGACAAAAAATAATGGGTGCTGGTGAGAATATGGAGAAAGGTGAGGGCTTTTATACAGTTGTTGGGAATGTGAAGAAAATGCAGCCACTATGGAAAATTGTATGGAGAGTCCTCAAAAACTTAAAATAGAACTACCATATGATCCAGCAATCCTACTGCTGAGTATATATCCAAAAGAAGGGAAAGCAGTATGTCGAAAAGACATCTGCATTCTCATGTTTATTACAGCGCTATTTACCATAGCCAAGATATGGAATCAACCTAAGTATTCATCAACAGATGAATGCACAAAGAAAATGTGATACATACAACAATGAAATATATTATTCAAGCATAAAAATAATGATGTCTTGTAATTTGCAGCAACATGAATGGAACTGGAGGTCATTATGGTACATGAAATAAGCCAGGCACAGAAAGATAAATATCACATACTCTCACTCATACGTGAGAGCTAAAAAAATGGATCTCATGGAGATAGAGAGTACAATATTGAATACCAGAGGCTAGAAAGTGGGGAGGATGAAGAGAGGTTGACTAATGGGTCCAAAAATACAGTTAGGGCCAGGTGCACTGGCTAACGCCTGTAATCCCAGCACTTTGGAAGGCCAAGGCTGGTGGATTCCTTGAGCTCAGGAGTTCGAGATAAGCATAGGCAACATGACAAAACCTTGTCTCTACAAAAACATACAAAAATTAGCTGGAAATTGTGGTGCACAGCTGTAGTCCCAGCTACTTGAGAGGGTGAGGTGGGAGGATGGCTTGAGCCTGGGAGGTGGAGGTTGCAGTGAGCTAAGATTGCACCACTGTACTCCAGCCTGGGTGACAGAGCAAGACTTTGTCTTAAGAAACACATGTACACACAAACGAACAAAGAAAAAAGAAACAAAACCAAAAATATAGTTAGATAGAAGGAGTAAGTTATAATATTTGATAGTACAATAAGGAGAGTTTAGTTAATAATTGATTGTATATTTCAAAATAGCTAAAAGAAAAATAAACAAAAACAAAAGAAAAACCAAAAAATAGCTAGAAGAGAATAATTGAAAATAATAACACAAAGAAAAGATAAATGTTTGAGGTGATGGATATCCCAATTGCCCTGATTTGATCATTACATATTGTATACATGTATCAAAATATCACATACACCCCAAAAATATATACAATTATATATCAACTTAAAAAATTCATTTGGGATTTGTATAGGGATTGCATTGACTCTGTAGATAACTTTGGGTAGTATGAACGTTTAACAATTTTAAGTCTTGTAATTCATGTACGTGGAATGTCTTTCCATTTATTTGTGTCTTCTTTAATTTGTTTCAACAGTGAATTGTAGTTTTCAGTGTATGTCTTTCACCTCCTTGGTTAAATTTATGCCTAAATATTTTATTATTTTGATGCCATTGTACATGAAATTGTTTTCTTAAAAATTTTTTGGGTAGTTTGTTGTTAGTGTATAGAAGCACAACAGGATTTTATATGTTGATATGTTTTATATGTTGATATGTTTTATATGTTGACTTTGTATTCTGCAACTTTACCAAATTATTTTATTAGTTATAAGGTATTTTTTTGGTAGCATCATTAAAGTTTTCTACAAGATAACACTGTCTGCAAACAGAGAAGATTTTACTTATTTCTTTCTGATTTGGTTTAGATGTTTGTCCCCTCAAATCTCTCCTTGAAATGTAATCCTCAGTACTGGGGGTGGGCCCTGGTGGGAGGTGTTTGGATTATCGGGGAGGATCCCTTATGAATGGCTTAGCACCATCCCCTTGATGATGAGTATGTTCTAGCTCTGAGTTCACCCAAGATTTGGTTGTTTAAAAGGGTGTGGCACCCCTTCTCTCTCTCTCTTATTCCCACTCTCACCACGTGATATGCCTAATCTGCCTTCACTTATCATGAGTAAAAGCTCCTTGAGTTCTCACCATAAGCCAAGAAGATGCTGGCATCATGCTTTCTGTACAGCCTGTAGAACTATGAGCCAATTAAACCTCTTTTCCTTATAAATTACCCAGTCTTATGTATGTGTTTATAGCGCCACCAGAACAGATTAACACACTTTACAATTTAGATGCCCTTTATTTCTTTTTCTGGTCGAATTGCTCTGGCTAAGGCATCTAGTACCATGTTGAATGGAAGAGTAGGCTTCAGTGCTTTGTTTCTGATCTTAGAAGAAAAGCTTTCCAATTTTTTCTTATTATTGAGTATGATATTAGCTGTGGGCTTTTCACAGATGACATTTATATGTTGAGGTAATTTCTTTCTATTCCAGACTTACCATAGTGCCTTTCAAGTGGCAGGTATGATAATAAAGAAAGGAGGGTCGCATGAGGGTTCTAGTTGTCACTGCAGGGGTTTTTCTGTGCCAGGAGGCTCTCCGAGATTGGGGCTCAGTCACTGCCTCATTTGCCAGTGCGATGGCCTTCTTCGAAGCATGTGGGGCATGCTGAGTGCCCAGTGAAGGTCCAGAGTGGAGCTGTGCACTGGCTGTGGAAGTTGACTGTGCTTACCTTTCAGTTTTGTGTATTTACTGAAATGGTTTTCATCCACCTTAGCTAGTTATCTGAAGAAACCTATGGTGTCTTACCTTCGATTTTTGAAAGAACAGCTACTCATATTTAAAGTTCAGAACCCAGATGCAAAAAATTCAGAACTAATTAAAAGAATCACTGAGCTATGGAGAGAACTTGCTGATTCAGAGAAAAAAATATATGAAGATGCTAACAGGGCAGTCTGGCAGGCATTCAGAGAAGAGATAAACAGAATTCAGGAACAGCTAACTCCAAGTCAGATAATATCTTTGGAAAAGAAATCATGCAAAAACTTTAAAAAAAGAAAGCGTTAATAAAAAAGAGAAAGCTAATAATGCTTGGAAAACCAGAAAGATCTTGCTCAGCTTACAACATTTTTGTATCTGAAAGCTTCCAAGAAGCTAAGGATGGTTCATCACAGGCAAAGCTGAAGACTGTAAATGAAAACTGGAAAAATCTGTCTAGTTCTCAAAACAAGTATACATTCAGCTTGCTAAAGATGATAAAATTCATTATGATAATGAAATGAAGTCTTGGGAAGAACAAATGATTGAAGTTGGACAAAATGATTTTATACATCTTGAAATGAAGCAACCACCGAAATTTGGCAATGAGGAGTGTTAAAATAGAAGATTGAGTTGTGTTCATGATGGATAGGCACAAGAAACCAATTAGGTCTCAATACCTGAAGCTACTATAAAATTAGAAAGGATAAAGTTGGTAAACATTTTATATTTAATTTATTTTTCTTTAGACTGTGGACTCCTGTCAGTTTAATACATATTAGTATCTAGATTTGGAAAACCCAAACAGATAAAGGTTTATGCAAAATTTGTTTTGTGTTTAGGAACTACTGAGGATCAAAGTAATCCATGCAAATGTAGCAGTGAATCATTTTACCTTTGATAAAGCTAAATCAGGCTGTGAAATTTTCTTTATACTGGATGACAACTATGGAAAGAGTATTGTTGTTTACTTGTATTATGGAGTTAGGAGTTTCCTTTTCACAATTGTCACAAATTGTGGAAGCCACAGTGTTCTGTGATTGTGCATTTTTAAAAAAACAGCCAGAACTCATCTAGGTAAATTTCAGTTCCTAGGTATAATTCATATTATATTCAGGGCTGATGGTTGTACATGTAAGTGATTGCTGGTTTCAGTTGCAGCTTTTTATAAAAGAGGCTGAGAAATTTATAAACCTTTTTTCTTGTTGCCTTTTTCCTAAAGTAAAAACTAAGAAATTATGTACTAGATCTTTGCATATTGTTTTATGTTGCGTAGCATAACAATTTTCATCTTTAATTTTACATTTCCTAATTGTATGTTTTAAGATCAAACATTTTGTTTCACAGCTTTTCCCTTTTTTAAGTAAGGCTTTGTATTTTTTTCTGAATTATTTTATCTCTCGTGAGTATATTTATCCAGAAAGAAAACTTGTGTTGTATAAATTTTAAAATGAGAAATCTAAAAAATAAAACTCTCCAAAGTCTCTGGAATTTGAAACATTTTGCATAACAAATAAAAGCCTGTATAAGATATAGCCAGCTATGGTCTGTGGGCCAAATCCAGCGTGCTGCTTGCTTTTTATGGCCTGTGAGCTAAAAATTGGGTTTAAATTTTAAATGGTTAAAAAAATACTTTTATGATACATGAAAATTAATGTATTTAGTGTCCATAAAGAAAGTTTTATTGGAATACACACACAACAAATTTCTATTTCTAGTTTCTTGAGAATTGTATAATGAATGATTGTTGAATTTTATTGAATGCTTTTCTGCATGTATTGAGATGATGATGTATTTTTTTATCTTTCATTCTGTTAATGTGGCATGTCACATTGATTGATTTTTGTGTGTTGAACCATTCTTGCATCCTAGAGATGAATCCCAGTTGATCATGGTATATTATTCTTTTAAAGTGCTATTGAATTTTCTTTGCTAGTATTTTGTGGAGGATTTTTACATTTGTGTTCATCAAACATATTGGCCTATAGTTTGTAGTGTCTTCAGCTTGGTATCAGGGTAATTCTGGAATGAGTTTGAATATGTCCCCTCATCTTTAATTTTTCTTAAAATTAAGAAAAAGATTGGTGTTAATTCTTCTTTAAATGCTTAGTAGAATTCATCAGTGAAGTCATCTGGTCCTGGGCTTTTCTTTGTTGGGAGGCTTTTGGTTACTAATTCAATCTCCTTACTATATAAGTCTGTTCAGATTTTCTGTATCTTCATGATTCAGTTTTGTTAAGTTGTATGTTTTTAGGAATTTACCCATTTCTTCTAGATTATCCATTTTTTGGTGTATAATTATTTATAGTATTCTCTTATGTTCTTTTTTATTTCCATGAAATCAGTTGTAATGTCTTCTTTTTCATTTCTGATTTTACTTATTTGGGTCTTCTCTTGTTTTTTCTTAGTAGCTAAAGATTTGTCAATTTTGTTAATTTTGTCAAAAAAAACCTCTTAGTTTTGTTGACTTTTAAAACTGTTTTTCTCTTCTCTATTTTACTTATTTCTGCCCTAAATCTCTATTATTTTCTTCCTTCTGCTAACTTTGGGGATAGTTTGTTATTCTTTTTCTAGTTCCGTGAGGTGTAAAGTTAGTTTATCTGAGATCTTTCTTCTTTTTAAATGTTAGCATTTATAACTATACACTTTCCTCTTAGAATTGCTTTTGTTACTACATTTCATGACTTTTATTATGTTGTGTTTTTGTTTGTCTCAAGAAATTTGCTAATATCTGATTTCTTCTTTGACTCATTGGTTGTTCATGGGTTAGATGTTTAATTTACATATACTTGTGAATTTTTCAGGTTTCCTTCTGCTGTTGATTTCTAGTTTCTTTCCACTGTGGTCAGAAAAGATACTTGTTATGATTTCAATCTTTTTATATTTGTTAATACTTGTTTTGGGGCTTAACAGTGATTTATATTCTGGAGGAAGATCCACATGCACTTAAGAAGAATGTCTATTCTGCTGCTATTGGGTGAAATGTTTTGTTTATGCCTTTTCAATCTATGGTATTGTTCAAGTCTGTTGCTTTCTTATTGATTTTCTGTCTCATATTTATTTGTTACTGAAAATGGGGTATTAAAATCTTCTATTATTTATTATTGTCTATTTCTGCCTTCAGTTATGTCAATGCTGGCTTTATATATTTAGGTGTTCTGGTGTTGGATGTATATAGATCTACGATTGTTACATTTTCCTGGAGGACTGATCATTTTATCATTATAGGATGTTCTTCTTGGTCTTTTGTGATAGTTTTTGATTTAAAATTTATTTTTTCTAATATAACTGCTCCTTTTCTGTTTTGGTCACCACTTGATAGAACACTGTTTTCCCAACCCTTTAGCTTCAGCCTGGGTGTGTCCTTAAATCTAAAGTGAGTCCCTCATAGTCAGCATATAGTTGGATTTTTTTTTAATTAAAAATTTTTTTGAGATGGAGTCTCACTCTTGTTGCCCAGGCTGAAGTGCAATGGCGTGATCTCGGCTCACTGCAACCTCCACCTCCCGCGTTCAAGCAATTCTCCTGCCTCAGCCTCCTGAGTAGCTGGGATTATAGGTGCCCACAACAATGCCCAGCTAATTTTTGTATTTTTAGTAGAGACGGGGTTTTACTTTGTTGGCCAGGCTGGTCTCGAACTCCTGACCTCAGGTGATCTGCCCACCTCAGCCTCCCAAAGTGCTGGTATTACAGGCGTGAGACACCATGCCTGGCCTGGATCTTATTGTTTAATCCCTTCAGCCACTCTGTGTCTTTTGATTAGGGAGTTCAATCCATTTATATTTAAAGTAATTTTTTATTGAAAAGGACTTACTATTGCCATTTTGTGAATTATTTTCTGTCTGTCTGGTAATTCTTTCATACCTCTTTTTTCCTCTTGCTATATCTTCCTTCATACTTCATTGAATTTTTTTGTAGTGATATGCTTTCTTTTCTATTTTTCTTTGTGTATTTTGTATAGGTATTTTCTTTGTGGTTACCATGGGGCTTACATGAAGCATGTTATAGTTAAAACAGTCTATTCTAGGCTGATAGCAACTTAACTTCAATTGCATATAACTCTACACTCTCTCTTCCTATACTTTAAGTTAGTAATGCTACTCATAAAATGATATCTGTTTACATCTATTTATATTCTGTATCAACTAACATATATTTATGGTTATAATTATTTTTAATACATTGTCTTTGAACTTTTATGCCAGCATTAAGTGATTTACACACCACTGTTACAGTAGTACAGTATTCTGTGTCTGTCTACATATTTACCATTGCTAGTGTGTTTTAGACTTTCATATATGCTTCTGTGTTACTGTTTAGCACATTTTGTTTTTTTTTCTTGAGATAAGGTCCCACATTGTCACCCAGGCTGGAGCGCAGTGGCATGATCATGACTCACTGCAGCCTCAACTTCTGATATAGTTTGGCTCTGTGTCTCCACCCAAATCTCATCTTGAATTGGACTCCCATAATTCCCACATGTCGTGGGAGGGACCCTATGGGAAATAGTTGAATCATGGTGGCAGTTTTCCCCATACTGTTCTTGTGGTAGTGAATAAGTCTCATGAGATCTGATGGTTTTATCGGGGTTTCAGCTTTTGCATTTTCTTCATTCTCTCTTTGTCTGCTGCCATCCATGTAAAATGGGATTTGCTCCTCCTTGCCTTCTGCCACGTGGAACTGTAAGTCCAATTAAACCTCTTTTTTTTTTTTTTGTAAATTGCCCAGTCTTGGTTATGTCTTTATCAGTAACGTGAAAATGGACTAATACAGTAAATTGGTACCAGTAGAGTGGGGCACTGCTGAAAAGATACTTGAAAATGTGGAAGCAACTTTGGAACTGGGTAACAGGCAGAGGTGGGAACAGTTTGGAGGGCTCAGGAGAAGACAGGAAAATGTGGGAAAGTTTGGAGCTCCCTAGAGTTCCAGTGTTGAATGGCTTTGACCAAAATGCTAATAATGATATGGACAATGAAATCCAGGTGAGGTGGCCTCAAATGGAGATGAGGAAGTTGTTGGGAAATGGAGCAAAGGTGACTCTTGTTATGTTTTAGCAAAGAAACTGGCAGCATTTTGCCCCTGCCCTAGAGATTAGTGGAACTTTGAACTTGAGAGAGATGATTTAGGGTATCTGGCAGAAGAAATTTCTAAGAAGCAAATCATTCAAGATGTAACTTGGGTGCTTTTAAAGGCATTCAGTTTTATAAGAAAAGCAGAGCATAAAAGTTCAGAAAATTTGCAGCCTGATAATGTGATAGAAAAGAAAAACTCCTTTTCTGAGGAGAAATTCAAGTTGGCTGTGGAAATTTGCATAAGTAATGAGCCTAATGTTAATCCCCAAGACAATGGGGAAAATGTCTCTAGGGCATGTCAGAGGTCTTCATGGCAGCCCCTCCCATCACAGTCCTGGGGGCCTAGGAGAAAATGGTTTCCTGGACCATGCCCAGGATCCCTGTGCTGCATGCAGCCTAGGAACTTGGTGCCCTGCATCCCAGCTGCTCCAGCCAACGTAGACCTTGGGCTGTGCCTTCAGAGGGTGCAAGCCTCAAGCCTTGGCAGCTTCCACATGGTGTTGAGCCTGCCAGTGCACAGAAGTCAAGAATTGGGGTTTGCAAACCTCTGCCTAGATTTCAGAGGATGTATGGAAATGCCTGGATGTCCAAGCAGAAGTTTGCTGCAGTGGTGGGGCTCTCATGGAGAACCTCTGCTAGGGCAGTGTGGAAGGGAAATGTGGGGTTGGGGCCCCACACAGAGTCCCTACCTACTGGGGCACTGCCTACTGGAACTGTGAGAAAAGGGCCATTGTCCTCCAGCCCCTAGAATGGTAGATCCACTGACAGCTTGCACTGTGTGCCTGGAAAAGCTGCAAACACTCAATGCCAGCCTGTGAAAGCAGCCAAGAGGTAGGCTGTACCCTGCAAAGCTACAGTGGTGGAGCTGCCCAAGACAATGAGAACCCACCTGTTGCATCAGCATGACCTGGATGTGAGACATGGAGTCAAAGGAGATCATTCTGGAGATTTAAGATTTGGCTGCCCTGCTGGATTTCAGACATGCATGGGGTCTGAAGCCCCTTTGTTTTGGCCAGTTGGAATGGCTGTGTTTACCCAATGTCTGTAGCCCCATTGTATCTAGGAAATAACTACCTTGCTTTTTATTTTACAGGCTCATAGGCAGAAGGGACTTGCCTTATCTCAAATGAAACTTTGGACTGTGGACTTTTAAGTTAATGCTGAAATGAGTTAGGACTTTGGGGGACTGTTGGGAAGGTATAATTGGTTTTGAAATGTGAGGACATGAGATTTGGCAGAGGCCAGGGCAGAATGATACAGTTTGGCTCTGTGTCCCAACCCAAATCTCACCTTGAATTGGACTCCCATAATTCCCACATGTTGTGGGAGGGACCCGGTGGGAGATAATTGAATCATGGCGGTAGTTTCCCCCATGCTGTTTTTGTGGTATTAGTGAATAAGTCCCATGAGATCTGATGGTTTCATCAGGGGTTTCTGCTTTTGCGTCTTCCTCATTTTCTCTTTGCCTGCTGCAATCCATGTAAGATGGGACTTACTCCTCCTTGCCTTCTGCCATGATTGTGAGGCTTCCCCAGCCACGTGAAACTGTAAGTCCAATTAAACCTCTTTACTTTGTAAATTTCCCAGTCTCAGTTATATCTTTATCAGTAGCATGAAAATGGACTAATGCAACTTCCCAGGTTCAGGCAATCTTCCCACCTCAGCATCCTGAGTAGCTGGGATCACAGGCATGTCCTACAATGCCTGGCTAATTGCCTCTCCCTCTCCCTCTCCCTCTCCCTCCTCTCCTCTCTTTTCCTTTCTTGCTCTGTTGACCAGGCTGCAGTGCAGTGGCATGATCTTGGCTCACTGCAACCTCTGCCTCCAGAGCTCAAATGATTCCTGTGCCTCAGTCTCCTGAGTAGCTGGGACTACAGGGATGCACCACCATACCCAGTTAATTTTTGTATTTTTAATAGAGATGGGGTTTCACCATGTTGTCTAAGCTGGTCTCAAACTCTTGGCCTCAAATGATCCACCCACCTAAGCCTCCCAACGTGCTGGAATTACAGGTGTGAGCTACCACATCTGGCCTAGCTAATTTTCTAAAAAAGTATTTGTAGAGATGGGGTCTGCCTATGTTGCCCAGGCTGCTCTTGAACCCCTGGCCTCAAGTGATCCTTCCATCTTTGCCTCTCAAAGTGCTGGGGTTACAAGCGTGATAGCATTTTTTTTGTTTTAACTTGAAGAACTCCCTTTAGCATTTCTTTTAAGGCAAGTCTAGTGCTGATGAACTTCCTCAGCTTCAGTTTGTCTGGGAAAGTCTGTATTTCTCCTTCATTTTAAAAAATGTCATTGTATATTGAATAATTATAGTCGTATATATTTATGAGGCACAAAGCTGTGTTGTAATTTTTGAATATAGTGTGGAATGATTAAATTAAGCTAATAACATATCTATCACCTCAAATATTTAGCATTTTTTTGTGTTGAAAAAATTAGAAATTTATTGCCTCAGTGATATAGAAGCATTCAATATTCAATTGTTAGCTATATGCAACATGTTGTGTTACTGATCTGAAAAAAATTAAACTTATCCTTCCTACCTAACTGTGGCTTTGTAACCTTTGTCTGCCATCTTCGCATTCCCCCTACCTTGCAGCCTCTGGTAACTACCATTCTATTCTCTACTTCTATGGGTTTAATTGTTTTGTATTCCACATGTATGTGAAAACTTTGTCTGTGTTTAGCTTATTTTACTTAGCATAATATTCTCCAGTCTCCTCTCTGTTGCAGCAAATGACAGAATTTCTTTGTTTTTCAAAGCTGAAGAGTATTTCATTATGCATGTATACCACATTTTCTTTGCCTCTTTATCCCTTGATGGAAACAGGTTGATTCCATAACATGGCT